>NC_000014.9:68096561-68399591 GCF_000001405.40 Homo sapiens | reverse complement strand
AATAAATGAGGCAAAGTGTTAAAAATCAGGTAAAGAGCTGGGCTTGGTGGCTCACGCCTGTAATCCCGGCACTTTGGGAGGCCAAGGCGGGTGGATCATGAAGTCAGGAGATGGAGGCCATCCTGGCTAACACGGTGAAACCCCATCTCTACCAAAACTACTAAAAAATTAGCCGGGCATTGTGGCGGGTGCCTGTAGTCCCAGCTACTCGGGAGGCTGAGGCAGGAGAATGGCGTGAACCCGGGAAGAGGAGTTTGCAGTGAGCCGAGATTGCGCCACTGCACTCCAGCCTGGGCGACACAGTAAGACTCCATCTCAAAAAAAAAAAAAAACACAAAAAAAAATCAGGTAAAGGGTATATGGGGAGTTCAATATACTTTTCTTGGAACTTTTCTGTAGGTTTGAACTCTCCTTCCCCCCCAAAAAAATTAGTGGGAAAATGTAGGTTGGCCTTTCCAGAGAGATTACTTGGTCATTGATATAAAATCAAGACATGGGATTGGATCTCTGGAGAAATTACTAGGGCATTCATATGTTTCTATACATCAGAATCATCTGTTAACTTTGTAAAATGCAGAATCCTAGGCCCCATCCCAAACCTGATGAATCAGAATCTTTGGAGGTGATGCCCAAGAGTCCATATTTTCAAAAACCTCTCTCAGATGATCCTAATATATGCTAACATTTGAAAAAAAATCATGTATTAGGCATTTGCTGTTTTGCCTGCAATTACAGACTCCTCAGATCCCGCAGACAGTCCATGTACCATCATGCATGCATTTGTATTAGAAAATCTCCACCTAGTATCTTGTGATGTGGCTCTGTGTCCTTTTAATCTCAGAAGACATCATTCTGGAGAATGCCCTTTAGCCAGTTTTTAAGACTGACTTAATCCCCCACCCTGCTTCCCAAGAGGAATAGAGAGAAGAGATGTAAATACCCTTTAGAACTGCCATAATTCATCTGCTTGGAGCTGTTGTCTGAGGAGACACCCAAAATATTAATTCAGAGAGACTTGGTAGGAGGGGCGGCTGATAGCCTGGGCATGAAACAGGCCAGGGCTGGTTACCGGGCCCAGGTCCTCACTCAGAGACCCTCATTAAGGCCCCTCCTCAGTCTTGCTCCTTGACCTGCATTGCTTCAAGACACCAAACAAGGGTCAGCTTTCAGAGTTCACACTCTGCTGTGTTTCCTCAGTGACAGCAGGAACAGAGTGCAAGTAGGGGAGCAAAAAGAATCAAGTGAGACAAGACAGAAATGCTGAGGTGCTTTGAAAACTCCAGAGTGCCTAAGTGCATCTGATGAATTTGACTTAAAGTGCTTCCTTTGATCCCACAACATGGATACAATCCTTATTCCCGTTTCATAGGCAGAGAAGTGACTTGACCACCAAAATTCACCTGGTCAGAGGGAGAGCTGGGCCCCGGCCCAGGCCTTCCCCAGCTTTAGCTGTCCCAGCTGCCTGCTGCCCTGGCACTGGAGAGCACGTCATGGTGGAGAATGCTTTCAATTATCACCTTGCCCAGAGTGTGAGGATTTATGGTTATGCTTTCCTCCCTCCCCATCTCCATCAGCCTCTTTGGGAAGCAGAGGATCCTGATAGGAATCAGCATATGTTCCTGCGTGGGAGGGAATGGAATGCTGGCCTCACATATGTTTGCTGCCCTCGAGGCTCTGAGAAGGGGGTGGGGGAAGAAGTAAAATGTTGACATTTGGTGGAGGCAATCCCAGTGTCCTTTGCTCCCAGAATTTTAGACCAGAACCCGAACGTTTTTGTTTCCCACACTGGTAAATTCACTCTGGCTGCAGAGTTCCTTCAATGCAGTGTGCTTCCTTGGCCATCTGG
Organism: Homo sapiens; assembly: GCF_000001405.40. NCBI lineage: Eukaryota > Metazoa > Chordata > Mammalia > Primates > Hominidae > Homo > Homo sapiens. The sequence goes on along the minus strand of NC_000014.9, from coordinate 68,397,745 downwards.
ACCCGGCTTTCTGAGGCAAGGCTGAGGGAAGCTGCTACACTTCTCCTTTTGGGGGCCTACACACACACACACGAGGGGTGTCCCCATGGCCACCATGCCAACACAAGGCTCACCACAAACTGGGGCCACAGGAGGGAGGAAAACTCCATTTATGACAGGAATTCGCAGCTCACAAGTTTCAAGGTCCAAACAGTGTGCAGTTTACCAGGGTGTGGGGCTTAGGCAATGGAGATGACCTTGCTTTAACTTCCTCAAGTATCTCTTCACAAGCATGTCCCAATCCCCGGGGAGTGGAGGGTAGGGCAGTCAAGTACTTTCAGGCAGCCGCCTCATGGCGGGAGAGGGAGCTCATGAACAAAATGTGCTGAGGCTAGCAGGGTTATTTTAATTGGGGGAACTGGTTTTGGTGTCAGTAGCCAGTCAGTTCACATCTGCAAAATATGAATTCTTAAGCAAACCAATTTCCTTCTTCCTCGAAGGCCAATGCTTATCCAGAAATGAGACAGAACTATGGGTTTACTGCAAATGACCAGCATCCGCAAAGTGATCAAGACTACCAACTTTGGGTAATGTGTCCCACATCTCAGATGTCAGTTGATATAAGACATTACAGTAAAGAATTATGAGGTAACACTTTGGGATAATTATTGTTTTCCAGGCTAAACACCTTACATACATTATCTCTGTGAGGGAGGTACCATTATCATACCAATTTTCTAGTGAAGGAAGCTGCGCTACAAAGAAAGTGATTTGCCCAAGGCCACCTGGCAAGTGGCAGAGTCAGGATTTAAACCCCAGAGTCTGATTCATTATTTTTCTTTTCATTGTTTCTTTTGGCCATTTAGATATTACAAGAATGGCCATTAATCTCCCTTTCTAGGAGGGAAAATGCATGGAAACTACCCCCTCCCCGCCCCAATTTTCTGGACATCCCATTCATTTTCTTTTCCTCATTAAATTATAATATTCAGTTTCTTATTCAGAGTCATTTGGGCCTTTCTAGAAAAGCATATTTTAATAATGTTCTCTCCCTATTGTTGGGAAACTCTTAGTCATACGACAGGTTTCTAGAAATTGATACCAAAAGAAAAATAAATCTCCAGGTTTTCTCCAACTGAAAATATGTAAGGTGATCCCAGTTGCCAAAATCATGACTGGCTTTCCTTCTATGACTATCATCTCCACATCTGGTTCACCTTCTTTGCCAGAAGTACATGATCATATATCTTTCTGTATCTTAGGATGTTTCACTATTTTATGACATTTCTAAATAGAATCGCTGTGTTAATCATCATTATAATCTGATAATTACATTATTTATTTTATCAGTGTTCACTCTGCAATGAAAAAATGAACCAGCAGAAGGTGAATGTGAAAGACTAAGAAGAGCCCTGCAGAAAACCCGTTAGCCCATGTTTTCATCTGTAATGTGGATGTGGGATAGGAAGAGGGACAACGACATAGTACCGACCAGGTTCCAGAAACTATTCCAAGTGCTTTACGTGATAAAAATCTCTTAATTGTCTCAACGACCATACGAAGTATATCTCTAGTGTTGCCCCTATTTTATAGATGACAAAACCTTACTGATATCTGTATAGCTAGTAAGTAGGAGAGACAGGATTCAATCTGTCAGCCCAACTCTGCCGGTGCCCGTGTCCCTGCTCTGTGATCCTGACAGGCAGCCACAGCCAGGAGTCCGTCCTTGTTTTAGATATTTCCCATGTCTGCTGCTCAACTAGACCCTAACGGTGGATTCTTGGTACATCCTTACCCAAGGATAACCCATAAGTTTTCATGACATTACCACGGACTCGTCTTGCTTGTGAAACCAAGTAATAGTAAAAACAGAAGAATCATGTGTTAAAAATTTTTTGAAGTAAATGATTCTGTCATCATTATTCTTAAAGAAAGTGATGTACCCAAGGTCACACACTTAGTCACTGGTCAGTCCTGGGGCAAACACCCCTTGATGTCCAGCCCTTGAGTCAGGATGATTGCTTCATCTAGAAGGCACCATGGGCACTCTGCCTGAATCCAGGAACCTCTGGAGTTGTATATGGCTCTGTCCAAGACAAAGGAATCCGCTGTACCAGATCCACAGAAGCCCTGGCTCTAAATTAAAAACAGCACAACAACAACATTGCAGCAACAACAAAATAGTAATACAATAAAAGGTGGGAAGACCTCGAGAGCATAAAAATTTCCTTAAACTGATCATCAAGGAAAGGAAAGGGAGGATTCCTTCTTTAAAGAGGCAAGTGCCTGCCAGCAGGAACCTAAAACTCATTATTATTCTGTATTTTCTTTTTTCATGACTAAAAAGTTTTTCTATCCTCCCCCTTCCTATCCCTATCAAAAGACTACCCCCTCCACAAGACAATCACAAACTTTAAAAGTAGCAAGCCCTCACTTCAAACAAAATGTAAAAATAAAAATTCAAAAACCCATAGTGTTTGCAAAACAGCTTTGTATGGAGGAAGGGCAAATCTTATCTTAAGAGAGGCTAATTTCATAGGAATCGGGCAAAGAGAGGAGAGGTAGAAAGGGTGGGAGCACAGAAGAAGGGGAGGCGGGAGAGGAGGGGATAAAGGAGGAAGAATCGCTGGCTTTAAAAAGCAACATTGTCCAGAGAGGTGAAAGGGAACAGATGGCCGTGGAGAATGTGGCCCTCAAAGCCTGAAGAAAGGGGGGGATGCCGACAGATCTTGCTGTTTCCCATTGATGCCTGAATGTTCTGGTGCGGGGAGCCGAGGCCAGTGCAGGGGACGGACCTCTGTTCCCAGCAGCTCACTGGGGCACTGGCGCTGAGGCTCACTGAGAAAAAGAGCAGGCGGGGGTGAGGGGGGCTGGAGGCAGCTGTGGCTGCAGAGGGAAAGGACAGTGGGCAGCATCGGAGACGTGCGGCTTCCACAGCCTTCTCTTTTGGCCCAGCCCAGGGAGGTCAGCCCAGTGCTGGTCTTTGCCCTGGCAGAGGTGAAGTAAAGGACAGGAGCCCGGGCCCAAAGCCTCAGCATCCTTCCCCTCAAAACCCACTGGGGGAGCCCTGTCTGGGATAAAGTAGATACCTTGGGAGAGGGAAATGAAGAAAATATTCCAAATGCTTTCAGAGGATTGAGACATTCAAATTAAAATAAACAAGAAATCTGGGTCTCTGAAAAAGGTCAGAGAATCCTGCCAAGGAAACCTTATATTATTTCATGGAGTCTCAAGGCAGAGAAGTGATTTGCTGAGAAAAACAAAAATGAGTTGGTGGCAAACCCAGGAAGGAATCCAAGAGTCAGTTTCAGAGGACTGAGTCAGCCCCCAAAGAGGTTCAGGATTCAAGGTGGGCCTCCCTGGTCATTGCTTGTAGCTGTGCCACACCGGAGGATTGTTACTGGAGACTCACAAGTCAGTACAGGGCAGCACTAATACAGGAACCTCTGGCCAGCTGGCGAGCCCGTCCTTCCTGGAGGGAAAAGCCCAGCAGCCCCTGCAGATGGAGGCCTGAGAACTTGGGAAGGTGGGGAAGGGTTTGCGGAAGCAGCGATTACAAAGAGGCTCATAAACTTTAGGGGACAAAGATGCAATCACTGTAATTTCCTTAACTTAACTTTGATCAGAGAAATTATCATTCCAAATGACATCTTGACCTCTCCCTACACCTGCAGAAGATGTTGATAAAATTCAGCCCTGCTCCTGCCGACTAAAGAGGGAGCCACCTTCTGCCTGGCTCACTGTTCAGTCAGCCCACAGAGACTGCACAAGTTCAAAACAAAATTCCCCCAGTTCTTCTCTTCCTCTGTCTTCTTCCCTGGCCCTAAAAATGAGAAAGACCTGAATTTGGGGCAGACGGTCTTTCAAACAGTGGGGCAGGAGTTTGCAGAAACAGATCCCTCATCAGAACAATCTTTTGGAAACATTCCCACACATTTCAGGGCCCCAAAAACATCACCCTCTGTGAGAGTAAAGGAAGTTAAAAGGGGGCCCTAAATATATTTAGTGACCTGGCAAGTTCACCTTTACCTGGGGCTAGGCCTCCATTGCCATGTCAAAGAGCCACCAAGCCCCACGTTTTGCACTGTAGATGCATCTGAGTCACTGAGAAAATTCCCATGGAGCGGCTCAATAAAAAAAGATCAACCATGATAAAGACCTTGCCTTTTATTTCCCTGCTTCAACCAAATTGCTCCCCAGGCGCTTTAGATTTAGAAGCTCTACTAATCAACCTTATAAACAGCAGCCCAGCCACTGCATAGAAATTACTTTGTATAGCTCCTAAGCGAAATTACCCCAGGGGATAGAAGATGCCCAAGGCTTTAACAATCACACCATAACACAGCCTCAGTATGAGAATAGAGGACAAGCACACTTTGACATCCCAATTGAAACTCCGGGCTGAATCCGACATAGAAGAATGTAATTACCTTTCCTAGTTTGACGGTGCACTGAAGAAACTGGAGAAGCGGAATACCTATTAGGTTCCCACTAATCCTCCTCCTAAATTCAAAGCAGGGCTAGTCCCTGGAATTCATTTCTGAGTATCCTTACTCTCTGCTATTGTTAAATAGCTCAATTGATAAGTCCTTCCAGCTAATAATGTTTTCCACGGAGCTCACCCCCTCCTCTTTCCCAGCAGCTCAAAGCACTTTACAAATATCACCTCATTATTCTTTATAACACTCAAGTGAGCCTGATAGGTGGAAAGGTTAATTATCTTCTCCTTCCCAATAGGGGAAATAGACAAAGGAAGGAGAAGTGACTCGCTGAAGCCAGCAAAGCAGAGGCAGAACTGGAACTAAAACTCAGCCATTCTCCTGACTCCAAACACACACATGTCCTATGTCAGCTTGTAAAGCTGTTCTGCTGACAGGGCAGGATTTTCTCGGCGTGGGCTGTGTTGTAATCAACAGGTCTGCAGAACTGGGGCACCAGGCTGGAGGGGAAAGGGCATGAGTCGAAATGGGGAGGCCCCACTCAAACAGCCTTCACTAGTATGGACCAGTTTCTTTACCTCCGAATCTCAGTGTCCTCCTCGGAAAAGGAGGTGTGTAGATTATAGGATCTTTCAGGTTCCTCCCAGCTCTTAGGTAATTGGTGAAGTGAGAGTTTCAAAAGAGGGTTCTATTATTCACCAGCCCCTTGTGATCACGTGGGCCTCATTCCTCTTGTAAGCCTGAAATAGCATCTTTGTTTATAGAGTGCCCTATGTCATCCACTGTCCACCCAGTGGGGATCAAATCATTCAGTTCAAAGTGGCAAATGGGAGAGAGAGTCCTATAGGGCATCAAGGCCAAGCACTAAAGAGATATGGAGACAGGCAGGGAGCAGGAAGACAGAAGACTAGAAGGGTCATAAAAGGAAGAATTGGCAAACAACATCTTGAGCTGTGCCTTGGTCCTCACCAGGGCACCCCCTACATTCCAAGGAACCTATGACAAGCCTTCCGAAGCATAAGAAGATTCCAAAAAAACAGGGTTTGCTTGGGTTTTTCTAAATACAGGATTTACTTGCCAACCCCAAAACCCAAGTGAACAATGCCCCAATGTACCCTGTAGTGGTGGTTTTCCATTTAAACAGAATTTGATTTTAATGAAATAACATTGATGTACCTTCCTCAAGTTAATTAAAACCAGATTATACAGGTGGTGCCATAGTTTGTAATTTGTATTGCTTGAGCCAGATAAACCTGAGCCTTTAGAAAACCTGTAGTATTTCATCTCTCTGATTTTCTACACTTTCTCTTCCTAAATGATGCTTTGCTACTCCTCATTTGCCATAAAGTGAGTTGGAGAGAGAGGACATTTAGTAAAACCAACATTTATTTGTAGGGGAAGCAGCCCCCGCAACCAGAATAATGACCTTGGAAATGGTTTTGTGTGATGGGGCGATTGCAGTGACTGGATATAAAGGACTGACTGTGCAGCTGCCAGAAAGAAACACATTTTTGTAATATCTGAGTTGTTTCTATTGGCCTGGTCTGCCTTGCATTCACCATGGGAACTGAGTCAACAAGTTTGCTTGCTTTTCTTTCATACAGAGCATTTTTTTTCCACATACAGGGTAAAAGGAATAAAGAATAGATATCCCCTGAAAGTCAAAGGCTTCATGATAAAAAAAAAATGGGTATAATGTTATTATTTATCTCCAAGTCCAGTTGTAAAGGCAACTGGTTGTAAGCTCTATTCCATCTGCTCTCTCTGAGGACCTCAGCCTGCCCTTGTGGAACCTTCTTTCTGGGAAGTTAAAGAATTTCCAGGATTAGCTCAAGTCCTGAGGCTGCCAACTGTGACAATCTACAAAGGTCTCTTAGGTAATAATTCAGATCCCATTTCTGCTCAAGGCCAAGATGGTCCCCAGCGAGTTGGAAATATTCTTGTTTCCTGGACCTAGACCATAAAGTGAGTTGACCTTCCAACATCTTGGAAGGGCAAGCTCAGCATCTCCGCATACTAAAGACTCAACAACTGATATATATGTGACAACACAAATGAAACTGAATTTAAAAAGCAGGGGTTAAGGGTCATCAGAAACAATGTGAAAAAGAAATGCTACATGAAAAGAAAGAAGAAAGGAAAGAAGAAAGAAAGAAAGAAAGAAAGAAAGAAAGAAAGAAAGAAAGAAAGACAAGTCTCATAAATTTAATAATTTATCTCCCACCTAATTCTGGAGGAAAGTATCTTGTGAACATATCCTAAACTGAACTTTTGAATTCTCCAAAAGAAAGCCAAGTTTCCAATGCTGATTAGATAAAATGCCAAATTCCTTTCACCATTGCAATCCCAAGTTGGGAAAGAATGAATCAATACTCTCAGCTTGTCAGGTGTCTTGGAGACAAGTACGTCTTTAGATCCTACCAGGGACTGCATTAGTGTAATGAGGTCTAGAGGACACCCTAATCCTTCCTCTGACGCTCTTTCTCTATGTATCTCAGTAGTGCAGACATCTGAGTAGTTGGTGAAACACTAAAGTAAGCTTCTAACCCAGCTCTGTGACTAACTCATTCTGTGACCTCCTTAAGCCTCAGTTTCCCCAACTGAAAAATGAAGTATGACCACAGGGCCTCTAATATCCCTTCCAACTCTTAAATATCCTACTATTGTATCTCTGCATAGATTTGCTCCATCACTTTTCCCAGCCACAGTATATTCTCTACCTTTCAGTTTCATTCAATGCTGGTCTGTCTCCAAGGGTCCCAGACAGTCAGTGTCTGAGGAGTCTCAGGCTATAAATTCAAACCTTACTGACTAATAGGAATATTTACTTCTCTCATCCCTGCAGTGTAAACTCAATGTCAGAACACTAGTGTTCCAGGTGACCTCACTCAGACAAATCCAATGGCATATGCCAATAGATACAATCCTAAATGGGTAAGGATGAAGACCCCAAATGTGAATATTTAGCAAGTAAACCAAAATGATAACAGGCTAAGCTCACAGTATGAACATCTAGGAATAAATGAATAGCTTTTAAAATAAATGACCAGAACTTCGAGGCGTAGATTTTTCCACTACTCAAGATTTGCAATCTAGTTATGACCTAGCTCAGCAACTATATCCACAACAATGGATTTCCACAATGTTAGTTGAGGAAATTTTAGGAACAGTCAGCAACTCCAAAAAACTTTTCATTCAAGGATTCCAAAATGTTATGTAAGTATTATTTCTTATGATCCCAAACAGATGTGGAGATGAGGCTCTTCGTCTGAGAAATAAGGAACATTTTACAGACTTGTCTCAGATTATAGAGTAAGCCAAGAGTTGAACAGAGACTCTAACAAGCCATTCTCAGAATTATTCAGTTCCTAATCTGTTACATATTCGCAGAATACCTAGGTTTAAAACAGTAGAGAGTGATTTAGAAGATTCATTGAGAAACAAGAGGCCCAACTTGGTCTTGATTACCAGATTTCCCTAGCAATCAGTGATCCATTTGTTCGCTACCTTTATTTGGAAGTCTTTTGGAAGCCTGACTGAGACGGATCAAATCTACATCGGACAAAATGATTAATATAAATACTTATGGGTACTTAAAAAATAATTTTCTACTTTTCTGTATTACCTATTAGTCAATTCAGAATATAGCCTCATTACAACGACCAACATTTAGAACACATTGGTAGATCTGATATATCAAACAACAAAGCAAATCACAAAGTAGTATGCACACTATGGTCTAATTTTGGAAAAAAAGTTAACATAAGTATATACATAGAAAAGTGGCTAGAAGGACAAACACTGACATATTAATGTAGTAGGATTATAATTTTTATGTTTCTTCTTGGGAGCTATCTATATTTTCTATGGGTTAATAAAACAGCATGAATAAACTTCATAAACATAACATTGAGTAAAAGAAAATAGTACCAAAGAGAACCTGCTATATGACTCCATTTATATAAAGTTCAAAAACAGGCAAAACTAATCCATGGTTGTAGAAGTCCAGATAGTAGTTAGTTACCTTTGGGATGAGGGTGGAGGGGTGGGATGGGGTCATGACAGGAAGGAGGAGCTTCCATGGGCGCTATTAATGTTATGTTTCTTAATCTGGGTGCTGGTTACATGTGTGCTCAGTGAGAAAGTTCATGGAGCTATACACTACGATGTACACACTTTTTTGTTTACATATTATACTTCATTTAAAAAGTTACTTAAAAAAACAAAACAACTGAATCCAGAGGCTTCCTCACACATATTGTCAAGAAGTCTAGAAGAAGGACTCTTTTTGGGGACGGGGAGAGCCATATTTCCATAGTTCCATTTCTGAATTCTGAAATATGGCTCCATAAAAATGGGAAGAGAAATACAAATTTACATCATTGAAGGCTCCCGACTTGTGAATAACAACATCGTTTGCCATCTCCCTTGACAACATGGTATTAATGGCGACTCTGAAAATCCAAGTTTTCATTCAACTTAGACTCACTATAAGGGTTAATCATTCAGCCTGGACCAGATGCAGCCACGCTGGGAGGTGCACTTCCCACATCAGGGCTCCATTCATGAAAACAAGCTAAAAGTGGCTGAGGCTGCTAGAAAGGAAGCTCTGTGAGGGCAGGGACTTTGTATCCTCACCGCCTGATGTAAGACCTAGCATAGAATTGGGGTTCAGTAAGTATTTTTGAAGTGAGTGAATATATACATTCACTTTCAAAAAGAAGTGTGTGTGTTCGGCTCATGTAGAAATTATGAGGGACAGTAAAGGAGAGAGAAAAGGATGAAATAGAATGATATATACTTGATTGGTGATATATGTCTCTGATTGTCCCTTCAGTGTTTCTCAACTAAATCAGGCTAACTAAGGCATGGGAAGATTTATGTTGCTGTAGATGTTTAGGAAAACCAACTAGAAGAACAACACTGTCCAGGCTGAGTGTGGTGGCTCATGCCTGTAATCCCAGCACTTTGGGAGGCCAAGGTGGGTAGATCACTTGAGGTCAGGAGTTCGAGATCAACCGGGCCAACACAGCAAAAGAAACCCCGTCTGTAGTAAAAATACAAAAATTAGCTGGGCATGATGATGCACGCCTGCAAGCTCACCTACTCGGGAGGCTGAGGTGGGAGAATCGCTTGAACCAGGGAGGCAGAGGTTGCAGTGAGCTGAGACTGTGCCACTGCACTCCAGCCTGGGTGACAGAGAGAGGCTGCCTCAATTAAAAAAAAAAAAAAATATATATATATATATACACACACACACACACACACACACAATGCAAGTCACATATGTAAGTTAAAATTTTCCAGTAGGCACATGAAAAAAATAGAAATTGGTAAAATAAATGTCAAATATATTTAGTTAGCACAATATATCCAAAACATTATCATTTCAACGTGTAATCAATATGAAAATTAAGACATTTTATGTTTTTTTCCCTCATACTGTCCTTGAAATTCAGTGCATATTTTACACTTAAGGCACCTTTCATGTGCTCAGTAGCTACATGTGGGTGGTGGCTATGTAGCGACAGTGCAGCTATTTAGTGGTTGTAGTGGTAGAGTGTGTGTGTAAGAGATAGTGTGTGTGTAAGAGTGTGAGACCAACTAACTTAATGTTATTTAACACTGGTTCCATCTCTTCTTTGAGTCAGCTGCATCCCAGTCCTTAGTTTCTATAGATATGCCAGTATCCTTGTGATAACTTTACTTTCTGCTTCAGCTACTTTGAGTATGGTTTCTGTCACATGCAATAAAAAGAGACAGACGTACAGAAAACATGCCTGTGAGTTCATCCTGCTATAGAGGCACAATGTCTGTCAAACAGTAAACACTAAATTAGCATTGTTGAATTTATAAATCAAGAAATATAGTTATTAACAAAAACGTGCCATCATCTTATTCTGAAGGTTTTTATGCCACTTGCTGTAGGTTGTGCAATCGATTTGTACATCCCTTTTGAGAACAAATGAACCAAAGTCTAGTTCCTACTTTAAGTATTCCAGGTGCATTTTAGCTGTAAATTCTGAATCAAACAGGAGTTTAATAAGATGCAGGCGCTACAAGTTACCTGGATACTATCCATCTGAGACTGCTGCAATGTAAAAGAAATTAAAATAACAGCCTTTCTATCAGCCAACATACCTCCTGCTTCATCTCAGGGTTTGTCTTTCTGCCAACACACATTTATTTCTGTGTGTCTTCAGTTAAACGTGGAACTGGAATTTGAGAGGAAACGGGTCAGTAGTTTAACATTGCAGAGGGAAAAGCAACAACCATCCCTGATACAAAAACCCAAATCACTTGGTGACTTAAATGCATAAATAAGTTTGGTATTTCAGTATTGTTGTTCATTCCACTCTATTAGGTCCAGACTCACAAAGGAGAGGTGATATCAATGAATGTGCAGTTTCATTTCAATTCCAATTTTTCTATGTCACAAACCAGTCTTCGGGCATCCTAAACTTCATCTGTTTCTGGGATAGCTTTGCAGGTGGTATACCATCAAGTTGGAAAGGAAGGACTAAATGAGAGGTAGAAACAATCACCTTCCCTCTGCTTGCTGGGAAACCCCTCCTGGGACTGGGAAGAAAGAGGTACTGAATGCCATTAGGAGGAGTTCTTGCTTGGCTTTCAGAACCTCCAGTGCTAAAAGGCACGTGCAATCCAGTGGGATTAGAGGACAGAGGAAGGGCCACTCAGGTACTAGGCACTATCAGGGCAGAGACAGTCAGAAAGAACCAGAGAACAAACTCTATCATCCCCTGCTGCTAAAATTCTTGGATGAGCCCTGCATGTGCTAAATGTGGGAGGGCATATGCAGAATTTGCTGTAACTCCTGCTATCCAGAGAGGTGTAAGATATTCAGTGGGTGCCTTACAGCAAAGAGAGGACTGGGGAAAGGTATGTTATTGCTGCATCTGTATCAGTCATTGGCTTGTAAACGCCTTTATATTCTGCATAGATCATTCAACATTTGAGTTGGAAACTTAACCCAATTGTCTATGGAGCTGTTTCTGATTTGCCCTGGTTGAGAGGGGTAAGCAGGTTATATCTGAATTTTTTGATCATCCTAATTATGACTGGGAGAGACACATAGCAGATGGAACCCACAGCACAAAAGCTGGACTCCTGGGTTCTGCCAATAGCTTGTATGTGGCCTGCTTTTATCTCAAAGTGCCCATTTGTAAAAAAGGGGGCAACAATAACCTCCAAAGGATACTGCCCTAAATGTTGATGAGATCACATTTGAGAACCCACAGACTTTGGAAAGAAGACGGGAAATAGAGCAATGAAGTGATTAAGGGACTATCTTAAGTGACCACAAGTGGCTAAGAGCACAGACTCGGGAGCCAATCTCTGGGCTGTCACTTATTACCTTTGCCTTTGAACAAACAATCTCTCAGTGCCTGAGTTTTTCATCTGCAAATCAGAGATGTAATAGTGTCTACTTCCTGGGTACCAATAAATGGGATTGCATATGTTAAATGCCTAGAGTAGTGTCTGACAACATATAAAATTAGCATATCATTTTCATACTTAAAGCTGAAAAAGACATCACAAATTATCTAATCATTCTCAGAAAATACCCTTTCACACATAGAATACTGAAGTCCAGAGAGGTCAAAATAAATTGATAGGAACAATTTGCGTATCCCAGTCAGCTCACCAGCAGAGACAATGATGATTATGAGCAACTACTCTCAGAAAGTACCGTAAGGGTCATCACTGGATGCTCGTAATGCTAGATTAGGTCCAGAAGTAAGACTGCCCTTCTCGTATAGTCTTGGGGGACAAATTAGGCCTCACTCATTGGTTCTTAGCTGCCATATGGGCTCTTCTTCTGAGAGGCACAGAAAATGTGAGAGCATTTGGCTGGTGGTACTCAGTGCCATCAAACTTCCAAGATGGTCAGCCTGAAATTGCAGTTGCCTTGAAGGAGTGCCGGAAGGGAAGAGAGTGCTAGGGGGTGTAAGGCGAAAATCTATCCCACTGCCTAGAAAAGTCTTTTGGAAGAATGAGCGAAGTCCAAAGGCTTCAATTTCTGTTGCCAGGGGCTGGGGAGAAAACTTCACCTTGATGTGATGTGGCAGCGAGGGTGGCAGGCCTGGCATGCTGTCGATGCAGAGAAGCTGAGGCCCAGCTGACAGGAGGGTCGAGCTGAGCAGTCTCACTGTTCCCCCGAGACCTGGACCAAGCTCAGAGCCAGGGAAGTGGGGATTAACACAATGTGGTGTCCGAACTAATGAGTTAGCAAAACAGAGGCAGATGGCAATTGAGTAACTTAACTCGCCCATCTCTGTTTGCAATGCACTTCCACAAGCTTCTCCTCTGTCGTCGTGCTGTGTAACTCTGTCCAGCCCTTTCCGTTCATCCCAGAAGGTCATGGCCACAGAGTAATCATCCTACATAAAAGGAGCTATAACACCACTTTCTAAACACAACTGTCACCCACAATTGGAGTATACTGGTGGGGAGGTGACAGCTTTGGTGAGATACCTCTGGTTCTGGAGGGAAAGCAGTTATTTTAAATGAATTCTTGTTATTTTACATTTAAGATATAATTCCATATAACGATTGCTTAAAATGTAGACAGCTGGGTATGGAAACGCTAAAAAGGGGCATAACTTGCAACTCGGAAATGAAAACAAGAAAAAGGAACCTTAATTCTGATCCCAAGACAACTTTCCTTCAGTCAGATCTTCAGGATTGTGCAACAGTTTCCTTCACAGGCAGTGGAGAGAGGCGCTGCTACCAGAGGATGTGATAAATGACGTGAGTGTACACTTAGGCCAGACATGCCAGCCTTGCCACTCTGGGAGGCAAACGACCGCTTCACAAATTATCTACTGCCCTGTGCCTCTCATAAGGTTTTTTCCTGGCTTCTTTTCCAATGGTCATTGCTTCCAGGTGGCATATTACTGTGCCAGCTAGCAACAAGGCCAGCCAGGACATAGCCATTGTGGGAAATCCTGCCTTGTACTTTTGAGTGTTGGTTCATTTTTATAATAATCTGTGTAATAATAAAGTTCCAACCACGTAAACAACAAGATTTTCCGGAAGAAAATAAGGTTAAAAAAAATCCCTGATTTATGCACTTTGTTAAAATGTTTACTTTTTCCCTCATTCTTTGTTATTTCATTCTGAGATCATAAGAAAAAAATTAAAATAAACTTCATTGATGCAAATGGATTTTGCTTTGACAAAGTGAAAAGCTGACTTGAGAAGAAACTTCAGTGGTTACTGAATTACTCAGCAGAACAAATAGAACATGTATCTTGACAAAGAAGCCTGTGAGTGGAAAGTGTACTCCCACTTGCACCCACACTCCCAAGCTTCCCTACCCAGTGACCCTCTCAGGGGCAACCTGCTCACTCTGTCTCTCTAGAATAGGTCCTTGGGATTGACACATAGTAGTACAGTAAAACAGGCTGTAATCAAAAGGAGAAAATAACCAGTGTTGATCAGGTGTAAGACTCCACAGCTTACTAGCTGGCAGCATCAGCTGTGGACCAAATGATGCCTGGGGAAATATTTGTATTCCACCCTGATTCTAACTCTGATAACGCAGGGCAGCAGAATGCACAGGTGAAGAAGACCCTGAACACTGAGGGCTGAGAGCAACACTTGGAGAAAACCACAGATGGCATTCTTGCAAGTAGAAATTCATTGTGTTTTTTTTTTTTCATTCACTGCTATTGGGAATAAACATACTTTTCAACCCTAAGGGTCAGCTGCTTTTCATGGGAAGTAACTAGTCACAACCTCCTCGTTTAAAGAAGAGGATATCCTGAAGGAGTGAAACTGGTAAGTGACCAGCATCTACTTCAGTGACGTTTCCTCCAGTGTGTACATCTGTGTTATATACCACATGGCTTCTCAACCTCAGCACCCTGTCACTTTGGGCTGGATAAGTCTTGGTTGGAGGGACCATCCTGTTTATTGTAGGATGCTTAGCATTGTCCCTGGGTAGACACCAGTAGCATCCCTCCACATCTGTGACATTGTCAAAAGTCCTCTGGGGGCAAAGTACCCTGGGTTGAGAACAACTGGTACACTGGTACACATGGTAAATTCTGGAAAAGCTTCAGTGAGGGATGTTAGAGTCTTCTCTTTGATACTTTTAAAAGTTATATAAATAGCTTATATATTTTCATGTTGTTTAAAGAGAATTCAACTCACACATATCCAAAGAGATTAAAAATACTGAAAGGAAATTTGTGCCAAATTACAAGAGTCCTTGGTTCCTTCTAATGGGTAGAAATTTATGAGCAAATTAAAAATTAATTGATTTTTCCAGTTGTGGTTTCTTATGTAGAAAGAGGAATCAAAATAAGCTAAATAAATACAATGAACATAAATAAGGCCATGTGTTATCAGGAAGAACAGTGGTTTGAGTCTAAAGGGGGCTGCACCCAGGCCAAAAAAAAGCCATGTAATACTATGCTAGTGATTTACCAAAGAGGTTTTTTTCACTTGTCGCTAAGAGTCCTTTCAGCTTTAACCATGCCCACCTTCATATCCCAGGAAACTATCAACATACCACCAGTAGGATATGTTTTTTTAAGTGACTTTTAGAGTAGCCAGGATACATTGTGCTGGTCCAATCAGTGAAATGGTTGGTCTGAGTTAAAGCCAGATAAGGGAATACAACCTCAAAGTCTTAACTTTGTTAGCATTGGTGAGCAAATCAACTCCAATGACTAGGATTTTTAAGAGTATTAAGTTCTAAGTCTTTGTGGGGAGGTTCTGTCTTTTCACCTAGACTTAGCAGAGAGCCTGACATAGTGTCATCTGTAATAACTGTTATTTGAATGAATGAACAAATAAATAATTTGTATTTGCAGTAGATAAGGAATGTCTGGAGTAGAACCCTAACTTTTAAGAATTAGAAAGGCCACTCTGTCCTCTCACAAAATATCTTATGGCGCTGATGTCAAAGATAAAACCTTGAGTGAGATCAGTGATTCTCATCCGGAGACAATTCTTCCTCTCTCTCCCTTTCCCACTCCCCAGGGTATTTGCTAATGTCTGGAGACATTTTTGGTTGTCACAAATGAAGGGATGCCATTGGCATCTACCCAGTGGGAAGAGGCAGAAATGCTACTAAACATACCATAATGCACAGGATAGCTCTCTACAATCAAGAATAATTTGGCACAAAACGCCAATAGCGCCCAGGTTGAGAAATGTCAGGCTAGATAAACCAACTGGCCAGAGCTAAATAAATGGCCTTTGTCTCAGAATGTGTTTTCTGCCAGTCCCTGTTCTTGTTCTTCCTAGGTCTTTTCTCTACATATCCATCCCCCTTGAGCCTCCTAATCCCAAATCTTACTTTATATGTATTTTGCATCCACTGGCCATTACATCTGATTGTTTCAGAGATAATCTGAAGTAAGCACAGGTGGAGTGATAGAAACTGTGGACAGGGTTCCATGCAGGAGAGGTCTTGTGAGTGGACAGAAACTGAGCAGAAGCTGTTTCCTCCTAAATAAGAGCAACTGGAAGGGGTTTTGGGTAGAGACTCAATTGGTGATTTTCATTTTAACCCAATCCACTTATTGTGGCACTGTTATTGACTAATAGGAAGAAGTAGTGTTAGAACCTAATTATAAAGAAACTCTATGGCTTTTTATTTATTTATTTATTTTGAGACGGAGTCTTGCTCTGTCGCCTGAGCAGGCTGGAGTGCAGTGGCGCAAACTCGGCTCACTGCAAGCTCTGCCTCCTGGGTTCACGCCATTCTCCTGCCTCAGCCTCCCGAGTAGCTGGGACTAAAGGCGCCCGCCACCATGCCTGGTTAATTTTTTTGTATTTTTAGTAGAGACGGGGTTTCACCATGTTGGCCAGGATGGTCTCGATCTCCTGACCTTGTGATCTGCCTGCCTCGGCCTCCCAAAGTGCTGGGATTACAGGTGTGAGCCACCGTGCCCGGCCAACTCTATGGCTTTTTTAACAGAAATGCACCATGATCAGTTTAAGGGAACTAGGAAATAGACCAATATTGCTTTAAGTGAAGCTCACATAAGTAAATTCTTCTAAGAAATAGGTAAAAAAGTATTTCCCAGTAAAGACTATCTGGCAAAGTAGAAAGACTGGAATTCTGGTGAGTCAGATTCTAACTAGCTAACTAGCTGTGTGACTCTGAAAAGTCACTTACGGTCATTAGGACTTGGTTTCCTAATCCAAAATAAGAGATCATTTCCAGCAGCTAAATTTGACAATTGACAGGACAAAGAAAACAGGATATATGGGGAAATAGGAAAGAATTATGGATTTGTAATAAATGTGAACATGATTTCATGGCTAAGATTCATGGCTCTATATTCTGCTCTTTTAATTTAGAAATGTATCAATAGATGCCAATTAAACTGTGCTCACCCTACTGATTGATCTAACTTAAAATATTTGAAGTGCCCATCTCATTTATTTTTACAAGACTGAAGTCATCAGTCTTATAAACTGAAGGTTGCCTTATGTGGGTGTACACAAATCACAGCCTTGATGAACAGGGAATTAGAACACAGTTTTCCTTTGCAATCCACATGTTCTAAGCTAATGTTAAAATAGTGAGAACCCTAAGATTGCAACAAAAGATTTGGGATTACATCTTCACTGAAATGACACTGAGGTAGTGGTGCCAGCCAGACTTCTGAGTGAGTTATGGCACAGGCACAGCCCAGAGACTTGGCATTTTTCTGTTTTTATTTTTTTCCACTGATGACTCTTGCTGAGACTGTAAAAGCCAGCGATCCTTCATCCCCCACTCCATCTCTCTGTGGGGAATTATAATATGATTAAATACTCTTAATTATACACACACACTGACATCCTGAGGAAACTGATGAAAACTACCTGGCAGAAAACATAGGTGTATATTAACTCTAACCATCTGGGGCCTGCTGGGGCACTAACCACAACTGTTGGCTTTTACTCCCCAAGTGAGATGTCATTCTGAGACCATGTGTGTGGTCAGTTAATCAGGTGTGTTTCAGTTTGGCTGGGTGAATAGGCTTTGCAATTTTACTTTGGTCCCATCTAACATTCTTAGCTTTTCAAGATGACCAACGGCCTCTGTCAGAGAGGAATAATTGGGAGGAAAAGTAAGCTCCTCATTGGTCAAGTGGAGCCAGACAATTTTACGTGGTTCCCAGAAGCTACTTAGAAACACACTTTAAGCACGAGAACATCTCCAGAACCCGGATGCTTTGAGAAAGAGGCAATTTAAGAGAATGACAGCAAAATAAAAGCCTGGGATTTCAGGAAGTGGTTCCAGGAACAATGTGTATATAAAAATGAAGTGGAATCATTTTTTCCAGGCAATCTACTTTTATACACAATGCAATCGTATGACAATAACTAGCATTTATGAGTATGTGAGTACACACTCTATGTTTATAGATACCACAGCAGCCGCCAACAGCGGAAGAGGGTGAGTGGATCCCTTTGTGACTAGCAGCCTCACTCTTCACCCTGCTAACTTCACCACACCCATGGGAGCCTTGCTTACCAGCCCAGCAACAGTTGCCTTGATTAAAATGTGATGTCCCTGGTCACTAATAATTCTCTTGGGAAGTAGAGGGAAAGTAGCCAAACCATACTATGGGAGGAATGGACAAAATCTCTCTCCCCTTTCCATTCAGATGTATCCTGACCACAGAAATTGTCTTCCCACCAACTTTTCTACCCTCCATTCTACCTTCCAATGTGATTACATTTGTCGGTCTTTCTACTTAATCTTCACATACCTCTGTCATTCCTCTCTTCTCCCTATGGTGGGAGTAAGTATTTTGGTTAACTGCAGGCAGACAAAGTGATACCATTCTCCATGTCCACTCTAAGGCCTAGGACACCGATCATAGACAGGAAGATGGATGAAGCCAGAAAGGGGATTTCCTCTACTTGTCTACCAGTGCACCCCCTTCTCCCAGCAGTCCCTCTGTTTTCCCCTTAAAGCACTTGGCAGTCTCTGAGTAAATCCTATTGACTTGGAATCTGAAAAAATGTTGGCAAAAATCTATTAGCAAAAATTATCTCCAATATATAAATTTTAATTAATGATATAATTTATTTTAGATTTATTCATTCACTCAATCATCCAATAAATATTTATTGAGTTCCTTTATGTACCAGGAACCGGACTGGGTGAGAGTAGCTAGCTATTTTAGTAAATAATGGCATGAGACTTATGTCAGACTGAGCAAGGCCTGGCAATATCAGTTTATCCTTGAATGAGAAGCTCCACTTGTTATTTCCCGGAACAAGTAACAATAAAGCAGCACATATGGCAAATAACAGGTACCTAGTATGTATTTGTTGCTGTAATTGGATGAAGAAGCATTGTTGGGAGAACAAGTAGACTGAATCAGAAGATATGAAGCAAAATTTCTGGGCCTGAGTGTCTCATCTGTAAAATGGGGATCATGCTACCTACATCATTTATTAGACAAGACTGCAGTGAAAATCAAGAGATAATGTATATGAGAGCATTCTGCAAATTATGAAAGCAGAATGCATACATAAACTACTGTGAGTATTCAATCTTGAGATCACAGATAAAAGCAGTATAGTCAGCCCTCCATATCTAGGGTTTCCCCATCTGTAGATTCAACCAATGTGGATTGAAAATATTTGAAAAAAAAAAAGCAATGAAAAATAACAATATAACAATAAAAATAATACAAATTTAAAATACAGCATGATAACTATTTAAATAGCATTTACATTGTATGAGGTATTATAAGTAATCTAGAGATTAAAGTATATGGGAGGATGTGCATAGGTTATATGCAAACATTATGTGATTTTATATAAGGGACTTGGGCATCTGAAGATTTTAGTATGGGGCTGAGTCCTTGAACCAATCCTTCATGGGTACTTAGGGAACAGACCATATATCTCTTCACTTCAACCAACAAAGAAACATTAATAGAGGAAGGTGGTCTCAATTAACCAGGTTGGGCACTAATAAATTAAATGATCTGAGTCTTAAAGGGAAAGGGAAAGAGCTATTGGGAGAAACATGCTTTTTATAATTTAACATATAGTGATTGAAAACAGGAAATACTTCAGTTATGAAAACAAAAGGAGCCCATGTGCTAAAAGACTTAAACATATTGAAGTGGGCCAAAAGTAATTAGGTTGAGTAGGGTAAGGATAAGAAAGTTAAAGCTAATGTTTTATCCTACCGCTAGATTCAGTTTCTGAGTAGATGAAAAGAGTTCAGTGTTTCTCAAACTGGAGTGATATGTGGAGTCCTTTTAAAGGGGAAAAATTGAGACTTGCAAAACTGTTAAAAAATCTCTAGGAGACCTAAGATTAAGTTTCAGAATGACCAGCTTAACAAACTTAAGACTTATTTTTTTAAATGACTTTTAATTGCAAAGTATTGTCTTTATGATTTAAAAAAAAACTTCATAAAAAGTTTAAAATCTCATTAAACTTGCAGACCTCAAGAATCTACAGCTCCCAATTTGAGAAGTGCTGATTTTGTCTCGCTCCTTCCCTTTACAGATGAAGGAACTCGGGCCTGTGAAGACAGTGACTCCCTAAGCCACACAGATGGCTATTAGCAAAAACGGGGCACAAGCCCAGGCTGCTTGATTTCGAAAGCAGAGCTTTTTCCTTCTTCACACAAGCCCTCCTCTGTTTGTGGCAGAGTTCACTATCTGCTCCAGACAGATACTGGTATTGTCCTACACCAGAGACAGGGAAGCAGATGGAGGCGAGAAGGTTCGAAGGGGAAGTGATGTGGGTGTGGCTGATGCAGACGTCATTGCAGCTGGACAAGCAATTTGAAAGAAAGGTATTTCCAAGGCTGGATTCTTCTGCTCATCGTTGAAACAAAGAAACACTGGGTGGAAAACACTGGCAGTTTTAATAGTGGGAACGTTTCTCCCTAACAAGTTTGAGCAGAAAGTAGGAAGAATATGGTCCTGAGCTAAAAACTGGAGAGGAACTAGAGAAGGTATGAGGTTATAATTCAGGGTGGCCAATTTAATCAGCTCATATTCATTAAACACCCACATACACATGGTGCTTTACAACAAACCCCTTCGCTCACTCTGAAGCATCCACAGGCCTGTTTTAAATGGGCCACCCTGTACATGTTGGGAATCTGGCCAGGGTGTTAAGGCAACTGCTTCCCTTCCTAAGAAAAATAGGGTGGATTTTTAGACAACCACAAGTAAAGGCTAAAGCCTCTAGTTTCATATCCCATCTGAAAGCTGGGAAAGACTTGAGGAATCTGTTTTCCAAGAATCTGTTTGCAAAACTCAATAATATAGTAAACCCTTCCATTTCAGACCTGTAACATCCTATACTATCTACATTCCCAGACTTTTACTCTGCAATTTCCCTGGGTACATTTCTCCTCTTTATTGGAGCTGAACTCAAGTGCTTTATGAATATTCCCACATAACGACTGAAGCATTATGACCCTTCAGTTATGTCTAATTAGCCAATCAATGATTTTGGTCACTTCCGGCCCTTGTATAATGTACTCATTGTAACTACAAAAAAACATGTTCTTACCATTGCCTATGTAAACTGCCAAGAATATTTTCAATCTTACTGATTTATCAAGCAACTTTTGATTGCAATCTGAGGAGAAGACTGCCTGGGCCTGTTCCTCTGACAGTCCCCAGGAGCTGGGCCTAGCAAGCTTCTGGTACTATGTGGTCTCTGAATACCAGGGAGGAATGCGGTACAAGTCACCCCACTTGGGTCCCTGCCCAACTATGTTGGCAGGTGCTGTGACTTTTACAAGAAATCTTATACTTCCAAAGATTGTAACCCACACAGAGGGCATCAGACCATTAGGAAAGGCTGAAAAGCTTCCTTGACATCAGACCATTCATTCTTGGATAACTTTCTCATTCTTCCATGATGCCATCCACTGGGAGATTTCAGGAAGCTGAGGACAAGACTCAAGCTGTTGTAATTACAGCTTATAATACAAAGCAAACAGTAGGTGCTCAACTAAATACTGCTGGGTGGTGGGTTGTTTTTTGTTTTTAATTTGGCTTAGTTTCAGTGTGTGGTTTGGGGGGTTGAGATGGGTTCATGAGGTCGTAGATACAAATGGGAAGTCAGGATGGTTTGTTTGAAGTGGCTCTGCATGTCTCCAAATATGTGAGCAGAGAAAAATACTTGCAGTATTGTTCAAGGTAGTTAGGTGAACAATCATAAGAGCTGTAAAATAATAAGCCTACTTTAATAACACCCTCACATTTTACAAAATCCTTAAGTGGCCCCAACAGCTTTGCCTTGGGTGTGCGTGAAATAAATAGCAGGTGGCTTATTTGGCATGTCCCTCCAGTTCAGGAGTAAGTCTGAGGCCCCTGGGTCCCTAGGAGTCCTCCAGCTTAATAAATAGAATATTATCAATATTCCAGAAGCCTCTTGTGTAATCCTTCTCCAATAGCATCATCTTCTCTCCTGCCCAGAGTGAACCTTCATTTTAAACTTGGTGATTTTCATTCAAGTTGTTGACAACATTTCAAAAATCCTATCAAATATATCCAGAATAAGGCTCCCCAAGCCAATATAAGGGGGATATTTCTTTATATTTTTCACTAGAATTAAATAAGCTGATTCATTAATGCATTCAACAAATGTTTACCAAGTGCCCACTATGTATCAAGCAAAGACTTAGGCACTAGAGAAACAGCTGTGAGCAAGACAGACATGGTCTGCATCCTTACAGCCTAAACATGCAAACAGTTACACAAATAATCAGTTAGTTACAGTTGTGAGAAGAGCTCTGTGGGTGAGGGACGGCATACTCTGGAAGTGTAACTGTTAGCTACAACCCATAAGAAGGCATAGGGTCTGGGAAAGTAGCCCTGAGAAAGCATATTGGAGAATGACATGAGGCAGAGGACGCTGCATATAACACACACTAGGTGTCAACGAGAAAATAA
The DNA here is from genome assembly GCF_000001405.40 of Homo sapiens. Classification (NCBI taxonomy): domain Eukaryota; kingdom Metazoa; phylum Chordata; class Mammalia; order Primates; family Hominidae; genus Homo; species Homo sapiens. The sequence goes on along the minus strand of NC_000014.9, from coordinate 68,375,406 downwards.
AATCGTGATTTAACCATTACAGTTTGTTTACTAGACTCAAGCCTTCAAAACCTGGGATCTCTAAAGAAAAATAGAATAAAAAGTAGAAAGTATGGAAACCACAACTCCAGAGCTCCCCCACCTCACCCACCCCAGCCACTGAAGCTGAGAGCGGGGAAGGAGGGTGTTAGGAAAATTCAGCTTTACCATCACATACAAAGAGATTAAAGGACATCCTCACACCCTGGCTCCTGAAGTGCTATTTCTTAAGATTAAGCAGCAGACCCTTCCCAAGTTTAAATAGGGTAACGCTAAGTTTTGGTTGTTGAAGCAGTTCCATCTGCACTAACCTTTACAAACCATGACTGTGTCAGTTTTTCCAAGCAGGAGAAATGGATGGAAAGCCAGGCCACATCTTAATAGGGCCCTGGTGAGCTAATGGGTGTGATTATTTCATTGTCTCGGATTCACGCCAGCCGAGGCTCATCAGATACGGGCATAATCCAGGAGAAACATGACCTCACTTTCGACATGGGACTGTGCATTCAGATGCCAATAGGAATTTAGTGATCCCTCAGCGCAGGTAAAACTGAGCTCTTTACGGTTTCAGCTAATGAGAAGCATACCAAAGTTACCTAAAACAGTAAAGCTAATATTGACATTAACATACTAGATACTGTTAGGGTATGGGAAGCCAGGAAAAACTTCTGAGACCATCTGTGCTAAGTGTGACACATCTATAATGAGGCGTGTATTTAAGATAAATTGCCATCTCTTTAAATGATTAAGTACCAGATTTATGGAAAGCTATAACCCCACCAGGACCACAGGGTTGTTAAGTGGTTAGGGCTATAAAGGTGAGAATCTCAAGATTTCAGTTGTGCCACAAATTGTCCACTGACTTGCAAAATCTTTGCCAAGGAAACTTTGCCTCAGTTTTCCCAATGAAAGAAAAGGAAGTCTATCACCTAGGTTGTATAGCTCTGAGAAGAGCAAAAGTTTCACAGTCAGGAACATGCATGCCTTCACTGATTCCTTCTCAGAATCTTCTCATTATATCATGTTGACATCCACTGGAAGATACCAGGAAGTACAACACAAGACTCAATGCATTCCAGTTCAGCTTACAGCACATTTGCTCATTATTCATTCAATCATTTTTTTTCTGAGCACCTATTATGTGCCAGAGTGAGACCCTGTCCTAGGCACTAGGAAAATCAGAATGATTAAAAACAGACTTGCTCTCTGCTCCAACGGTGCTTAGAATCTGCTGAGGGAAAGTGCCAGGATTGACTATATGGGAGTTGTGTGATATTGGGCAATTTACTTAATTTCTTTGTTGAGTTTCATTTCCTCATCTTTAAAATGAAGATAATTAACATGTCTGGTATGAAAGTGCTTAAAATTACATCACACACAAATATAAGGTGCCCAATAAATGTCGGTTCTTTTCTTCCTCTCTCCAGATTACAAAGATAAGGCTTACAGAGTTTCAGCTCTTCAAATAAAAGGTGCTTCACAAATGCAAATGACCAAGCTATTATTATCACTGACTACATAAGAGGCAGTGTGGTATAGTGGAAAGATCTCTGGCTTTGGAAACAAAGACTGAACTTAAAATCTTTTTTAAAAATTCTTATTTATTATACTTTAAGTTATGGGATACACGTGTAGAATGTGCAGGTTTCTTACATAGGTATACTTGTGCCATGGTGGTTTGCTGCACCCATCAACCCATCATCTAGGTTTTAAGCCCTGCATGAATTAGGTATTTGTCCTAATGCTCCCCTTGCCCTTGCCCCCCACCCACCAACAGGCCCCGGTGTATGAAGTTCCCCTCCCTGTGTCCATGTGTTCTCATCATTAAATCCCACTTATGACTGAGAACATGCAGTGTTTGGTTTTCTGTTCCTGCGTTAGTTTGCTGAGAATGATGGTTTCCAGCTTCATCCATGTCCCTGAAAAGGACATAAACTCACTTTTTTAGGGCTGCATAGTACTCCATAGTGTATATGTGCCACATTTTCTTTATCCAGTCTATCATTGATGGGCATTAAACTTAGAATCTTGACTCTCCCACTTCCTAGATATGTGGCCTTGAACAAGCCATTTAAACCTCTCTGGCCTCTATGTTTTCATCTGTAAAATGGCAATGATAGAGTTTAGAGGATTAAATAGGACAATAAATGCAACATACTCAGGGTAATCAGTAAGCAGTGGGAAATAGTAAATTAGCAAATAATGGGGACACACATACAAAGCCACTCTCAAAGAAGATAGTTTGATTTAATTACTATAGTACTACTTGCACTTATTTTCATTTACTTGTGAGATTCACAGAGATAGAAAAGCTTGGCATGTCTCTCCCAGAGGCAGGCTGGCCCAGCTTTTTCTGTCCCTTACTGTGTTGCTTGGAGACACTTACCACACTAAGTAAATCATCACCCTACATCCATACTATGCTTCTTTCATATTTGTGAAAGAGCTCTTCACTCACATATGCATGTACTACAGATCCAACAGTGAGTGCTAGGGAAGGAGAATGTTGATTAGAGAACTTCCCAGATGGTATTTATGTATTATGTTCTCTCACATATATTTGAATTCTACTCAAATGCTGTTAGTTTTCTAGGGTTAATTGAAAATCTGATATTCTAAGATCCTTGTTTGGTGTTCTGGTAACTAGAAAGTTAAAAAGTTGGGCTTATGAGTATACCTTTACTTTTCTTCTGGAGTCCCCAAAAGAGCCAAACAGAACTTTCTTCCCTCTTTAAAGTGGTGACATAAGTTTTTAATGACCCTCTTTTCTGTTTCTCTCCAGGAATCCTGCTGTGATGTACTCCATTCTTAGGGTAATGAATTTGCTTTTGTATCTCTTGAAGCAGTCTTGCTTCAGCCTAAGGCCAGCCCATACACTTGGACGAGCATCTCAATCCCTTCTAATACCTTTGAGGTCTTTTACCAATGGTTACCTATCCTTTCCTCTCCAGCATTACTACATGTTCTCTTTTTGCTGCATTATGTACATCAATATCAAAATGCGAAATAAAAAACACCCACCTTAAAAAAAAAACCTCCTTTGACTTCCCCAGCTACCACTCCATTTCACTGTTTCCATTTGTAGTGAAAAACCTTAAAGAATTGAACATGCTCTTTGTTTTTCTCTTTAACCTACCCCAGGCAGGCTTATGTCCCCTACACTCTACTGAAATCACTCTTGTCAAGGTCACCATTGATTGTATCTGCCAAATCCAAGGGTCAATTCTCAGTCCTCATCTTATTGGACCTCTTAGCAGCACTGGACCTAACTCCTTGCTTCTTGAAATATTAGCTTCACTTGGCTTCCAGAAAAAGCACACTCTCATGGATTTCTTCCCACCTGATCCTCTCCTCCCTGCCAGTCTCCTTTGCAGGTTTCTCTTCTATTCTAAATGTTGATGTATCCCCAGGATCAATCTCTGCCATATTCTCACTACAGCTCAGCCCATTCTCCTGAGCTCTAGACTCAGACTCATTTATTCAGCTGCTTTGTCATTGTCCACTTGCATATCTTTCTCTTCTTATTTATTTATTTTTTGAGACAGGGTCTCACACTATGGCCTAGGTTGGAGTGCAGTGGCACAATCAGGGCTCACTGTAGCCTTGGCCTTCCAGGCCCAAGCCATTCTCCCACCTCAGCCCCCCAAGTAGCTGGGACTACAGGTGCACACCACCAGGCCTGGTTAATTTTGTTTATTTTTTTTGTAGAGACAGGGTCTCACTGTGTTTGTTGCCCAGGTAACTGGTCTTGAATTCCTAGGCTTAAGCAATCCTGCTGCCTCAGCCTCCCAAAGTGCTGGAAGCCACCACGCCCGGTCACTTACATATCTCAAATGCAACTATTCTAGGACAGAACCCCTTTTTTTTTTCTTCAGATGGAGTCTCATTGTGTCGCCAGGCTGAAATGCAGTGGCGTGATCTCAGCTCACTGCAACCTCCGCCTCCCGCGTTCAAGCAATTCTTCTGCCTCAGCCTCCCAAGTAGCTAGGACTACAGGCATGCACCACCACGCCCAGCTAATTTTTGGTATTTTTAGTAGAGACGGGGTTTCACCACGTTGGCCAGGATGGTCTCCATCTCTTGACCTTGTGATCTGCCTACCTCAGCCTCCCAAAGTGCTGGGATTACAGGCGTAAGCCACCACACCCGGCCCTCTAGGACAGAACTCTTAATCCCCTAACCTGCACCTCCCACCCCAATCTGTTCTCTTCAACATTCTAGATTTTTTTGGCCTAAATAACTCTAGGAATGGAAAAAATGACACCATTCTCAGTTGTTTAAGATAAAAAATACACAGATAATTCTTTTTTTTTAATTTTCTTTTCTTTTTTTCTTTTTTTTTTTTTTTTTTTGAGACAGAGTCTTGCTCTGTTGCCCAGGCTGGAGTGCAGCAGCACAGTCTTGGCTCACTGCAGCCTCCACCTCCCAGGTTCAAGTGATTCTCCAGCCTCCACTTCCTGAGCAGCTGGGACTACAGGTGTGTGCCACCACGTCCGGCTAATTTTTTTTTGTATTTTTAGTAGAGATGGGGTTTCACCATATTGGGTCGAACTCCTGACCTCGTGATCTGCTCGCCTCAGCCTCCCAAAGTGCTGGGATTACAGGCATGAGCCACTGCGCCCGGCCAATTCTTCATTTTTTAAAATACACTTCACATTCAATCTGTTTGCAGATTTTGTAAGGAATGTCTTCATATTTATCTTGAATCTGACCACTTGCCATCCCCTATACCACACCCCCCAGTCTGAGCCACCATAATCTCTCTCCTGGATTAGTGTTATGTTTGCTGACTTGTCTCCTGGCTTTCATGTGGCCCCCTTACAGTCTATACTCCTACAGAGCAGGCCAAGTAATCTTCCTAAACTGTCAGTCAAGTCATGTCCATCCCTGGCTGAAAACTTTGCATTATGCTTAGGATAAAATCCAAGTTCTTTACCTAGTTTTACATACCCTAGCCCTCTCCAGTCAACTTACAGGCCTTACTAGGTTGTTGTGAATATAAAACTACGTACACAAAGGAACTTTAAAATTATTAGGTGCCATAAATAGATGTTATTGTTGTTGCTATCATTATTATTGGATCAGTTGCCCTTTGGTAAAGAGTTTTAAACATGTCTTCTAAATGTAAACTGTAATTTCTGCCAATGGCTATATGTGATTACAGACAGATCTTGTAACAGGCAAATCCCTTCCTTCTTGTTAACCCATTTATGCCAGAGGTTGCAAAATTTTTATGTGAAAAATCAGACCTTGGTGATGAGCTTAAGCATGAGGATATAAATAACTCCCACAAGCTTAGTGTTCCACTAATGGAACACTAGGCATAAATGGGTTAATAGGTTCAGTCATTATCCTCCTGCTATATATTTAACTTTGTCTTTTTTCCCTTCTGGATTTGAGATGTCCCTTGCAGGAAACAGCAGCTGTGCCACTAACCCTGGACATTGTCCAAGGCCATTTCCATATCCTGTGAGAGAATCATCCCCTCGAAGTTTGTTTTTGCAGCACAAAATAGAAGAAAGATCAAGAAAAAAATATATAGACAGATATAGATATATAGTATGTAGCACTTTTTGTCCAGAAATGACTTCTGTGTGATCAGAGAAATGACTAGGCCATGGTCTCCAACTCAGCAACCTGTACTGAGCTAGTCATTATGATTAGTCCATTCATTACTTAAACACAAGAGGCTCTGGAATGAAACCTAGCAGCCAGGCATAACATATGAAGTATCGATAGGGAAAGTGAAAGATATGGCACCTATTTGAAAGAACAGGAGGAGTTTGTGAAAGAGAAATGTCACTGACTGAGTTGCCCCAAAATTCCAAAGCCAAGCAGCAAACACGTTTTCCCTTGAGAAAGGCAGAACCCCAGTTTCACTTTTTACCCAGGAAGAAACCATGGTATGAGACCAGGAAAGAACCTTAGAGGACACAGCAATGCTTTGTGGATCACCAATACTACTTCCTGAGTGCTCTCATTTTCTCACGGAAGGTTTCCATAATTCAACTCAGTGGACGCAATCTGTGCAAGAGCCGGTGTGCTGAAGGGCAATATGCCCAAGCTGATACAGCACCAACAAGATCCTGATGGTGGTTTCCTAAATGGGTTTCTAAATTTTACAATAGCCAAACCCACTGGCACTAGGCTATTTTTGCCGTAAGTAACTTTTATTTTTAAATGAAACATCAAATACATAAACAACCTTGAGACTCAAGCAATGAGCCCAGTGGGTAATGTCAATATGGAACCATGTCACATCTCCCAAGAGGGATGTATCACCAGGCCTCTTCAGGGCAAGCTTCAGGGAAAAGAGCTGGGTACTCTACAGCCAAGAGACTCAGGAAGGCTGTTAGTTTTTTTGTGGTTGCTATCTCACTGTACACAGATGGGGGAAAACCCTAAAAAATAAAAACAACGACCATAACCAGATTCCGGCAGCTACCCTGAAAATGAGCCACAAAATGTCAACTTGATTTTGTAGTCATGCTTCAGGTGTTTGTAGTCTACTTCATTTAGCCTTATACTTCATTTTCCCTCCCAATTATTAGACTGCAAATCTCCTTTATAATTTCACTGCTCTATTTCATTCTACATGCAGCAGCAGAGTGTTTACTACTTTGGGAAGTAGGTATGGCTGTCTTGTGTTAGGACTTTAGACAATTTCTCTCATTCCCCACTTTAAGAGTGAAGTAAAGATACTAAAGCAGCAGCCTCGGTAGCAGGGATGCAGCACTTGTACCACCACTGCCCCATCATAGAGCATATGGGAGCGGCTGCTGAGCAACTCCATTACAGCAGTCCAAGCGGCCACTATAGACCTTCTGGAGTTGAATGGAAGATGAAATCAATTTGCCCTCTCTAGCTAGAAGCACCCAGGCATTATAGGAAAACCTGTGCAGAAAGAATGAAACATATTTACTTTATAGGAAGAAAAACATAGTCAATAACTAAACTAAAACAAATACAAGAGAATTCAAATATTCTGCCTTTACTCTGGCAGGTGAACATTAGCTTGAAGACTTAGCTATGACCGGTGGGAGAATGGAGGATGAAGGGGACTTGGGCCTTAGCATGCACTGGCTGTGGGATTCTGAGGAATTAACTTGTTCGAGGCTGTGTGCTCATTTGTGAAAATGTAGGTAAAACACCTGCCTCACAGGGTTTCTGTTAATATAAAAATTAAAGGAGAAAAATGAAAATATGTACATGACTAAAGTTAATTCCTTTCCCAATTAGGTTTCTGGTGCTTTAGTTCTTAGAAGCACCTCTACCTAGCTTTAGCAATATTTCCCTAGTAATAAAACATCACCTGTAAACTGATTCAGCAATACATAAACAGCAGAATTCTGCTAATTCTTTTTGGCAACCAGACAGGCCAAAAAGATAGCTATTAAGATAAGAATCAATTCTAAAATGTTCCCTATGGGCTCTCTTTTCTATGTGATTGTCAGAGGTCTCAGGATGTCCACAGCCATAAAAATAGTTGTCAAAACATTTTTTTCAGAAGCTTTCTCTTGTTTCCCTTTTTCTACCACAGCTGTGACACCAGCACTTTGTGTCCATCACTAATAATCCCACTTCCTCAGGACCCAACAGAACTGCTTCTTGATCCTTCTCCTTTAAAAGACGAATAACAGTGTTAGCCTACCTCTTTTATCTGGGCCGATTAATCACCAGGCCAGCTTTTCTGGGTAACTATTTCAAGTGTTGTATCCTCCGCCTGGAATACTCTTCTTTATTTTCCTGTGCTGTCGACTCATCTCTCGTTATCTCCTCTAGTCTCCTCTGGATTTTCCCCACTCCTAAGAAGTAATGGCTCCCTTCCCACATGTTCCTTCAATCCTCATGAACCTGCCTTTCAAATGTCTGTCAGCCTTGCTCTACTTTATACTTTTTTATATCCTCAAGTCTGATATATAGTAGGCATTGAATAAATACTGAGTGAACAAATTAATTAATATAAATGAATTTTAAAATTCTCAGCTTTTCCAATGGTCCCTTACAACTCACACATAAATACGTAAGTCTGTCTCAAGTCTTGGAATCCTCACACTCAATGATACATGTAATTTAGTCTAGATCATAAAATTATGACTAAGGAAGGGAATATCAAGTACAGTTTGAAAACATATCACTGTCATCATCTTTCAGTCCCAAAATGGTATATTTCATGAACAGTTTTATTAAGTGGCCATTTTGAAGAGGCTTTCGGGTTGCCTGCCTGTCAGACTGGACCATGTACAATTACAAAGATTCCACAGTAGTCTGTAGTCCCTTCCTGCATTTTATAAAGAGCACTTCAAAATGCTCTGAAAAAAATCTGTTATGTCCTAAAGCTCCTGAGAGTGAAATGTTACAGTTGGAAGCTGCCTGAAGCTCATTTATACACTGAAGTTATTAATCCCCTTCTTATATGTTTGATATAAGCCCTAGGGCACTTGGGAGGGTGATCCAATTACCCAATTCAGAGAATTGCCCTTTTCTTTCAACCAAGTTCAGAGCTCTGAATTTTTGTTCCACCAATGACTTTTTGTTTCAGTCAAACAAGGTCACGGAAGAGGCCAATATCTGCCAAGGCCAACAGGGGTTTCATTTACATGCCCACTAATGCGAGCAACATAAGAACCTCTTGAGAGCATTAAACTAGGGTGTGGGACAACAAGCCTGTTATTTATTTACCAGTTCCCAAAGCCACCCCTGCCAGTTTCTTGCTATTCAACATTTTTGGTTACCATTTTGGATTTAACGGAACTTTCTTCTGTGCATCTGGAAGATGTGGTGGGATTTGTCAATAGGCAAGAAACCCCTGGGGAAATGTTCAGATGAGCCTTCAAGGCTGCTTTAGTCCAGGGACACGAGGCAGACTAAGCATAGTCTGTACTTCCTTAAGTCAAACATTTCCAAAGTTAGCTTATTTATGACCATAGGGGGTTCTTTTGCCATCCATCATCTTGTCTCAGACCTTTATTAGTTATTTTTGTTGTTGTTGTTTCCTTTACAATGAATACCAAATAGATTCAGTCTTGCTTTAGCTACGACTGGTACACTTTTGTCATGGTCAGAGAGAGGATGATTTGGCCAATGTCTTATCACCGTCACAGACATAGGCTATTTGTCTATGGTATGTTTGTTACTTGAAGCTGATGAACAGTACTTTAGTTGAGAATAAGCATTAACAGATGGTCCAGAGAAATAAGGCAACATGTTAATTTATTTCTCCAAAATTCCAGTACTCCCACTTCAGGATTTGTGAAAAATTAAAATTACACTAAAGTTGTTAAGGGAAGAATTAATCTTAGGAATGTTTATTAAAGTCAAGAATAACTAGTTATCAAAAAAAGTATTTTTAATTTATCAAAAAGCGACACTAGTCTTTGAATTGCTCTGTGTTTGCAATAATCAACAGAAACATCTGGAAAACTCACCTTCCTGCCTAAATATTTCACAAATATATTCAGATTATCACTAAAAAAAAGTCAGGAAATGAAAAGGTAAGTGAAAAAATATTATATTTCTTCTAGTGGCCCAATCATAAAGCCAACTGTTTTTGAGTCTGATATGTGAAAGACATAACAAAATTTGTAAACAGTGGAAGATATGATTTATAAAAAGTAAAAAAAGAAAAGACAGGTTAAAAATATAATTTAGACTGCCATACAGTTTATACAGATGAATTTTTCTGATACATACTGCTCACATGAGAGAATGAAAATGTCTTGATTGCCTTAAAAAATTTGTTTTTTAGAACATGGAGAAAGAACTTGTAGATCACACTGGTAAGTTAATAATCTGAAACTACAAGATGTAGGTTTTAATCTCAAGCTTTGAAATTAATTCCTCATGTGGTTTTGGAAAAGACTTTAATCTGCCTCATCTCAGTTTCTCCAGATGAAATATCTAGATTGTATGATACACCATGATTCATCAAATAGGAAGCCTTTACAGATAATAATGTTTACGCATGTAAGCTCTGAGGTGGGACTGCCTTCAGCAGCTTGAAGACTTTAAAACATAGGACAGAGCAGTAAGACAAACAGGACAGTTCTTTGTCTTCCAGTGGTGTTACCAGGGTGTGGGTAGAGATCACTTCACATCTTTCCTCACCGGACAGCCGAATCAGACACAGAACCTGCCTCCTCTTTATTCTACTTACAGGCCTTTTTCTTTCTGCACATGCCTCTGAAGCTCTGGCGTTAAAGCTGATGATCTATTCCGAGGTGGCCCATAAAGTACGTCTCCCTCAGCCTCCACTGTCACTTTGTTGTGAATCCCAGCCCTAGCCACCCAGTGCCCTGTGCTTTCCTCAGACCCAGGATAGGATGAGAAATGTGTAGGAGCACTACATTCCTGCCACGCTAACCTTCACTCCCTCACCAAAGCTAAGGGCAGTCAGAAGCCAGCACCCAGACATGGGCGTCTCTCTGCCCCTAACACCTGCCAATTCCTGCCCTAAAACTATTGAAAGAATGCGGAGGTCCAGGGAGCTTGAGCGGGAAAAGGGTAACTGGCAGAAGGGAAAACACAATCCTGGTCTCAAAGCAGCAATAAAAATAAAATTAAACCCTCACACACACACATAAGATTCTTTATGTCTTCAATTGAAGTTGCCAGAGTACTTCACACTGGAACTACGTGCAAGAGGATTTTCTGAAAAAACAAACCACACACACAACAGACCTTACTGCTCCCTTGAAGGGGCTTATTTAAGGCAAAACAAGGCCTCCCATCATTCCTGTGAGAGATCATTGTCCCCCTTGTTGCCACAGCGCCCTGTGAGGCTGTGGGAAACAAATGACCTCAGAGGCACTGCAGTATGTGTCACTGCAAAAGAAAAGAGAGTGGAAGGGGCTGGGGGAGGGGGCTGCTGGCGAGTGGAGCCCTCCACCGCGCCCGGCGGTCCTCCAATGATATCCCTCCAGGCACAGCGGGAAGGAGGCTTGCCGGCCCCAGGAGTCTCCCTCCAGCCTGTAACGGGATTAGGCTCCCGCTCCTTAGAAGCAAAGCGTCTTTCTAGATATCCTGCTGCTCGCCCTGGTCAATCTGTCCTCTAAATTGGCCCTCCCCACAAAGTGCCCGCTGACTGCTAGTGTCTCCCTCTGTTTCACGGGTGTCTTGAGTGGAGACAGGGCTCCCCTGAGGCCCGCGATGAGGAGTGGGCGCAGAGGGAGGGAGGGAGAAGAGGGTAGTCAGGGATCAGAGGGGTGGCTGGGGAAGGGGACACACACACTGGGGCAATCGGAGAGCAGGGAGGATGGAGGCGGAAGGAGAGAGGGTTAGGATGAGCGGATCGGGAAGGAACATGGCGAAGCAAAGCTGAGCTCAGCAGCAGATACTTCCTTCGCCACACACTCCCCGCACTGGAGAAGGAAGCCCGTGGAGGCCTCGCTCTCACTGGGGCGCGTGTGGGCAAACAAGCCTGCAGTCCAGCCAGAAGCGGCCTTCCCACCACACAACTTCCTCCTGTGGACGCTAACACTGACCGATGTGGCCCCTTCTCTGCAATCTCTGTGCAATGGAGCGGCTGATACGACTTCCAGCCTACACGGGAGCACACAGAAGCACAGTGGTTGAGGGTAGACTCTGAGTCTCACTAAGTGGGCAACTCCACCTTCACTGCACCCACACACGCGTGTGCACACACACTCCCACTCCCCGCCGGGAGAAAGACTGTGTTACAGCATCGCATGTATGCATTTTACCTTCAGAGATGATACCGGCCCAACCCTCCTCCTTGAGCCACAGAGCTATGTTAACCACAAGGTGGCAAACAAAAACAGGGAAGAAGGACACAGAGTGGGCGCCGCCGCAGGAGAGCCCTGCACACTCCAATGAGGAGGCCCCTGCACACTCCAATGAGGAGGCCCCCTTCACTCAGAGCCTGCACACCTGGAGATGAGCCTGTCTCCATACTGGCGGACACTGAGAATACACAAAAACACTGAAAATAAAACATGATATATTAACAGATATATCATACAGTTTATCTGTAAAATTCCTTTTATATATGCATATATTTTCTATGGAAATGGGTATGCATCACTTTATTGTTTAATCACCTATGTTAATTCACCAAACCATTACTTTATGCACAGTACAAATTTCTGAAAATACCAGAGTTTCAAAAATTCTGTTTATCGATAGAATTTGTTTTGGCTTCTATAAAACAAGGAGACATGGTACTTTGCAGTCTCAGGGGTAAGCAAAGCGGTATGAAAAACTATCTTGTACCCAAAATCTTTCCTCATGAAAGTCTCAACTGTGGCAATGTAGGTTTTTTTGCACCAAGTTTGCAATTGGGAAGTACTGCGATTTGAAAGTAGCTGGGTTCAGTGCACAAAGGCTCCGCCTATTTTCAGTTGTTTACCAGGAACACAAATGTCTCTAGGTTGCCCTCTCTCCTCCCAGTGGTGCCCAGGACTGTGCAAGAACCCCAGAGGCATTTGCCTTTCACAAACACACTCATTCAAACTAGAGATAAAAGTGAGAAGGAGCTAACAACATTTCTGTTCGTTTCTTTTTTTTTTTAATTTTTTTTTTGAGACGGAATCTCACTCTGTCACCCAGGCTGGAGTGCAGCGGCACAATCTCAGCTCACTGCAACCTCTGCCTCCTGGGTTCAAGCAATTCTCTTGCCTCAGCCTCCTGAGTAGCTGGGACTACAGGCGCCCACCACCATGCCCGGCTAATTTTTTGTATTTTTAGTAGAGACGGGGTTTCACCCTGTTAGCCAGGATGGTCTCGATCTCCTGATCTCGTGATCCGCCCACCTTGGCCTCCCAAAGTGTTGGGATTACAGGTGTGAGCCACTGCGCCCGGCCTCTGTTATGTTTCTTTCAGGTCTGGTGCTTACTCTTTTTCAGAGCAGTGATGGTTATGAAAGAACGTAGGTTCTAGAACCAGAAACTTGATCCCAAGCTCCCCAACTTCGCCTCTCTGTCCTCACCTTCTTATCTGTAAAATGGGGCTAACACTTACATCATCAGATTGCTATGAAAATTAGTTAATAATGAATTAATATATGAAAAATCCTTACAAAAATGGCTTGATGCATAGTAATAAATATTAGTTGCTGTAATAATTAACATATTTTTCTTGGCTTACTCTCTTTTAGGAATTTTAGTACCCCAGTCAAGGATTAACAAAAATAATGACAAGAGCTAACATTTATATTTTTTTGAGAGCTCACAATGTGTTAGGCACTAGAGGTCCTTTATATGTATTATATGTATTTAATTCTCACAACAATCCCATGAGGGAAGTTTGTAGGTATCTTCTTATAACCTTTAATAGATACACTGCATTAGTTTGAACTGTATGCTGTGGCCGATATTCAGCCACCTTAGATCTACAGAAGCAGTGACTTCTTAAGTTTAGCCTAATTTCTTTGGGGCGACTATAAAGACTTCAAGGGGCCAGGTGCAGTGGTTCATGCCTGTAATCCTAGCACTTTGGGAGGCTGAGGTGGGAGGATCGCTTGAGGTCAGGAGTTTGAGACCAGCCTGGCTAACATGGTAAAACCCTATCTCTACTAAAAATACAAAAATTAGCTGAATGTGGTGGCAGGTGCCTGTAATCCCAGCTACTCGGGAGGCTGAGGCAGAAGAATCTCTCGAACCTGGGACATGGAGGTTGCAGTGAGCTGAGATCGTGCCGCCATACTCCAGCCTGGGTGACAGAGTGAGACCCTGTCTCAAAAACAAACAGACAAACAAAAGACTTCAAGGGAACAAGGACCAGGTCAAGGGAATAAGATACATGAAACAAGCACCAGGAGACTCTCCCCTTTCTCCATCCTTACCCCCCATAGCTAAAACATAATGAGAGGATATGACTCAGGAAGAAAACAGTAGACATGATGATATTGGGTGTAGAAGAAGAGAAACTAAAGCTCTAGGGAGCAAAGTTAAGTGGCCAAGTGTAAAAGCAGTGGCTCTTGAAATTCCTGGCAAGAGTTCCCCAGCCTCAGAAAACAATTTCAAGGCCGCTCATTCACTCAGTAGGTACTTATTGAGCATCTAATCAGAGTCCTTGAAACAGGGTGGAAATGAGTAAGACCTGGCTTCTAACTTTGGTCCAACCATTTGTTAGCTCTATGACCCTGGGTGAGTTGCTTAACTTGTAAGTGCCAGGGCGCAGAAAACAGTATCCCAAACTATGGTGCTTTGGCAGGCTGAGTACTCTGAACTAAAGGATATTGGGTAGCCTCAGAGCTGCCTCAGAAGCAAAGTCTTTCTCTGACCTTCTCCTGCCCTCCTTGTCTCCCATCTCCCCTAAAGGGAATCACAGAAACCAGAATTCCTCTTCCTCAAGACAGGTCATAGAATCTAGAACCCCTCTCTCCCAAAGCAATCCATAAAACCTAGAAAGGTCATTCTCTCCCTTCTCCCTAAAACCCTTCATTTCAGAGGGGTCCTACCCCCTACCTGGAGGAAGGAATGCTATAGGGAGGCCAAGAAGAATCTGAACAGACAGGCCTTGCTCTGTCTACCCCCTCAGTCTGTCATCATTAGATCAGACCCTTTTTTGTCCAATCACATTTCTACACAGCTGCCCATTCTTCCTCAGACCAAAGCATAGAAACAGACCATCTTCCCTGGGCCTTTGGGTCTACATTTCTGAAGACTCCCTTGTCATGTAAAACTTTGATGAAATACATTTGTTATGCTTTTATCATCAACCTGTCTTTTGTTAAAGGGGTGTCAGCTGTGACCCTCATGATGAGTGAGGAAAGGTATCACATCTTTCCACCCCACCTAAGTCCCAATTTCCTCATCTCTAAAAAGGAGACAATATCATATACGATGTAGAGTTGTTGGGAGGATTAGAGATGAGTATGAAAAAGACCTAGTACATGGCACATGCCCAGTAAGAGTCATTACTGCTGCTGCTGGTAACACGAAGACTACTGCTGCCACTACTGCCACAGGCATTGTGCTAGCCACCTAAGGTTGGGCCCTGATGTCATGGATGTCAGCCAATGAAAGGAAGAATTACAGAAATAACGATGATAAGATGTGCCTAGCAAGGAAGCTCAGTGCACTTAGGGTAGCCTTTTATGGCCAGGAGGACTTCAGCCAGGGAAGGGTGGGGAGAAGGCATTCCAGGAGAGGGAGCGGCATCTGCAAAGGCACAGAAGCTGCAGAGGCACGTGGTGGGCTCTGAGCTGGGAAGCAGCTCAGTCTAGGAGTACATCTGGGGAAGAGGGAGTGAAGAGGAACAAGAGAAGGCCCGGAAGAGTGGCTAGGCCACAGAATGGAGAACATGGTCTCCCCGCCTCTACCAGGAGTTCAGAAACAAATAAGACTAGACATAGTTTTAGGAGATTCTTCTTTTAACTGCCAAATATAACATTTTGATTATTTTAAGTGTTTGTTGTTCAAGACTTAAGGAGCCCAGCCCAGGCTGACAAGGCCGTTTCCCTGCACCCTGCAAACACTGAGAAAGGTTAAAAGCAAACAAGTGGAAAGTACCCAGACCAAAGGCAAAGTAGACAAATTTTTTTTCCTTTCTTTCTCCTTCTTTCAGTAAACGAAAAGACTAGTCTCTAAAGTCTCTATTTCAAACAAAAAGGACAGACAGTTCTGGCTTCTAAATCCTGGCAAAGAACCACCACCACTCTTTTTAGAGAGAGAAAAAACACTGCCCCCCTACAACACACAACTTTCAGCAACGTTTTTGCCAGCAGCATTCCAAATGATTCCTTTGAGGTAGCCAAGAGGAGCCCTCAAAAGGTGAAAGAACTCACAGCTCTGCCTGGCTTCTGAGAGAGGTAACGGCCATAGGAACTGTGGGCCCTGCTTAATGGCTGCTGATCTGGTCTGGCTGCCCAGTACCCACGCGCTGTGATTTCAGGCAGCAGCTGTTTGCGTTTCCCACTCACTACCTCGAAGCAAGAAGAGAAGGGACTCCCCCAACCCCAGTGATTGCCCCCGTTTTCATTCTCCCTCCTCCAACCCCAGTGATTACCATTCTCCTTTACCCAGCCCTCTTCCAAAACAAAACCAAAAAAATGCCCTACTTGCCCCTGAGCTAAAGGAATCCAATCACCCAGAAAGGGAGACTTTATGAGCTTTCTGGGGGCTCTGGGCGGATGGAAGGGATTAAAGCAAGGTGTGCTTTATGTCTTTTGTAGTTTACTCTCCTGCTGCCTTATGGAGTAGCCAATTCCCCACCCTCGGACAGGTCTGCTTGCTCCTCTTGGTGGGTTCTGTTTTTCTTTCCTCCCCCGTGGTTTTTCGTAAGGTCGTGGGAGGATGCAGTAAAACTCCATTTCAGATGCATCATAAAACTCAGAGAGGCTGGCCTATGGCACCTCCAAGCAGGTGGGGTGTGCTCCACTGTGGCAGCTGCTCCTCTGTGGGGTGGTATGAATTAGGAGAGGTTTCCAACAATTCTGTCATTCTGTGCTGGTACTGCAGCAGAGGGGCATGGCCCAGTCCCACCTTCTCTAGGATTACATGTCTCCAATAAGCATGGTGAATTTCTTCCTTTGTTAAGGATACTCAAACTCCATGATATAATCATAAAACAAGCTATTCTTAAAATATTTTTCAAATAATTTTTAATAATTTCTTTACCATCACACATTGTGTGATATAGGCTTTTATATCACACGATCTGACTGAAGAATAATTTACAGTCCAGATCCTACATTCCATGGACCAACCAGACCATAACCTTCCTAGAGTTTTTGGACAGGACCTATTCTGTTTCATAATAGGAGAAATACTATACAAGTGGGCAATAAACATACAAAAAGATGCTTCATCTCACTAGTAATCAAAGTAAAGCAAACATAAATGACAGTAAGATATTGTTTCACTCAAGAGACTCACAAAGATTGAGAAAAAAAATTAGCTGCAGTGTAGGCAATAGTGTGGGGGACCAATAATTCACAAACACTGCTGATGGTCATGCAAACTGATACATTCCTGACAGGTAGTTTTGCAATACATACAAAAACTGAAACATGCCTCGGACCCATCGATCATCAACATCACTTCAGGAGTACAGGCATGTCTAGCTTTATTGTGTGTTGCTGTATTGCACTTTGCAGATGCTATGTTTTTCTACAAATTGAACGTTTGTGGCAAGCGCGTTGACAAGTCTTTCAACACCCTTTTTCCAACAGCATGTGCTTGCTTCATGTCTGTGTCATGTTTTGGTCATTCTCGCACTATTTCAGACTTTTTCATTATAATTATATCTGTTATGGTGATCTATGATCAGTGATCTTTTATGTTACTCTTGTAATTGTTTTGGGCACCATCAACCACACCTCTGTAAGACAGCAAACTTAATAAATGTGTGTATTCTGACTTTCCAACAACCAGCCCTTCCCCATCTTTTCCTCTTCTCAGGCCTCTCTATTTCCTGAGACACGACAACATTGAAATTAGGCCAAGAACATTGAAATTAGGCCAATTAACCCTACAATGGCCTCTAAGTGTTCAAGTGAAAGGAAGAGTCACATATCTCTCACTTTAAAGCTAGAAATGATTAAGCTTAGTGAGGAAGGCATGTTGAAAATGGCTGTCTGTGCTCTAGAAATGGAACAACAAGGAATGGATGGCAGCACATCTGTTTGTAGCATGGTTTACTGAATATTTTAAGCCCACCATTGAGACTTACTGCTCAGAAAAAAAGAGATCTCTTTCAAAATAGTACTACTCACTGACAATGTAGCTGGTCACTGAAGAGCTCTGATGAAGATGTACAAGGTTAATGTTGTTTTCATGCCTGCTGCGGCCCATGGATCAAGGAGTAATTTTGACTTTTAAGACTTATTATTTAAGAAATACAATTTGTAAGGCTATAGCTGCCATAGATAGTGATTCCTCTTATGGATCTGGGCAAAGTAAGTTGAAAATCTTCTAGAAAGGATTCAGCATTCTAGATGCCATTCAGAAGATTCGTGATTCATAGGAGGAGGTCAAAATACCATCCTTAATAGGAGCTTGGAATAAGATTCTAACCTTCATGAATGACTTTGAGGGGTTCAAGACTTCATTGGAAGAAGTTACTGCAGATGTGGCGGAAATAGCAAGAGAATTAGAATTAGAAATGGAGCCCGAATATGTGACTGAATTGCTGCAATCTCATGACAAAACATGATGAGGAGTTGCTTCTTTTGGATAAGCAAAGAAAGTGGTCTCTTGAGATGGAATCTACTGGTGAGGATGCTATGAACAATGTTGAAATGACAACAAGGGATTTAGAATATCACAGAAACTTAGTTGACAAAGCAGTGGCAGGGTTTGAAAGGATTGACTCCAATTTTGAAAGAAGTTCTACCGTGGATAAAATGTTATCAAACAGCATGACATGCTACAGAGCAATCTTTCATAAGAGTCAATCCATAAGGCAAACTTCATTATTGTCATTTTTTTTTTTTTTTTTTTTTGAGACGGAGTCTCGCTCTGTCGCCCAGGCTGGAGTGCAGTGGCGGGATCTCGGCTCACTGCAAGCTCCGCCTCCCGGGTTCATGCCATTCTCCTGCCTCAGCCTCCCAAGTAGCTGGGACTACAGGCGCCCGCCACCGCGCCCGGCTAATTTTTTTTGTATTTTTAGTAGAGACGGGGTTTCACCGTTTTAGCCGGGATGGTCTCGATCTCCTGACCTCGTGATCCGCCCGCCTCGGCCTCCCAAAGTGCTGGGATTACAGGCGTGAGCCACCGCGCCCGGCCTATTGTCATTTTTTAAGAAATTGCTACAGCCACTCCAACCTTCAGCAACCACCCCCTGAACAGTCAGCAACCTTCAACACTAAGGCAAGACCCTTCACCAGCAAGATTATAACTCACTGAAGGCTCCGATGATCCCTAGCATTTTTTTTTTTAGCAATTAAGTATTTTAAATTTAGGTAATCTATATTGTTTTTAAAAAATATAATACTATTGCACTTTTAATAGAGTAGAGTGTAAACATAACTTTTTTTTTTTTTTTTTTTTTGAGACGGAGTCTCGCTCTGTCGCCCAGGTTGGGGTGCAGTGACACAACCTCGGCTCACTGCAAGCTCCGCCTCCTGGGTTCACGCCATTCTCCCGCCTCAGCCTCCGGAGTAGCTGGGACCACAGGCGCCCGCCACTGCACCCGGCTAATTTTTTTGTATTTATTTAGTAGAGACGGGGTTTCACCCTGTTAGCCAGGATAGTCTCGATCTCCTGACCTTGTGATCCGCCCACCTCGGCCTCCCAAAGTGCTGGGATTACAGGCGTGAGCCACCGCGCCCGGCCAACATAACTTTTATATGCACTGGGAAACCAAAAAATGTATTTCACTTTATTGCAATATTTACTTTATTGCAATGGTCTGGAACCATGTCTACAATATCCTCAAGATATGGCTATATAACCTGGGAGATAATTAGACAAATTTGGAAATCTGGATGTAAAAGAATGTTTACTGCAATTTTTAAATGATAGTAAGCAATATAAAAAAACCTAAATGAATAATAATTGGGAAATGCATAAATGGATAATAGCACAGCTGTTTAATGGAATATTATATACTGTCACTATAATTAATGGTGTCATTATTTATGGACATAGAGTTGTCCACAATGAGAAAGTACACTCTTGTTTTCTAACAATGGCACATGGAAGTATAATATGCACATTCTGAGAGTGATCTGGAGAGTTGCTCACCAAAATGTTATTTCTCTCAGCAGTAGGATTTAAATTGACTTTTCCATTTTTCCTTTGTACTTTTAGTCATTTTAAAACTAGAAAACAATAATAACAATAATTCTATTTTCACTTTGGTAGAAAAAAAAACCCAAACCACTGAACCAATCTCCAGCTGTGACCAGCAAGTCTCATGAATTTTATTCAGTCCGGTTCCAGGGAGGTATTTACCAGAATGACAACCATGGCCAACTGATATTAGAAAGAGTTTATTAATATCAGGAATAGATGGGCGAGATTAAATTGGAGAATCTAATAGACCCAAAACCCCAGTTCCACTTTACTTTCTGTTGTTTCCAAAATCAGAATGAAGCCAGTAACAAAATGAGGAGCTAAACGTTTTAGGCAAATCTTTTTGCATTCCAGGTAACATTAAGGTGAATTCTAAAATGCTCAATCTATTTTGAGGATATTGGAGCTAACCTACCACTCAATAAAATTTGTATTAATGTTTTCTTTATGAAACTCAAAGAGTTAACAAACAAATATGTCTCCAAAAAATAGGCAACATAAGAAATGGGACATAAAAAATACATCTGTACTAGTCCCACCAAAGCAAGAGTGCCATCTCTACAGTATGGGAGCTCCCATTGGGCGGCTGCCTATATCCCTCCAGTGACAAGATGGGGTTCTTTTTACTGTGCATCACGGTCCCCTCTACAGCCAGAGAGCTTACTCACTAGAGTTCTTCCTAAAAAGCCTGAAGGTACTCGGATAGTACCCTAATACTGGGATTATCTTCTCATTTCACAGAAAGGGAAATCGAGTCACAATGAGGCCAAGAGGCTTAAACTTGGCATTTCAGACCTCAGAGCTTGAAATGGGGCTCCCACGTCAAAATTCTGTCCTGAGTCCACTACTTCTTTTTGCTACTTGAATCATGAGCAAGCCGAGAGGCTAGCCCAGGGCTTCCCAAGGGTTACCTTTCCCACCTAAATGTATAAACTCTTTGGATTCTTAATAATTAAAAAAAAAAAATTAAAAAATAAATCTTTTGTAGAGACAGATTTTGCTTTGTTGCCCAGGCTGGTCTTGGACTCCCAGACTCAAGTGATCCTCCCAACTTCGTCTCCTAAAGTTCTGGGATTACAGGTGTGAGCCACCACACCTGGCCAATTCTTTTGATGTTTAAGCTTGTAAGCATGCAGAAGTGACAAACTTCATTTTACTCGTTTAAAACATTATTGGGGCCAGGCGCGGTGGCTCACGCCTGTAATCCCAACACTTTGGGAGGCTGAGGTGGGTAGATCACGAGGTCAAGGGATCGAGACCATCCTGGCTAACATGGTGAAACCTCGTCTCTACTAACAGTAAAAATTAGCTGGGCGTGGTGGTGTGTGCCTGTAGTCCCAGCTACTCTGGAGGCTGAGGCAGGAAAATCGCTTGAACCTGGGAGGTGAAGGTTGCCGTGAGCCGAAATCGTGCCCTTGCACTCCAGACTGGCAACAGAGCGAGACTCCATCTCAAAAAAAAAAAAAAAAAAACCAAAAAACCAAAAACCAAAAAACATTATTGGAAGACACAAAAGTTCTTATAATATACACACCACCTATATAGCACCACAAAGAACAGTGACCATATGACTATAGCTCCTTTTTCTAATGTTCTTTACTACTTTACAAGTAATCTCTTTGTCGAGAAAACATTGCTATCGTCAACAGTTCTAAAATGTCTTTGTTTCATGGAAGTGGTGATGAGAAAGGATCATATGCTTGCTTGCCTAACATCACAGGTGGAACGTATACATGTGACTTAGGCACAACCCCTAGAGACCCATGGGCTTGAGGGTACCCCACACAGTTCCACCACGTGGAAGGCCTGAACTGCTCAGAATACTTCTAATAGAAGCATAGTTATGTGGAGTGTGGAGGGGAAGGTCTTACTGAGCCCTTCACCCAAAGTGGCAACTTTTTAGAAAAATTCTAAACGAAACATTGACACTTCTGTCCTCCTTTCCCCCTGCTGCGACAGCCAGACAACAATGGCTCAGGCCCCAACCCCAACGCCCGGCTCTGTGCTATTATGACTCGGATGCACCTCTGCCTCCACGTTTTTATCCTCTCTGCTGTGGACCCCACAGTGCCTGCAAATGCACCTTCCTCAGCCCTGATTTTTCATCTCACCTTGCCAAAGTGCCAGTCTGAGTCTTCCAAGGTAGATCTGGTTACTGAGAAAGAGACAGGAGAAAAAATAGACACATTTCTGTGGCAATATTCTAGCCCTGATATTCCAGCACTTCCCACAAGTCCTCCTCTCTGTACCCCATCCCTCACCTACACACATAGAGGCCCAGTCCAGCTGTTGGGACAAAATACCAAAGAAATCACTCTGTGGCTCATATCCTCTCGCTAAAATGCAGATCGAGATTATTGTAGTCTTTTGTAAATCCACTATTACCCCCAATGCATTACTTTATTTTTCTTTATGGGGTTAAGTAGCATGACCATAATTCAGTGTCTAAACTTTTTAAAGGTGGTACTATTGGCAGTTGTGCCACGATGCCAGTTGCAAATCAGGACTGTCCTCAGGAATTGGGATATGTGTTCCTCCTGGGTGTGAGGAAAGCAACACAAAATAAGGAAAGGCTAGGGAAGAGGCCCAGAGGGGGCTGTTTTGCTTTCAACTTGCTTTCTGACATTGCTAATAATAAAAATCCTTAGAAACTTCCAATGAGCTGTGCGCTTGCTTCAGGACTGAAACATTGAGGAAAAGTTTTATGACTATACTCTATAGGCTAAACATGGGAGGAAAAATAGTACCAGCCTCACTTTTCCCATCAAAACCCTTCCCCCGACCGTGCCAGACCCCCACCTGCTGCAAGTAAAAGCAAAGGACACAGGCAGGCCAATTCTTGGGGTCCTCAGAAAAGATAAGAAGGGAATGAATGAATGAATTCAAGCACAGACTTAGAAGAACCTCAGGGAATTTATACTGGTAAGTGTCCCAGAAACCCCTGGAGCTCCCTCTCTGAAGCCATGAAGTCCTTGCCAGTGACAAACAAGTGGAAAGTCCTGTTTCTCAGTGCCTGGCAAGTGGGATGGGAGGATTCTGGGGAAGAGTCCAGGCCTATGCCCAGGCATCTGTGAGGAAATAGTTTGTAACACCTCAAGGTCCTATTGAACATAATGTCTCACAGAAAGGACCTTGGTTAATTAGGGTCTATGGTGGCATCTCCCTAGGAAAATAGGAGTTTCTTTTGGGAAGAGACTTCTACAATCCAAACAACCACCTTTTATGTGAACTCTTGGAATCCACCTATTGGTAAGGTGGAAGAGTTAGCAGACATGTTTCTATGTGGGCAAGGGGGTGGCCTGGTCACTTTCTAGGTTCCTGCTGGCTTTCAGAATGTGTCCATAGGAGGCATCAGACCTGGCCAGAGGAAAATCACTTTGTCCAGTCTCACAACTGATAAGTAATAGTTACAGAAATACAGCACCACAACGTTGTTTAAGCCCTCGTTACTCTGTGCTCTTTCCTCACCCAATACCATCTATTCATTAATTCTATCATTCATTCAACTTATATTTATTTATCCACTTTTATGGCTCAATTATCACCTATAAGGAGATGACTCAATTGTTTATCTCCAGCCCAGACCTCTTCAGTGAGCTCCAGTACACCTATATCTTCCTGGTATGTCTCCTTAGTATCTCAAAGGTGCATCAAACTCAGTGTTGCCAAGGCCAAGCTCATTATCAGCTCTTAAACATATTCCCTTCTTTTCATCCCCATCCTCATTACTCCAGTGCAAAGAAACCAGAATATCCCCCATGGACAATTGCATCTGCCTCCTGGCAGGGGTCCCTCTTCACCCATCTAATTCATTCTCTACACTGCAGCTAGTGGGATCTTTCCAACTAGCAAATCTCATTACCTTACCCCATCTTTTGCTAGAAACAGGTCAATAGCTTTTCTTTGCTCTTAGAATAAAGACCAAAAACCCCACTGTGTTCTGCTCCCTGACTGTGGTCTAATCCCGCACATTCCCTCACTCTTGCAGTCTCAGTGTCCACGCTGACTCCTCTCCATAGAGCGCTCTCCTCTAATCAATGCCTCCTCTCTCTTCAGGTGGCAGGACATCTCTCCAGTAAAGGCTTGTAAAGTATGTTCCACTCTCCTGTAATGTGCTCTCTTAGTCAATGTACCCCTCTCCTTTGAGGTAAGGGTCAGGGCTGTAATTTGTTATTTACTTTGGGCTTCTTTGATTCCTGGTTGTTCCTCCTCTAGACTGTAAGCTTTGTGTGGGCAGGAGCTGTGTCTGTTCGGTTTACCATAAACATTCATCAAATAATTATTGAATAAAGAATAAAGGGAAAAAAGGAAAGAGAGAGAGAGGAATTATTCCCATTCTCCCTCAACACTTTTGGTCTTTTCTACTTTTGGTACAAAAAGTAGTACTTTTCTACTTCTGGTCTTTAGTTCATGCTGTTCCCTTAGTCTAGCAGGTTCTTCTTTCTCCCACCAGTTGAAACCCTATTTCTTACTCAAAATGCCACTGTCCTATGTCTGCCCTTCATTTCTAGCATTCTTTGAGTCTGGTCTGGATTAGGGTGCTTTATGTATACAGTCACCTTTTGGGCAGGGTCTATGTCTTACTTGTCTCTGTATCCTACCACTGCCACTGTCCCCAACCTCAGGGCGTAGGGCAGTACCTTCTACAAGTTTATTGAAAAGAAGTGAATTCAGTGGAGCTACTGAAAATAAGGCCAGAGCCATGAAGAAAGGATTCCTTTCCCAGCTAGGGGATGCCATGTTGGATAGTCACACTATTGCCTGGTGCCATCCTATTTGTGATTTTACTTAAGTTGTACTGGTAGTTCTGCTACACTGGTTCACAAAAGAAGTCAAACAGATGTAATTTCTACCTTCCAGTATCCCACTATCTAAAATGGTGAATGATATTAAGCCAAACTGAAGGCAAATGTGTTCAGTGGATTTGATGAATAGAGGCAGAGGGAGTTAGATATCCTGGGGCAACCACCATCTCCCCTCCACTAAATCAGGAAAACTGTCTATCTTCACTTAATTCTATTTACTTAACACTAGCCTAAAGAAAACTTGTTTTCATTTATCCATCTGTCTCATTTTCAAATAAAATTTCTAAATGCAGACCACACACGATATTTCAGTGGACCTAACACTGATTTATGCTAAGACTCGGGGAAGGGAGGCACTCTGAAGAAAGATGCTTCACCAGCAATTTTCTGACTGTCAGCCTTTGCTCACTCTGCTATAGTAACATGCAGATGCAGTTTAGTGTCTCAATTACTTCTGGATTTGGTCCATTCAAGAGTCATATCATCGCTGCTATACCAAGTAAGCATGAAAGTCAAAACTGTGATTCCTGACAACCATGGTGATAGAATATAAATTAAAAGGCCCTTGCTTGCTTAGCCATCATTCTGAAAACATCAGAATGCAATTTGTTGGACAGATTCTATAATCTGCAGATGAAGGCAGTTATAGGGCTCAAGTTTATCCAGCGTTAACAAGCCCTAATAGTCTAGTTCAGCTCAGACATAACAAACGGAAATGGCTTTAAATTATCCTTCCCTAGAGACATGATTTCATAAGAGAACAAACTCTATATGTGCACAGAGAGATTTCCAATGTAAACATGTGGTGGAAGCTAAAAGCTGCAGCTGAGTTTCAAGCCTGGATATGCCAATGGCAGGGTATTTGATTTCAAAGACACCGATTTCCTCCCAGTGCGATAGCGTGTATGCTTTTTTTGCTGACTACACTTTGAACTGCAGAATACACACAAGCTTGCATCTATGTGTAATTTTATAGTTTTCTTTCTAGCTAGGATATTAATAGATTTTACTTAGCCTTTCCATGCATAAGTATGACTGGGATATAGATGCTTAAGGGATAAGGTTCCTCACAGAAAACACAAGGCTCCCTCATCACCTGGGCTGTCTGAAATGTAGACTAGCCTTTAAGGCTTTGGAAAACACAGGGTGAGCAACTTGGGTCTTCCATGTTCAAGCAGGATATCAACCAAGCTCCCCATGGATATAAAAAAGTAGGGAAGCCAGGCATGGTGGCTCATGCCTGTAATCCCAGCACTTTGGGAGGCCGAGGTGGGTGGATCACCTGAGGTCTGGAGTTCGAGACCAGCCTGGCCAACATGGTGAAAACCCATCTCTACTGAAAATACAGAAATTAGCTGGGCGTCGGGCACGAACCTGCAATCCCAGCTTCTAGAGAGGGTGAGGCAGAAGAATTGCTTGAACCTGGGAGGCGGAGGTTGCAGTGAGCCAAGATGGTGCCACTGCACTCCAGCCTGGGTGACAGAGTAAGACTCCATCCAAAAAAAATGAAAAAATAAAAAATAAAAAGTAGGGAAAGGAGAATTCCTTTGCCCTGTAAAGAGAACAGAACATTCTAGTTTGTTCCTTTTAGGCTAATCAGGTCTAAAAAGCCTAAGACCAAGATTTTACAATGACACTCAGCCAATGTCCATTTGGCCTATATGTCAAATGAGGTCCATCTCTTGTTTTTATATGGCCCATGAGCTCAGAATAGTTATTACAGTTTTAAATAGCTGAAAAAAAGACAAAAAAAATTTTGTGACATGTAGAAATTATATAAATTTCAAATTTCAGTGTTCATAAACAAAGTTTTATTGAACACAGCCATGCTCATTTGTCCAGGTATCATCTATGGTGACTTCACACTACAGTGGCAGAGCTGTTTAGCTGCAACAGAGATTATAGGACCTGCAAAACCTAAAATAAATAAAGGCCTAAAATATTCTGGCCCTTTACAGAAAAGGTTTGTTTATCCCAGATCTAAACTATGAGACAAAGTCAGTATCGCCCAGGCTGGAGTGCAGTGGCAGGATCTTGGCTCACTGAAAGCTCTGCCTCCCGGGTTCATGCCATTCTCCTGCCTCAGCCTCCTGAGCAGCTGGGACTACAGGCGCCCCCCACCATGCCTGGTTAATTTTTTTGTATTTTAGTAGAGACGGGGTTTCACCCTGTTAGCCAGGATGGTCTCAATCTCCTGACCTCATGATCCGCCCACCTCGGCCTCCCAAAGTGCTGGGATTACAGGCGTGAGCCACCGCGCCAGGCGAGACAAAGTCAATGTTAATCTTCAATTGCTTCTTTTGTTTTTAAACAAACATATGCATTATGCCTATGAGCTCCCAAGTGAGTTAAATATCCTTTGCATTTATACTAGAATCCATTTAGCCAATTTTATTTCAAACCATCAAGTCTTGCATAAACCATTTTAACCTGAGAGCACAAGGAAATCACAAGTAAGAAATCTTAATTTTTATTTAAAATTTCCTGAATTTGAAAATATCGTATGACTCCAGTCCAGAGGGCACCAGCTTGCAATATCTGATTTAGACCATGAATATACCATAGATTCTTCACTTTTTAGTCATTACAAACTGTTCTTGCTACCAAGGCAGGCCTAAGAAAATTGTTTGTGCTTTGCAAAGTATTTTAAATTTTTATATGATTTTAAAAAACTTAGTCTACATTTATCATCAAAGCTTGTCACAGAAGACATATTAGTTTCAGTGACATTAAAGCTTTAAACTGGTAAACTCTTTGAGGGAATGTCCTTTGCCCTTAATTTTTCTCATGCCCTCCCAGAGCATGGTCCATGCAATGGTCACTTGGTACCATTGGGTGCCAAGATAGGTACTTGCTGACCTTACCAGCACTTTTCATTTCTTGACTTCTCTCTTGCCCTGTTGATGTTCAGGGCCCACATGGAATATTCAGCAAATTCATTATTTCATCTCTGTCCTGGGGTAGTGTATCTACTCTCTTTTTAGTGTGCTCTAAGATTAGACTCTCTAACACTTTAAAGTCCTCTCTCAAACCACACAGATATATTCTGCCTTGGATTCCCAAGCAATCTTACTGTGTATGGGTGTTTTAATAAAGATCAAAAGTGACCAGCAGCTCTCTGCACTCTAAGAGGAACAAAGACTGCTAGTATTAGTAGCTGAAACTGCTGATGCTGTTCACGGGCCTGTTTCTTTATTTATTATTATTATTTTGAGACAGGGTCTCGCTCTGTCATCCAGGCTGGCGTGCAGTGGCACAATCATGGCTCACTACAGCCTTGACCTCCCAGGCTCAAGCAATCCTCCTGCTTCAGCCAATTTGGGAGGCACACGCCACCATGCCTGGCTAATATATATGGTTTTTCATACGGAATGGGTCCCTACTACGTCGCTCAGGCTGGTCTCAAACTCCTGGGCTTAAGCGATCCTTCTGCCTTGGCCTCCCAATATGTTGGGATTATAAGCATGAGCTATCGTACCCAGCCACCTACTTCTTAAAGTCAAATCTTTGCAGTACAGGGGACCCCCAATCATTTTGTGGATACTAAATCTACTTCCCCAAACTGATAGGAAGTAAAGGAATGCAGCTAACAAAAACTCTGAAACTGTTACTCTTTCATGCATAGGTAAATATGCATTTAGTCAATAAACATTTATGAAATACTGCTAAAGTGTCAGGAATGATGCTAGATATTAGAGACAGCAGAAGGAGCATAACTTGGACTTTGTCCCTAAGATCTTTCAGTCTAGCGAAAGCAAACAGTGTTGCAGACAATTCATGAAAAAAAAAATGTGTTGAGGATTATAGACATGGAAGGGAAGAAGAGGAAGAAGATGCTTCATTCTTCCTAAGGGTGAAGTGTGAAAAAGGCTTCAGAGAGGTGGTGGCACTTCGATTGAGTCTTAAAAGCTGAGCCAGCCTTGGGGGGTAGAGGGAAGGCAAGAGGGGAAGGGATAAATTATAGGCAGAGGAGCAGCAAAAGGGACCCAAAAATGTAAACTATCCTAGACCATAAGAAGTACTCTGAGAAATTCACAATGGTTCTAGTGTATGTGTTTACTGGGAGGAGGGGTGATGGAGAAATGAGGCCGAGAGAGAAACCATTCAGAGATATACGGCTGGAGAACTGAGCAGCTGCCAGACCTTGAGGTCCCTGTATGTATGCTAGGGAGTCTGGAATAAATCCCAGAGACAGTGAAAAAGACATTGAGGGATTTCAAGTACAAGAGTAACACAATCACATTGTTCTGCTAGAAAGAACACTTTGGACATGCTACAGAAGAGGGACTGAAGGGCTACAGAGTGCGACTGCTGGATTAGTTCAGGCAGCAGAAATCCAAGGTGTGAATTTAGACCCTGGATGTAGAGCTGAACATGAAATCGAGGAAGAAATCTTGATGATCGAGTGGTTGTTTGGGGGAAGGGGCAACAGAATAGAGAGGAAGTTGATTCCCAGGTTGTTGTTTAGTGGCTGGGTAACTAGCGAAGCTATTCACCATGCAAAGAAATAGAAGAGGAGGAATGGGATCTTTTTTGCTTAAAAACAACAGTAACAGAAAGAAATCAGTGCCTTCCTGATTATATTCTAGGCTAGGAAATCATATCAAATGAAGTTGCGCTTCAGGCAGTCTTAGAAAATTCTTTTTCTGTCCTTGTGGCTTTTGAATGTCATGGGTTAGATTACCATGTCAAAGATGAAACCACTTTAAATCTGTTTTGGAAAAAGATGGGATATAAATATGTAATATAAAAAACATCAAGATATTTATATTTTAATCTATTCTCTGCATGCATTCAAAAACAAATATAGGATCTTTCTGAAATTCTTCTGTGAGGTTTGAGGGAACTATTAAATTATACACCTTTTCCACAACTGCATTCTGAACCCATTTGTGTTAGTCTGTTCTTGCATCACTATAAACAAATAACTGCCCAGGCACAGTGGCTCACGCCTCATGCACTTTTGGAGGCCAAGGTGGGTGAATCACTTGAGGTCAGGAGTTCGAGGCCAGCCTGGCCAACATGGTGAAACCCCATCTCCACTAAAATACAAAAATTAGCTGGGCGTGGTAGCACACTCCTGTAATCCCAGCTCCTTGGGTGGCTGAAGCATGAGAGTCGCTCTTGAACCCAGGAGGTGGAGGTTGCAGTGAGCTGAGATCATGCCTCCAGGCACTCCAGCCTGGGCAACAGAGCAATACTCTGTCTCAAAAAAAAAAAAAAAGAAAGAAACACCTGACGCTGAGCTTAATTGGCTCACAGCTCTGCAGGCTCTACAGAAATCATGGTGCTGGCATCTGCTCAGCTTCTGGTAAGGCCTCAGGAAGCTTATAGTCATGGTGGCAGGTGAAGGGAAGCTAGCATGTCACAAGTTGAGAGTAGGAACAAGAGTGGGGGGAGGTGCCACACTCTTTAAATAACCACATTTCATGTTAACCACCAGAGCAAGAACTCATTCATCACCAAATGGATGGACTAAGCCATTCATGAAGGATCTGCCCCCATAATCAGAACACCTTCCACCAAGCCCCACCTCCAACACTGGGGATTTTAACATGAGATTTGGAGGGGACAAATATCTAAACTATATCATTATGCCTCTAGCTCCCCAAATCTCATGTCCTTCTCACATTGCAAAATATAATCATCCTTTCTCAATAGTTCTCCCAAGTCTTAATTTGTTCCAATTCCAACTCAATCAAAAGTCCCAAGTCTGAAGTCCAAAGTTTCATCTGGAGATGAGTTCCTTCCACCTATGAGCCTGTAAGATCAAAAACAAGTTATTTATTTCCGAGATACAATGGTAATATGGGCATTGGGTAAATATTCCCATTCCAAAGGGAAAAACTGGCCAAAAGAAAGGGGCTACAGTTCCCATGCAGGTCTGAAACCCAGAAGGGCAGTCATTAAATGTTGTTTTTTTTTTTTTTTTTTTTTGAGATTGAGTCTTACACTGTTGCCCAGGCTGGAGTGCAGTGGCATGATCTCGGCTCACTGCAAGCTCCGCCTCCTGGGTTCACGCCATTCTCCTGCCTCAGCCTCCCGAGTAGCTGGGACTACAGGCACCCGCCACCATGCCTGGCTAGTTTTTTGTATTTTTAGTAGAGACTGGGTTTCATCATGTTGGCCAGACTGGTCTCGAACTCCTGACCTCGTGATCTGCCTGCCTTGGCCTCCTAAAGTGCTGGGATTACAGGCGTGAGCCACCGCACCCAGGCTATTTATTTATTTATTTTTGAGACGGAGTCTCGCTCTGTCGCCCAGGCTGGAGTGCAGTGGCGTGATCTTTGCTCACTGCAAGCTCCGCCTCCCAGGTTCACGCCATTCTCCTGCCTCAGCTTCCCGAGTAGCTGGGACTACAGGCGCCCACCACCACGCCGTGCTAATTTTTTGTACTTTTAGTAGAGACGGGGTTTCACTGTGTTAGCCAGGATGGTCTTGATCTCCTGACCTCGTGATCCACCCACCTCAGCCTCCCAAAGTGCTGGGATTACAGGCGTGAGCCACTACGCTCGGCGGCAGTCATTAAATCTTAAAGCTCCAAAATAATCATCTTTGACTCCATGTCCCACATCCAGGGCACACTGGTGCATGGGCAGCGCTGTCCCTGTGGCTTTGCAGGATGCAGACCCCATGACTGCTCTCATGGGTTGGAGTTGAGTGTCTGCAGCTTTTCCAAGCTCAGGATACAAGCTGCCCATGGCTCTACCATTCTGGGACGTGGCGGGTGGTGGCCCTCTTCCCATCACTCCACAAGGCAGTGCCCTGGTGAGGACTCTATGTGGGGGGCTTCAACTCCACATTTCCTCTCCACACTGCTCTAGTAGAGGTTCTCTGTAAGGGCTCCACCTCTGCAGCAGGCTACTGCCTGGGCACCCAGGATTTCCAATACATCCTCTGAAATCTAGGGGAATCTGCGAAGTTTCCTTCACTTTTGCACTCTGTGCACCTGCAGACTTAATACCACATGAAAGCCACTAAAGCTTACAGCTTGTGCCCTCCAGAGCCAGCAGCCCAAGCTGTACTTGGGGCCCTTTGAGCTGGAGCTGGAGATGGAGCTGAAGCAGCCCACATGCAGACAGCAGTGTCTCAAGCCTGAGCAGGGCAATGGCCCAGGCCTGGTCCCTGAAACCATTATTTCCTCATAATGCTCTGGGTCTGATAGCAGAGTCTGTCTCCAAGATCTCTGATATGCCTTTTCCCCATTGTCTTGGAAATTAGCACTTGGCTCCCTTTTAGTCACGCTAATCTTTCTAAGCAAGTGGTTGTTCCTCAGCCTGCTTGTATTCCTCTCCTAAAAATGCTTTTTATTTCTCTGGCCACATAGCCAGGCTGCAAATTATCCAAAATTTTACACTCTGCTTCCCTTTTAAATGTAAGTTCCAACTTTAAATCATTTCTTTGCTCATATATCTGATTGTAGGCTGTCAAAAGAGATAGGGGGAAAATTACACAACATTATTCTGGGCAATGATATTTTAGACCTGACCCTAAAAGTTCATGCAACAAAAGCAAAAATAGAAAAATGGGATTATATCAAAATAAAAAGCCCCTGTACCGCAAGGAAAACAACTGCATGAAGCGACAACCTTTGGATTGAGAGAAAATATTTTCAAGGCATACATCTGATTAGGGTTTAATATCCAAAATATATAAGGAGCTCAAATTGTGTGGCGAGTATAGTGAATAATTATGTACTGTACATTTGAAAATTGTTAAGAGAGTAAATTTCAAATGTGCTTACCACAAAACTGGTAAGTATTTGGAGCGATGGATATCTTAATTAGTTTTATTTAATTATCCCATATTATATTTATTAATTATAACATTACATTGTGCCCATAAATACATACAACTGTATTTGTCAATTTTAAATTTAAAAATAAGCAAAAAAAAAAAGGCAGCAGAAATGGAGACCAAGGGCTACATATACTTTAAAGATAAGGAGCAGGTAACTCCAGGATTTGTTGCCTGAGTGGATTTGGGACCAACATCCAGAGGACAACAAAGACAGAAAACTCTGGGTACTCATTGGTATTCACCTAAAACTGAAAATTTCAAAAAAGTCTACAATTAGGTCAAACGTGGACATGTATGAATTTACAAGATGTAGAGGCCACAAGTACCAACAGTTACCAAATGATCTGCTCCCCAAGTGTCCTTCCACATGGTGACAAGGATAAACCTTTCTGCGCCTTTCTACTTGCTTTCACTTGATGGGCTTCACTTTATGGTAAGGAAATCTTTTGCTCATTAACTCCAAAGCTAAACTCTTCATTAGAAAGAGAGAGACAGAGAGAGAGAGGGAGAGAGAGAGAAAGAGAGAGAGAGAAGGCATGGGTACATAGCAACAGTGAGCTTCCCCAAAACTGGGTTAGGCAGGGCCCCCTGTCCCGTCCCTCTATGGCTGGTGGAGGACAATATCTGAATGTGCGAAGTGCTTCCTTATCTCAGACTCACCAGTTAGATAAGCCATTCCACTTTCCCTAAGGAGGAACAGTGAAGAAGCAGAAAGGCCAAGAGTGACTTAGGGAAAATCCTTCCTCCTAGAGAACAAAGACTTTCCCCCTGAAGCCCTTGACTAGTAAATTTTTTTTCTTTCCTAATATAAGCAGTAGATAGGATAGAATTTAATTCCACTCAGTAAGCATCAAGTGGCTTCTGTGTTCCAAGGATTGGACTAGGCACTGGAAATAAAGAGATAAAAGACAAAGTTCTGTCTTCAAGTGTTCACATCCTATTTCTGTAAGATAGGCCTCTAGAAGGAAGATAAACATGTGATAGAGTCAAGGGGTAAGCAAATTATATGGGGAGCAAACAGGAAGTACTAATTAGTTGTAACCTAGGGAATTAGAGTGAATATGAAAAAAGCATCTGGATTTTTTTTTTCTTACACTATACACAATATGTCAAGCCATCATTTCCTTTCCATTAGTGAAAGATTTTTGTTTGCCACAGGATGTGAAAGTGCACTATATGCAGTTGTGTGATATATTGGTGGACATATATTCTTTCCACCCCTTTTCTAATAACTGAAACCTTCCTTTCCTTTGGAGAACTGCTCCACCCCTACCTCTGGGGCCCTGTCTTCCTGCCACTGGGGTAGACAAAAGATCTAATGGGCCAATAGGACTCTTTTTGAACGTACTGACAAAGTTGGAGAGAAAAAAGACCTTATGCCTTATGAGATCCTAAGTGATACAGACCAGAGACTGCTGCATTGCTCCTCCCATATGGCAAAACCTGCTGCGAATGAAACCAACAGGAGGAAAGCAGAGCAGAGAGATGGAATTACAGCAGAAACGATGATGACATTGTTGGAAACCCATTAGATCCACTTCTTAGCCTTCGCAATTACATTAGCCAATAAATTCCACTGGATCTGTCACTTGTATTTATCATAAACTTAGAAATCACTTTATTAATAAAACATTACTTATAAATTGCTTCTACCATGTCTTTGACCTAAGAAAATAAGGTTCAGACTTCCACAAAACTTTATGAAAACCCTGACCACTTTAGTGCTGTAATAGATGTTCTAGGAATTGCCAATGATTCCATAAATGACACAGTGTCATTTAATGATGAAGCTACTCTGATACAGTATCAGATCAACTAATTTTTCCTATAATATACTTGCATATAACTCAACCCTTCATATTTCTATGATGTATTTTATTCATCATGCATTTTTTGCATTACACATT
Organism: Homo sapiens; assembly: GCF_000001405.40. NCBI lineage: Eukaryota > Metazoa > Chordata > Mammalia > Primates > Hominidae > Homo > Homo sapiens. The sequence continues at coordinate 68,341,176 of NC_000014.9, read as the reverse complement.
ACTGAAATACAGTTACCTTGATTCTTGTTCTTTAAAGAGATTAAATTCATTTTCAGTTCTAATTTAGTCATTAACATTGTGCTTTGCCTTAACATTCTCTCTGCCCAGCTCATCTTAGTGGCATCTTCAAGGTAAAATCACCTTTGATATGTGAAAATTCTTGCTTCTCACCTTCCCTGAAGGGGAAAATATCAGCAAAATTATAATTTGAAATTGTAATGAACTCTATTTCCCTGCTTCTTAACCTATAAGGATGAAATGGGACAAGTGAAAACATCTAGAGATCTCTGAGTGCCAAAGGCAGACTGTTCTCCATTGCTTTCATATTTTACTTCCCTAACCAGATTTCAATGTCCTAGAGAGCCAAGCGTCATGGATGTCTTGGGATATCCCAAATATGCAAGATGGTATAGGAGCCTAGGGAAAACCTCCCCTTCAACCTCTGAGTGTTTACTGAAAATCAACTGACAAAAGGCAGGTTAATAGGAAAAAAGGCATACAAAAATAGTAATATGCACGCATGTGCACAGGAGTTATAAAAAATAAGAAAAACTCAAAGAAAGGGTCAGATAGTTGAAGTTTTCATCCTGAGGTTACAGAAGGAATAGAGGCTTAGAGTCTGGCAAGACCAGTTATGGGTGGAAGAGAAGAAAAGCATGGCTAGCAAAGGCAGTCTTGTAATGCAGATGAAACCTCACAGGTAGCAGCCCTCCAAAAGAGTAAGTTTCTATTAGATCCCCAGAGGTGTCAAACTCTCAGTCTCTCTCTCCCAGGAGCCCATCTGTCCTAGATCCAGACAAGTCACAGCACAGAAAGGCTGGCTGTTTATTTCAGCAATGTAGATTTTCTCTACAGATGTAAATCTCCCCCACAAAAGGTAGTTTTACAGGGCTATTCCTGTCTGCAGGTTCTCTGAATAGCCATCTCAAATATGTCAAAGAAGTATATTTGAGGGTGAAGTATTTTGGTTTCCTTTAATGGTAAAAAAAGGAAGAAGGAAAGATGTATTTACTTTCCTTGGTAACTCATTGTATCGGTCCAAAGACACCTTGAAGTTATTTCTGATAAATATTTCTAAGTAAACACTATTAGTAAAATACTATTGAATACTAACCATGTGCCAGGCACTATGTTACATTCCTCCTAAAAACATTTCTTCTTTTTTTAACCCTTGTGTAGACAAAGAAAAAGTAGCAGCCTTCTCTCTAAAAGATCATTATATGGTCACATCTCAGCACTGCCTATGATTAAACTACCTCAATTTCTTTAAACATTCTTTATTGTGATGATTAAAATTATATACATTGTAGAAAATGACTGTGCTATTAGATTGCTATCTTACTGTACTACTTTTCAACTTTTACTACTTAGGAGAGGCAGATTTCCCAATTCTCTAATTTTCTCAACATTTAGACTGATCCCTATTTATAAGAGGAAGAACTAGGCTTAGAGAGAGAACAGTACATTCAATGTTCATCTTAGTGGCATCTGTAACGTTAAATCACCCCTGATATATGAAAATTGTTGCTTTTCACCTTCTTTAAAGGCGAAAATATCATCAATAAAACTGAAATTAGAAACAAAGTTATTTGGTATAATGCTAGATGAAAAATATGGCAACCATAAGTCTCTCCTCCCGCCACCCAAGATGCTGAAAGGAAAGAAAGCCAAGGAGAAAAAATGGCTCCAGCTCCTGCTGTCATAAAGAAGCAGGAGGCCAAGGAAGTGGTGAATCCCCTGTTTGAGAAAAGGCTTAAGAATTTTGGCATTGGACAGGATATCCAGCCCCAAAGAGACCTCACCCGCTTTGTGAAATGGCCCCACTATATCAGGTTGCAGCGGCAGAGAGCCATCCTCTGTAAGTGGATGTAAGTGCCTCCTGCCATTAACCAGTTCACCCAGGCCCTGGACCACCAAACAGCTACTCAGCTGCTTAAGCTGGCCCACAAGTACAGGCCAGAGACAAAGCAAGAGAAGAAGCAGAGGCTGTTGGCCCAGGCCAAGAAGAAAGCTACCAGCAAAGGGGACATCCCCACTAAGAGACCACCTGTCCTTCGAGCAGGAGTTAACATGGTCACCACCTTGGTGGAGAACAAGAAAGCTCAGCTGGTGATGACTGCACACGATGTCGATCCCATCGAGCTGGCTGTCTTCTGCCTGCCTGCCCCATGTTGTAAAAAGGGGGTCCCTTACTGCATTATCAAGGGGAAGGCAAGACTGGGACATCTAGTCCACAGGAAGACCTGCACCACTGTTGTCTTCACAAAGGTTAACTCGGAAGACAAAGGAGCTTTGGCTAAGCTGGTGGAAGCTATCAGGACCAACTACGACAGATACGATGAGATCCACTGTCACTGGGGAGGCAATGTCCTGGGTCTCAAGTCTGTAGCTCACATTATCAAGCTCGAAAAGGCAAAGGTTAAAGAACTTTGCCACTGAACTGGGTTAAATGTACACTGTTGAGTTTTCTGTCCATAAAAATAATTAAAATAATACAAAATTTCCTTCAAAAAAGAAAAAAAATATGGCAAGCATAAAGATACACTTTGAGATAGCTAAATAGCCTCCAAACTTAACCTACACATGGGTGGGCCCTTGGCAGCCATGTTTAAGCCATGTTGTCTGGTTGGATTAAGGGCAGACATATCACCTGTGCCAGACTGATCAGATCCTCTCTCAGGAATTTAGATTCATTGATGCTAGTCTCCCTGGGCTGGGAAGTCGAACTAAGGACGTACAAATGTGGGTAATGAGGATGCACCATGTTTGGCCATGTGCTCAGCAGCAGCGAAAGTGGCTAGCTGAGAAAGAGAAAAGAAAGAAAGCAGATGTACAGAGAGAAGCAGAGATCTGAATCCACAAGCCCCTGAAGGGAGCCAGGCAGACAGAGAGCTACACCTGGGCAACAGGGACTAGTTGCCTGGGTCCTTGTAAATGCTCCTGTTCCAGGCTCTGGTCTCTTATGAAGTCCAGTTGTATTTCATGCTGTTGGGTTATGTGAGAGTCTCGTGATTCCTTATGACAAATTGTTTTGTTGCTGTTAAGATAGTTTGGGTTTCAGTTATTTACAAATAAAAGATTTTTGGGCCTGGCACGGTGGCTCATGACTATAATCCCAGCACTTTCGGAGTGTGAGGCAGGAGGATTGCTTGAACCCAGGAGTTCAAGACCAGCCTGGGCAATATAGTGAGACCCCATCTCTTAAAACAAAACAAAACAAAACACAAAAACTAAAAAATTTGCTGAGTGTGGTGGCACAGGCCTGTAGTCCCAGCTACTAAGGAGGCTGAGGTGGGAGGATTGCCTGAGCCAAGGAGGTCGAGGCTGCAGTGAGCTGTGATCATGTCACTGCACTCCAGCCTGGGGGACAGAGTGAGATCCTGTCAAACAAAACAAAACAAAACAAATAAAAATTTCTAACCTAGGCAATAAGCAAGTGGTTCTTAATTCAGGTTGAGCATCAGAATGTCCTGAAGAGGTTTTAAAAACTCAAATACCCCTGCTCTGTCCCCAGGGATTCTGATTCAGCTGGTCTGGGATATAGCCTAGGCAAGGGAAAATTTTAAAAACCTCCACCTGAGAATTATGGCCCATGGAATGGCAATAGGTAGACAGCAGAAAGCTAGACAGCAAAGGAAAAAGGACATTTCAGATCAAAATAACCATGCCAATAGGGAAGAAAGAACCACAGGATGCAAGAGTACAGCCACTTCCACAAAGCTGCATGCTACAATGGCTAATTTTAGCATCTACTTTCACACAGAAAAACTGTGGTCAACTTTAGACATCTGTCCTGAAAAGAGATTTAAGGTTCTGAGGGGGTATTTCAGGTTTAATTCATGTATCAATAAACTATCCACTGCAGCTTTAAATCTGAATCATTTTGGTACCTGAAAGCATCAAATCTTTTAAAAATTATTTAGCTGGACAATTACAGGTTGCGATGGGCTAGGATAGGCACCAACAAAAATAAGATGTGGGTGTGTGCAAAAGAGGCAATTATGTGGGAATTTGGTACACAGAAATTCTCCCCTCCACAGGAAGAAATTGAGTCCAAAAGTTGATTATATTCATCTGACAGCAAGATTAACACTCAAATTATGGAATAAATTAGTAAGTAAACTACAAATGAAATCACCCTCTTACTAGTTTGACAAAGGAATTCATCTCAGTTAGAACATGGAACTTTTCTGAGGTAGATGAGAAAAATTACTGTAATGTTTGTTAAAAACATTTTTAAACAACCATAAAAAGGAAATGTAGAGTATTCTACCTTATATAAATGCATCTTTTAAGAACTACATTATTTGGTTAAAAGCACTGGGGACAAACAAAGAAATGGTTAGCTGTCTTTCAAACCCTGGGAATGAATTCTCCACCATTGAATGGGTTGGTGTCTAAAAGCCACATCAGGATTATAGCATTAGTTTCAAGAAACTGATACAAAGAAAGAAAATCTGATTTGGGTCCTAGAAACCTACACTGTTTAATAGATGCATTGGTGGCAAGTAGAATTCTATCATCATTTTATATTAAGGTTCAAAGCACTTTTGTCAAAATGTAGGAATTTGGAGTGTAATTTGTTTAAAAACTTGAAGAATTTGCTTGTAATTGATCAGAGCGCATCAAAATAGCAATCTATGTATTGGACAGTAACACCCCCAGGGACTCAGTCCTTTATTTCTTTTGTCAACTAGATTGCTTCACATCTCCCATGGGTAGCCCCCATGTATACCAATAGGGATGAATAAGTGTTGAGTGAAATATAATGAAAAGGAAATATAATCATTACCACAGATGTATGACATCATTCTAGGAAAGTAAATGATCTTACCTTTTTGAATTCTGCTTTCTTTATTGTAAAACCAAGACTCATCCAAGTTAAATACAAAGGAAGATAGGACAGTTTTGAGAGATAAGTGGTTTAAAGCAAAAGATGGCAGAACCATAATTAAACATTCAGTTTCCTTAATAGCTTGTTCTCCAAATGAAATAATAATAGCTAACATTTGTTGAATACATTATATATCAGACATCATTCTCACATATTATTAACTCTTTTAACTCTCCGAATAACCTCTGAAATAGGTACTATTATTATTGTTACTTTTACAATTAAAGAAACTGTGGCACAGACAGGTTAAGTAACTTATCCAAGATAAAACAGCTGGAAGTGGCAGAGCCAAGATATACACCAATGCAAGTATGGCTTCTGATAAACCTTCTCTCAGCCTTTATGCTATACTGCTTCTTGAATGTAGTGACCACAGAGACTTTTAACCTCTCCTTCTAGTCCCTTAAAGTATTGCTAACCTAATGGCTATTTCCAAAATACCAAACCCATGGTGGGTGCCTGATTGTCCATGGGGAAGGCTCTGTAGAACTTTCTGCTCTTGTTACTAGAAAATCAGTAGTTACAGATTCTAACTCTACCTTTAATTAGCCAGGTGCATCTGAACAAGGCTCTCAAGACCACAATTTCTTCATTTAAATAAATAAATTCTATTAGATGATCCCTGAAGCTATTTTCCAACTCTCTGAAATGCTATGAAAAACAGTAAAAGATTCCAAGCCTCTTCTACCACTCCCCACATTGTCAGACCTTATCAGCACTGCCTTCACCAAGCTTAAAACCAGATCCAGGAAGGTGAGCTGGTTGCAGTGAAACCTGTTAGTATCATAGAGGAAAGACTGTTTAGGGACTGCAAAGATGCAAATCAGAAAATTACTAAGAGACTAAAGTATGCTGATTGTACTAATCAACTGAAAGAGTGGCTATCTGCTTTTTTAATTTTGAGAAAAATGTAAATGCAGAAAAGTACAGAGAAAAATATAACATATTTTCTGTTTCTTTTTTCTTTTCTTTTTTTTTTTTTTTTTGACACAGGGTCTCACTCTGTCACCCAGGCTGGAGTGCAGTGGTGCGATCTCGGCTCACTACAACCTCCACCTCCTGGGTTCAAGCGATACTCCTGCTTCAGCTTCCGGAGTAGCTGGAATTACAAGCACCCGCCACCATGCCCAGCTAATTTTTGTATTTTTAGTAGAGATGTGGTTTGACTATGTTGGCCAGGCTGGTCTCAAACTCCTGATCTCAAGTGATCTGCCTGCCTCGGCCCCACAAAGTGCTGAGATTACAGGCATGAGCCACTGCGCCCAGCCAACATATTTTCTATATTTTCTTCAGTTCTTGTTTGTTTTTTTATATATATATATATAAAACATATATAATACTTATATATGTGTGTGTATATATATCATAAAATATATCTATCCTATATATCATAAAATATATATCTATCCTATATATCATAAAATATATGATATATCTATCCTATATATCATAAAATATATATCTATCCTATATATCACATGATATATCAAGTAAAGTATGCCAATCACATTTCTTCCTCCAGTGACAACCACTACCAAGAATTTGGAGAGGTTATCTGTGCTACCATGTTATGGAAGCACTATTCACAATGGCCAAGATATGGAATCAACTTAAAGGTCCATCAACAGATGAATGGATAAAAAAAATGTGGCCTATATGCATAATGGAACACAGCTGATGCTTGAACAACACAGGTTTGAACTGCAAGGTCCACTTACATATGGATTTTTTCAATAAAGCTACTCCAACCTGTCTCTCCTATCTCCCACTACATTCCTCCACCTCTTCTACCTCTGCCACCTCTGAGACAGCAAGACCAGCTCCTCCTGTTCTTCAGCCTACTCAATGTGTAGACGATATGGGTGAAGAATTTTACAAAGATCCACTTTCATTTAATGAATGGTAAATATGTTTTCTCTTCCTTATGATTTTCTTAATAACATTTTCTTTTCTCTAGCTTACTTACTGTAAGAATACAGTATATATTATATATAATATACAAAGTATGTGTTGACTGTTTATGTTATCAGTAAGGCTTCCAATCAACAGTAGGCTAATAAAGTTTTGGAGAAGCCAAAAGGTATTTGTGGATTTCTGACTGTGTGAGGGTTAGCACCCCTCATCCCTGCATTTTTCTAGGGTTGACTCTACTATTCAGCCATAAAAAAGAATGAGATTCCACCATTTGTGACAATATAGATGAACCTGGAAGACATTATGTTAAATGAAATAAGCCGGGCACAGAAAACAAAATACCACATGATTTCACTTCTTTGTGGAATCCAAAAAAGTTGATTACATAGAAGTAGACAGTAGAATGGTGGTTACCAGAGGCTGGGGTGTGGTGGAGAGGGGGATGGGAAGATGTTGGTCAAAGGATACACAATTGCAATGAGACAAGAGGAATAAATTTCAAGACACCTATGAAAGAGCAAGGTGTCTATGGTTAAAAATATATTACATTCTTGAAAAATGTAGAGAGTGGATGTTATATGCTCTTACCACAAAATGGTAACTATGTGATCAATACATTTGTTTAATTAGCTAGATTTAACCATTCTACAATGTATGTGTACTTTAAAACATCATGTTGTATATGATTATAACGTACAATGTTATCTATTAATTTTAAAAAGAAAAAATTGGTGTTCATCCTTCTGGCCTTTTTAAAACATAAAAATAAATATAGCCTTTGTTGTACATAATTTTACCTGTGAAGCAAAGGTATCTCTAAGGCTCACAGCTAGAAGTGTAGCTGCTGGGCTGCAGTGCTTGTGCCTGTTCACATCAGACTAGAGGCTGCCAGATAGTTCTTCAAAGTGGCTTTACCAGTTTCGTCTTCCATTAGCAGTTTGAGTTCCTGTTTTCTTATATGCTCACCAACATTTAGGGTTTTTGTTTTGTTTTGCCAAACTGATGGCAAGAGTGGGATCTCATTTTTGTATTAATTTTTATTTCCTTAATGACTTGTAAAGTTGAATGCCCAGGTTTCTTCTAAAAATCACCAGTTTATATCCCTCGTCTATTTTTCTATTTTTCTTTATTGATTTGTAGGCATTCTTTACATATGATGATATGATTAAGGCTAGAAGGTCCTAGGTTACAGGAGTCCCGGGATGGCCCCAACTGGGTCAAGGGGACACCACTCTGCTGAGTGGCTCTGTAGCAGAGCAGTATATGCAGAGGCAGAAAGGGTGAGAGCATTCTATTCATGGACCAGCTAACAGTCCTCAGCTGGGTGGGTGGGTTGTGGACAGGGTCCTCTGGTTCTCTTTCATCTACCTATCCATTTTCCTGGTCCCTCCACTATGATACACCTCTATTTCCCAGTCAGTAGGAAGGAGAATTATAAATCAGTCATTTCAGCATCACTGATGGAATCACAGAATGAAGGAGAAAAAGTCTGGACTCTCTAAAAACAGGTTTCACATAGATGAGATGATTTAAAGATGTTTCTTCTCCGCTCACAAAATATTAAAGAAAAGAACAAATGAAACTAAATTGAACTGGAATAAGAAAAAGATATTTATTTCTCTCTCTGCACTTCAGTTTTTTTCTTCAGGGAAAGAGGGGGAAATAGTTTTGGTTTTTTTGCCCTATGGCTAACTAGAGACAGCCTAGAATTAGAAATAAAACAGATGCAAAATCTTCTCTTCTGTGGGGTGAGTGAATACATAGTTATAAGCTCCTTCCCCAAGAGAATTTAGATCTTTTAACATGTAGGCCAGGAGGCTGCTCCATGGTGCTGTCCCAAACTTTCTCAGTAGTTAAGAGCCATGCACCCTATAGAGGTTTAGAAAGAAAACAATACTATGAAAGGGAGCTTATTCTCCTTGGCTTTTCTTGAAATAATGATCTCTGTCAAGCCTCAACTATTAAAATGAATTGTATTTTGATTAATTACCTTTATTCTGTTAAAAAAATAAATGACCAAAGTATGTGTTTATATATGCAGAGATGTATAATATACATGTGTGTGTGTGTGTATCTCATTTGTGTTTGTGTGTATACACCAAGACTGAAAGAGCCAGCTGTTTTAGCCATTTATATTTGGGGGATGGGTGGGTAATACAGTAAGTTCTGTTGAAAGGAAATTATGGGAGAGAATCTGATATCCTGAATCTTTCAACAAGACAGGGTTCAGAGGGCAAGTGTGGAAATAAACTTAGAAACCAGCTTCTTGTTTCTAGATCAGTTTTTAAAAGTAAGCCTATAATGTGAACTCTTTTTGGAAGTCGGGTTTTGCTGCTGTTGTTTGGGGCTTTTTGTTTGCTTGCTTGCTTGGTTTTCTAAGTTAATTTTTCTTCCATAATTCAATTGGAAAATGCATATGAATGGGGTATTGTTAAGATTCCTTTCCATCAAAATCACCATATTCAGCAAACCCCCCCAATACTTTCAATAACCAGTTTGCAGAATTGATATTCTTCTCCCTTCCCAGTTTTTCCCTGCAACTTGAAAACTACAAATATAGAAATTATCACTTGAATCTATGCAGGATAATTGATTGTGAAGTCAGACAACCTCTGTTATTAGCAGACTCACTTAAAAGCTGGAAACCCTCCTGGATAAATTACTTTTAAGTGACTATGTGGGCTCCATGAAGGGGAAATGACTGCTGGTGCAGAACATGCGGAATCTGTCTCAGCGATGTGGCCCAGGAAATTGCAGAACCCAGTTGTGGAGCTAATTAGTAGATATGTGGATGCATGAAAACTATAGTCACAGGAGCTTGTACTTACACAAAACATCCTGACTTGCCACATAGTAGAACTCAACAAAATGGCCCAACTAGTACAGAAAGATGTGGAGCAACATATGGACTTTTTTTTTTTTAAACTTTAAGTTTTAAATAAGTATAGATCCATTGAAACCACAATAATGCCAACACCATTGCTTTTTTTTTTTTTTTTTTGAGACAGAGTCTCGTTCTGTAGCCCAGGCTGGAGTGCAGTGGCATGATCTTGGCTCATTGCAACCTCTGCCTCCCAGGTCCTGGTTCAAGCAATTCTCCTGCCTCAGCCTCCCGAGTAGCTAGGATTATAGGCACGCGCCACCATGCCCAGCTAATTTTTGTATTTTTAGTAGAGACGGGGTTTCACCCTGTTAGCCAGGCTGGTCTTGAACTCCTGACCTCATGATCTACCCGCCTTGGCCTTCCAAAGTGCTGGGATTACAGGCGTGAGCCACCGCGCCCGGCCAGCTATTGTTCTTTAGAATAGCTTTTCCATGTATAAACCTAGAATTGTTTTTAAAACTATATTTTAAAAGTAAAATATAGTTTTCTGAGTCTTGGTTTGTATTCTCTGGATCCAAAATTATGCCAATTAAGTTGCAGTAGGAAATATGCCACATACATACTAGAGCTGACATTAAATGCTCCTGATTCCATATGGAACACTTAATTCTACCCCTCCAAACACACTGTCACCAATACTAAACTGTCCCATGATTTGCCTCACTTATCTTATCTAGTTAATGAAGAAACTAACTGTGAATTGCTAATGGCTATACTGAAAGAGTAGAAAATAAAAATCCTATATTTTATTATTACTTTAATGCTAGTATTCCTTTGTTTTTGTTTTGATTTTTTTCTGATATGCTGTTTGTCTATATACAATATTTGCTTCTTCAAAGGCATGTTATGAATGTTGGAAGTAACTCCTGGGCAGAATGACACCTAAGGCAAACCAGCCAGTGTTTCCTCATCTTACCTTTTAAGACATACAGCAAGTGGTTCCACACTCTTTTGATAAGTACATCCTCAATCTGGTAATCATAGAATCTTAGTGAAGAAAAATCTTAAAGGTCATCTAGTCCAATGTCACACCCAGTACAAGAATCCTATTTGCTTGAAAAAATCCTTCCTTTGTAAAAATGAAATGTCTAAGGCAATTTTCTCTTAATATACTCAGTGGAAGGGGGAAACATCTGGACACCTTTTTCTTTATAAGAACTCTTTCTATACTTAAACACCATTTATTTTCTTCCTTCAATCTTCTTTTCTTTTAGTTAAATAGCCTACTTTCATCGCTCTTCAGAGATGTGATTTTCCATGCTTTTAATCATTTCAATTGCTTTCCACATCCTCTGAACATGCAGAAGCACAACCTAGGCATGGCAGCTGAATGAGAGCTTTGCTAGTATCTTATTAATGCTGAATATGGTGACTCAGTTTTTAATGCCAGGCTCTTGTTAACGTAGCCTAGCATCATGTTAGATTTTGGAGTGTTTTTTTCTTTAACATAATTGACTCTTTACTTCAAATTTTCATGCTATCAATTTTTTTTTTTTTTTTTTTGAGACAGAGTCTCGGTCTGTTGCCCAGGCTGGAGTGCTGTGGCACGATCTCGGCTCACTGCACACTCCACCTCCTGGGTTCATGCCTTTCTCCTGCCTCAGCCTCCCGAGTAGCTGGGACTACAGGTGTGCAGCGCCATGCCCAGCCCATTTTTTCGTACTTTTAGTAGAGACGGGGTTTCACCATGTTGGTCAGGATGGTCTCGATCTCCTGACCTCGTGATCCACCTGCCTCGGCCTCCCAAAGTGCTGGGATTATAGGCGTGAGCCACCGGGCCCGGCCCAAAAAATATTTTTAACATTAACTTATTTAAAATAAAAATCCTCAGATTATTTAAGATGATCTTTTTAAAGGTAAAAACCAGCCTCTACAGGGTTTTAGCAATATTTAATTACAGATACCACACACAGTTGGTAATACACCCTATTATTGGTCCCAAGTTTCCAGAATTCTGTATGTATATTATCATGCTCTCTGGAACCAAAGAAAAGGAAAGGTACCTTCTGTAGATTTCTGGAATTCTTAGCTGAAGCTGACATTCCTATCTTTTTAGTAGCTTGTAGCCTCCATGGGGCTGTGGATCCCAGAAGTTGTTGAATTCTCAGATGTGCTGGTATTTGACTCAGGAGTTTGGGTTATAAGTGACAGAGTGCACATTCAAATTGACATAATAAGCCTGGGTGTGGTAGCTCATGCCTGTAATTCCAGCACTTTGGGAGGCTAAGGCAGGAGGATGGCTTGAGGCCAGGAGTTTGAGACCAGATTGGGCAACATAGTGAGACCCCATCTCTACAAAAAATAAAAAATTAGCTGGATGTGGTGGCATACACCTCTTGTCTTAGCTACTTGGGAAGCTAAGGTGGGAGGATCACTTGAGCCTAGGAGTGTGAAGTTATAGTGTGCTATGATCATGCCACTGCACTCCAGCCTGGGCAACAGCAAAAGACCCTGTCTCAAAAAATATATACATAAATAAAAATAAAAAGTGACATAATATACAAAATAACTGGTAGGGCTGGGGATAGATTTAACGGGTTGTATGACCAAGGTAGCTGAACTTGAGTGGTCAAATGATGATGAGAACCAGTCTCTCTCCATCTTTCAGCTCTTCCTTGCAGTGTGTTGTTAGTCTTAGGCAGGCTTCTCCAAAGTGGTGGCTACAGGCTTTCACTGTACCAATTTAGTGACCCTAGCTTACAGAGGCTCCTCTTCCCCAGAAGGCTCGGCCAAATTCTTATGGTTGGATTCTCACATGCTCAGCTTCGGTTACATATTCATTTCTAAACCAAGCACTGAAACTCGTTTGGTCTGACCCAAGTTCAGAGACAACCTCTAGAGTTGGAGGATGGGGTCAGTTCCATGTGAACCACATAGATGGAGAAGAAAAATTGAAGTTCTGTTTCCAAAAGCCAGGGGAGCTGGACAGGGGAGAACACAGGGTTCTTCTATTCATAGCTCCCTCAGTGTCTCCTCATGGCTGTCAAGGAATCCACAAATGGTATAGTCCATTATATGGAGTATGGAATCACTAAAGGCTTGAAGAACAAATCCACTGGCTAGCTTTGTGACTACTGGCTCATTACCAGCACAAGACCTTAAACACTTAAGGACAATGGAAGCACTGCCTAGCAATGCACAGGAGAAAAGTTTGTTGGGTTGAAATGAAAGGAGGGGTGGAGAAAGGGTTAAGAAGATACAGTACTTTCTGTGTAATTTCAGGGAGCAAAACCTAAGAATTAGAGAAATTGTTCCCATAGATCTAAGAAAAAGCATATATTTAAAGCCTGTAATGAGCATTTCTTTGTGTCCTGGTTCAGTAATGTTCTGATCAAAATTTTGCAGTGACTTTAGGGCAGCTTAGTAAAACAGGCAGAGTGGCAATAGAACAAGGCTGCATAAAGGTACCTGAGGTATATAGGAAGGGAAGAAGGGACAGAGGGTTCCATAGGGAAGTGAGTGCCTATGGGACTCTAGGCAGAGGTAGGTTAGCTGTTCCAGTAAATCACCTACCTTTTGACAGTGATTTAAAGGGTTTCTTGCTGAATGATAGTAAAATAAATACGTATTAGTGAATAACTAGAAGACAAAATCCTATTCTGAAACACAAATACTGTGCTGAAATGTACCAGGATCGTGTTTACTAAGGCACAGTGATTAAATTTTAAATTCCAGTTTATTTTTCCTTTTATAGTCACAGATATTCCTTTGTACTTATAAGTTGACTTTAATTTATGAATATTATATACTTTTTTTTAATAATACCTTCTCGAAGATTAATATCTACTCATAATGGTTAGAACTTGAAATAATTACAGTCTGTTTACCTTTGGCTCCTTGTTGAATCTTAAGTTAATTATAAAAATATTTGTAAGAAATAAAAATAACCTCATTGGGTAATATGGTCATTGATATTAAAAGCAAAAGGGAACCAGGAAATTTAGTTGGATTCCCAGAGGAGTCTTTGGCTGAGAAAGGTTTGGGAAGCACCACACTAGCTAGATGCCTCCAAGCGTAATATACTCTTGGCCTAAGCGTAGAAGGAGAAAGCAGTAGACAGAAAAAGGGGAAATGGAACAACTCTTTGTTAAAAAAAAAAAAACAACAAAAAAAAACAAACTGAAGAATAGCATTTTTATTCTCTGTGTGCTCTGGAGGAAATTTATACACAATCCCTCACCCCTCTCCACCAAAAAAATGTGGCGGGAGGTCAAACTAATGACACTGAGAAAAATATCTGACATCATCAGATTGATAGTTTAAGAACTATGGCAGAAATACTTTAAATCTATTAAAATTTTAGTTTTCTAAAACAGATAAAATTAAGATACACACCCTTACCTCTAAAATCAAGTGTGAAACATGTTTGCTGGATATCTTCCTGTGTGCCCCTCTAGATTTACTCACAATCATTCTTCACCTGCTCTCTGCCCTGGGACCTGGCCTGTGTGTGTCACATCAACAGGACTCTCCTGGGTTGGGCCACTGGGGTGCACCGGTAGGAGATTTGAAGGAGCAGAGTGATGTTGGGCTATGGACTGGCTGTGCCTCTTGATGGAAGGTCTCAGATCCTGCTAGGCAGTCTTTTCCACACAGCCCCCTCTATCTCCTTGCTTCCAGAAACCAGCCTGTTCCCTCACCTTCTCAATCTAGGGGCACTAATGGAGCCCCACTGTAATTAGCCTCGGAATACTAAAGTGCACCATCTCTTTCCTGATGGCATCCTGGCTGACACAATATGTAATATTTTAGGTTGAAAAAAATGTAATTAGGTTATAGAAAAAGTTCTAGTGGCAACCTGTGCTCATTTTATGTCTACTCCTAACATTTACTACTATTTGTATTAGAGTTGAGTGTGGGCCAAGCCTAGGCATAAGGAGGTTTATAATCAAAAGCCTTTAGTTCTCTGTTCATGATCTAGTCATAGATACAGACTGGGCTGGAAGAAGAACTACTTGGCTTTTATTACATTGACACAAGCCCAACTTTCCTCAAACCCCTACATGTCCTTACAACCTGTCACCCTTTCTTTTTACTGGGTAGTAGTGGGGCAAATAGCACTGTGAGTAAGAGGGTCCAGGATGGTACTAAACACACAGTAAGTTTACTTGGGGAAACATGTTTTACTTAAAGAATAATAACATTGGCCGGGCTTGGTGGCTCATGCCTGTAATCCTAGCACTCTGGGAGGCCGAGGCAGGTGGATCACCTGAGGTCAGGAGTTCAAGACCAGCCTGACCAACATGGAGAAACTCCGTCTCTATTAAAAATACAACATTAGCCGGGTGTGGTGGTGCATGCCTGTAATACCAGCTACTCGGGAGGCTGAGACAGGAGAATTGCTTGAACCTGGGAGGCGAAGGTTGCAGTGAGCCGAGATTGCACCATTGCACTCCAGCCTGGGAAACAAGCGTGAAACTCCGTCTCAAAAAAAAAAAAAAAAAAAGAAAAGAAAAAGAATAACAACATTATTCAATTAGTATTTAATAAAAGATGAAAATAAATTGTTACAACTAAGCACCTCAACAGCAAGAACCATGTCTTACCATTTTTCCATTCCCCAGACCTAGCACAGAGCTTGACACTTAGTAGAGAGCCATTAAAAAACACTCAGATAAATTACAGTGTTAAGTTCTAAGGTACAATAGGATGGTCAGTGCTATGGGTGGTGACAGTTGTGTATACTGAGTGTATATTTATGCCTGGGTTCCCTTTCACTGTTCTTAATAGAACATCATCGATGTCTCCCTTGGTGTGGTATTTAGCCTATTTTGGGTCCTGGAAAGGTTTGGGAAGCACCACGCTAACTAGATGCCTCCAAGTGTAATATACTCTTGGCCTAAGCGTAGAAGGAGAAAGCAGTAGACAGAAAAAGGGGAAATGGAACAACTCTTTTTAAAAAAAAAAAAAATGAGAATGTGATGAAACAATATACCTACACACCAAAAGATAAGTCAAGGACGAAAGATAAAAAAATACTCTTAATCAAGATGTTCTACATCATACTGAAGCAGATATAGTCCCTGTGCAATAAAAGGGCGGGGCATGAAGTACTCTATGAGGAATCTGAAGAAGTTCATTCCAGTTCAGACTTCACAAAAATATAACCTAGAGAAACTTAATTTCTTTATCCAAACCCCCAACTTCTGATAATGGGTACCTATGATGGTGGTTGTTGATAATGATAGCTCTCACTACAGGCCAGGCATTGTGCTAAGTGTTTTACATATTTTAATGCATTTAACCCTCAAAAACATATCTTAACTCACTTAATCCTTATTAGGTAGGTACTACTATTATCCTCATTTTAAACATTAAGAAGTTGGACACAAGGAGGATTAGCAGACTGCTCAAGATCATAAAAGTAGTTAGTGAAGGAGGCAGCATTAGACCCAGGTTGTCCCACTCAAAGGCCTGAGCTCATACCTGCTCCTAACTACCTCACTCCACTAATGGAATTTATTAAAACATACTCGTTGAGGAGCTAATGGAGTGTAAGGCACTGTGTTAGTTGCTGTGGGAGACTCAGAGACATATACAACAGAGTTTTCCCTGAAGAATGCATAAATGCTAGGGGAGGGGATAGCCGGGTAAAGCCTCATTTGCATTAATAATACCACATGGTACAGGTGAGGAATAACTGGGGGTGAGCATCAGCACTACCGAAGTAAAGCATGAGTAGATAAGTCAAAAGCAGCCTAGGAGGTGATATAAACCTCCAGAGAAAAGGATACTTCAACAGGAATCCAGAGACTTTGAAAAACTAATGGTAGGGATGAAAATTTGAAGGAACTAGGTGAAAAAATAGTCACACTCTAGAAAAAAACTTTATATTCAACATTAATATACAACATGAAACACAAAAGTTTCTATCTTAAGTATATTATTTACATAACATAAAAGGAAAAAAGTTCTAGAGAGGTCTTTCAGATCATTAGAAGATGCCACTTGAAAGCCAGAGCACGTGCAGACTGAGCCCCGGCCAGTCCTGGTTCTTGATCTTGTCATGTGCTGGGCTGTGTGCCAGGTGTCAGAGATAAAGAGATAGGGTACCTACCCTCAAGAAGCATACAGTTTATTGGGAAAGACAAACTACTGTGCAATTTACTATAAAATGTTTTGGTGCCCATGACAGCAGGGGATGAATAGAGTCTATGAGATGAGGCCTGGATGGCTCATCAAGTGTCATCCCTGCCCAGATGTGCGGGTTGGGTATAGATGGTTTGTTGAATCTACTTGGGCTCAAATGGTCCATTCTAACACTGAGTGGACTTTAGAATGTAAAACAAGAGATTACTTGAGAACCACCCAAACAGCACTGTAAGTAAACTACATACCATTTATTAATATGCCAGGCACTTATAAAATAAATTATAGCATGTACACCTGTGAGTGTGGCTTTATTTATAATCCTCTAAGAGGTTTAACTTTTTAGAGATTGGAGGTACCTGTCTTAGCTTTTATTCTCAGCTTCTTTCCTACTGTTCTTGGCTGTCTTTTAGCTTCTAAGGACTCACAATGGTATGCCCTGTTCAACAGGTCCGCTGGGCTCTTTCTGCATGCTCTCATGGAATCTGAATATCATGCTTGAAGGTGAAGCTTGAACTCCAGAAAAATGCCTCCACTCCCGCTTCCATTCTCTGTGTGTGAAGCATCAGTGCATCACTTTCTCTGATGCAGGGCTGGGCTTCCCCAGGAGTCTCACTCTGTCATTCAGGCTGGAGTGCAGTGGCACGATCTCAGCTCACTGTAACCTCCGCCTCCCAGGTTCATGCGATTCTCCTGCCTCAGCTTCCGGAGTAGTTGGGATTACAGGTGCCTGCCACCACACCCAGCTAACTGTTTTTCTATTTCTAGTAGAGATGGGGTTTCACCATTTTGATCAGGCTGGTTTTGAACTCCTGGCCTCAAGTGATCCACCTGCCTTGGCCTCTCAAAGTGTTAGGATTACAGGCCTGAGACACCATACCTGGCCCCTAGTTCTTTCTTGTTTGTACTGTGCCTCCTGTCTGGATGGCCTCCCAGTTCCCTAAGGAACACCACCCTTAGCTGCCAAGGCCTCAGACTCAATGCCCAGTGAGGTCACAAGTGGGGGCTCAGCCCAGTATCCAGTACATAATAAGCACTGAGTAAAGGTTTGCTGAATGATGAAGGAACAAATAAATGAATGCTCACATCTTCAGGTCTCTAAGAAACCCTGCCCTCAGCCACTAGCAGCAGTACCTAGCTGCCACCGACTAACTGTCCAGCCTGTAGCTAATACCAGTCTCATCCTGGATACTTCCTCCCTACAATCTGCTCTCACTCCCAGATCCCATGGTCTCCCTGGGCGCTCCTGTCTTTGGGTCAGGAAGGCATATTTATTTTGTCCCTGTGTTCTCCTTGGGGGAAAAACAGCTCTGGGCTGAGTGCTGCTGGGAAGGCTGCCCCTAGAAACAAGAGATGTTTTCCCTCTGTGTGTGTTCTTGCTTCGCCTTTTGAAATTCTCATAGTCACGAATCTACTGGTCAAGGTTATTAACACCACACATCTAACAAACATCTAACTGTCCCTTTTTAACCAACCGTTCAAGGTGCTAGCTAAAAGCATTCCTGGTAATTACACAAAGCCAATGCCTTAAGCTTTCTGCTTGTAGGCAGCCCTCCTTTCACCTCACAGTCAAATCCCAGTAGACTCCCCAACATTCCCCTAACTTAAAGGTGGCTATCTCTACCCAGGCCTGTCCTAGCTTTTAGGTTCCTAATAGTCCAACACAAAGCAAGGAGACAATGGCCTTTCCACAGAGTGCATCTGTGAGGCCTGGAGGGGAAGATTCTCTCAGGTGCCACTTAGCTCTAGGCCAACTATTTCCTAATCTGCAAAAGCTCAAATCAGCCAATCAAAACACATGGATAGAGTACCACTTATGCACAAGGCATGGGAATGATACACAACCATCAGAAATGCAGGCCTCACTCCTCAAAAGAAGCTTATGAATGAGAGAAAGGCTTTTTAAATAAAAACCTAGTATTACAGGGCCATACATCCTGACAGTCAATATGAAGCAAAGGCAGCAAAAGCAACTGAAACATGTGGAAGGGATGGGGAAGGAAATTTGGATGGCAGTTGGAATGGGAAATAATTGGTCAGTTTGGCCAAAATACAGGTGAGAAGAGATCCATCAAGCTGGACTAATTGTCAAAATCCTTGAGTGAAATTATGTAATATGCTCTCTTATAGGCCTTCAAACTGCCAGTCAGATTTATTTTGGACCCCTTCAAGATACCATACAGAAGTCGAACATAGTTCTTCATGCATGAATTAAAAGAAAAACACTATTATTATTTCTTCCTTCATTTTATACATTTATTTAATCTAGTGCTTACTACATGCTAAGCACTGTTCTAAGTGTATTATAAATATTAAGTCATTGTGTTGGGCGCAGTGGCTATGGCTGTAATCCCAGCACTTTTGGAGGCTGAGGCAGGTAGATCCCCTGAGCTCAGGAGTTTGAGACCAGCCTGGGCAACATGGTGAAACTCCACCTCTACCAAAAATACAAAAATTAGCCAGGTGTGGTCCCAGCTACTCAGGAGGCTGAAGTGGGAGTAGCTGTGGTCCCAGCTACTCAGGAGGCTGAAGTGGGAGGATAATTGGGGCCTGGGAAATTGAGGCTGCAGTGAGCCATGATCGCAGCACTGTACTCCAGCAGGGATGACAGAGCAAGACCCTGTCTCAAAAAAATAAACACATTAATTTTAAAAAATTTAAAAATTAACTAACTGAATCCTCATAGCAACAATGTGAGGTCAGAATGATTATTTTGCCTTTTTTTACAGAAAGGGCAACAGAAGCTCAGAGTTTAAGTAACTTGCTCAAGGTCTACCCTTGTGCTGCCTCTCTGGGTACCAAGAAAGAGCAGATTATGGATCAAATGCTGCTATTTGCTAAGCCTCTAAGAGGCAACAAAATGCTAAGAGCAGAGACTCATCAGTGATGTCTTCCCAGAGCTGCTTTTGAACTCTTCCAAGTCTATCACTTACTAAATTGTTTCTGAAAGCCCCTGTGGCACCAGCATTCCACACCCAAAAGGAGAGAACCAAAACCTTTGCAAGCTTGGCGAGTGTATAAATTGGCTAAATTAGACCCTAAGTGGGAAGGTGGGTTAGAAAAGGACAGGGGAATGTGAGGAGGGAGAATAAAAGGGGAGTGGGCGACTGGGCTGCCCTAGTCTTGCAGTACGGAGCAAGATTACTTTTTACAGATGTGTAGGGCTAAGAGAGAAGATCATAACATTATACCTCCTACTATGGCTTTTTCCCCCTAGTTTTACTTTTTTGGTGGGCAGGGTTTCAATTTCCTTTTAGAATTGGATAGGCTTGATTTTAAAAATCGTGAGAAGTTAGTGGTTAAAGGAAACAGGAAGTAGGAGAAACATGGCACAATGGGGACTTGGAGACAGATGAGGAGAGTGCAGAGGAAAAGAAAAGAGGAGGTTTCTATACTTCTGCAGGGGGGAAAGAAACATGAGAGATGTGTTAAGAGTTGGAGGAGAAAGGCTAGGGAAGCTTTTAACCAGAAAGAGCCAGTGTTCTAGTGTGACCCTATGAAAACAACTCTTCCAGACCTTTGGGTCCATAGCCCACAGTGTAAGAAATGCTATTGGGATACTTGGTAGACCACACCCACAGAGCTATTTCACAGTCAACAACTGTGGCCACAGCAGATGATGGGATGGAAGGGCTAACTTCATAAACTTTCCCAGTTTGACCAAGTAAAACTTTTTATTTAATGAGATCAAAATGCTGACAAATCATTTTATAGAGGGAGTGAGCCAGAAGGAATATGTGTTGGTTCTAAAAGAAAGTGGGTGTTGGGCAGTATATTTTTGTTACTTCTTAACAAAGAGGAAAGCAGGGAGGAGGAAGAGAGGGGCAAGGCCCCTTGCCTTTGGCAGGCAGTAGGCTGAATACTACGGTAGCTCTGCAGAATTAGAACAGCCATCTTGGAACAATCATTTGACTCCTATGTAAGCTCATCTCAAAGCTGTTAGCTATTTACAGTCTAAGGCTTGAGAGTCTCCTCAGGCTCTTTAAAGATATTAAAATGATAACACATTTTAATATGTCAAATTTAATACTACAAAAATGTTGTAATAAAGTTTCAGGGCTTTCTTTCCCCATTGGTTTAATCATATGCATATAAAACAGGAGGCATCCAAAGTTAACATCTTCTAGTGCCCAGATTTCTGCGTCTATTGCATTGCAGTGTGATACACACGGACAAAGATTCTTTAAGGCCAGTTTCAGACCGAAAGTACTCTATTAATTCCAGCCAGTAAAGAACAAGGAGAGAAAGGGATGATTCCAATATCAAGCCAAACTGGGGGCTTGGGGAGGGAGAGGAAAAGTGGAGAATCTAAGGGCATCACATGCAGTAGTACAATGGTTACTGAAGGGGTTTTGGAGTCAGATTGATTTGAATGCTTATCCCACTTCTGCCTTTCAATGGCTCTGTGACCTGCAGAAAGTTACTAAACCTCTCTGGGTCTTTATTTCCTCATCTGTAAAATGGAGATAACAGTATCTGTCTCATAGGGTTGTTAGAAGGCAGTATGAACTCAGGCAGGTAATGCAGGTAAGGCACTGGCACATATTAGGCACTCAGTAAATGATAGCTATTATTCTCAGAACCATGTCTAGTGAGACTCCACTTCTCTAGGCTAGATAGACATTTTACAGAAGAATTAAAAAGGGTGTGGAGCTACCCTAAAGAAGCTAAGCACTTTAGATTTCAAAGGGAGCCTCCATTCTGACCTGATCCTCTGAGTTAAAGCTGGAACACAGAAGCATCCAGGTGATCTACAAGGTATAACTCTGAGCTACAGTAGACCTAGGTGAGCCATTCCCAATAGAATTGGATCTCCAGAGCTGGCTACAAGAAGATAAAAAAATGAGAAAGGACTCCTTTCACTTGGTATGACTGGACTTGATTCTATTTTCAAAGCTTTATCTATTGTTTTGTTTAGGTTTAAAATTGACAGTGATTTTCAATAATCATAAAAGCTCCCAGGCTCCTTGGACAGTTTTTTTATTGAAGTAACAAAGCACTGCAGATTTGGCAAAAAGAAATACAAGGCTCAGTTAAATTTAAATTTCAGGTAAACAATGAATAATTTTGAAGTATGAGTAGGTCCCAGTACAATATTTTAGATGTACTCATACAAAAATTGTTGTTTATCTAAAATTCTAATTTAACTGGACATCTTGGAATTTTTTGGGAACCCTAAACAGTGGCCAAGAATTTGCCCTTTGTAACATGCAGAGTGGCAAAGCAGTCACCAAAACAACAACAACAAAAACTCCTCCGTTTCCAGGGCCCTTACTTCTCAACAAATGCAGCACTAAATTCTCAGGCTTTTTGTTTGTTTGTTTTTTAAAGATCATTTCCCTACAGAGAGGTTTTTTTAAAGCATCTCACAGTCTAGAGAAAAAATAACAATGGGATGGGACTTCCCCTCTGATGGCATCTAAATAATTACTGGTTGGCTGACGTTTAAGACATGATACTTGTAAGAGTACTGACCCCTTGCTTTTTTAGCTTTCCTAGCCAAGGCCAACAGGTTAAGTTATGTTCTTCCAAAAATATCTCTTCTTTATTCTTCATGAAAAAAATACACATGCAGAAATTATCTTCCCCCAGATGAAACAGCATTTTCTTTGGCGGGTTCAATGCCACTAAATACTAGGAAATTAACCTTCGGGGCTTAAGGGGCAAGGCCCAACAGTGCTGGCCATTGTCTCTAGCTACAGCTGCAGCCTGGCTATTCACACTGACCCCAGAGAGGGAGGTCCGCCATGTCATGAACAAGGCCACACGGTAGGTAGACCGTCCATGCAAACAAATAAATGCAAAACTCTCTCTTTCTTAGTAATATCAAAAACAACTGAGTTCTTTCCTTCCTGATGGAAAGTCAATAATATTCCTTACTTTCCAAAATATCCCCAAACAACCCCAGGTTCAAGGTCTTAGCAACTTAAATTTAGAAATAGGTTTACCCTATAAGGCCCTAGGGATTTTAAGCAAATGGTACCACTCTTCTTTTTTTTCTTTTTCTCAGACCTCCTATTCATTTCCTAAGGCTACTCAGGTGCAGTGACTACTCTTTCAAAGGTTAGCAACCAATGTTTCAAGGGATTGTTGGATTTTTAATCTTCTTGAAAGTATTACATTAAGCTCTTGGGCCAGGTTACAGCAGCCTATGGCCAGGTTGAACTGGACAAAAATAGAATTCACTCTAGCTTACAAATCTGGCACAAATTACGTGCTGGTCAAAAACGTTTTTTAATCACAGGAATCACTAGTGAAAATCCACTGGTGCTTTCTGTGGCCCAGTGGGTGTGACCACCTGATGAATTCAGAAAGAAGAAACCAAAGAAGAAAACTAATCACATCACCTTGGTGTAAAGCATGCATAACAGACAGAGTGAAATTAATGGCTTCTCTAGGAAGCCTTCCTTGATACAGGCAAAGCAGAGCCTTGTGATTCCCTTAATTCCCTTGTTTCTGACATAAGTATATAGAAATAGCTATACTATGTGATATATGTATCAATCCATTTTGGATTACTCACTGTTCTCAGAACACATCCCAAGTTCTCCTGTCCCTGAGCCTTTGCTCACATCTTTCTTCTGGACTGTTTCCCACTTTTACCCATGCCGGGCAAAAGCCTATCTCAATTTTTTCAAAATTCAACTCAAATGCAATTCTTCCCTTAAATGGTCTCTCTTTCTCTCCCAAATTCCAAGTGTTCTTTGCTTTTTCCACCTTTTCACAGATATCTAACTGGAAGGAGTGATGGACTTGTTTCTCTCATGAATGACAAAGCCCCCAAGGCAGGGACTGGATCTCACAGAGCCTCATCCAAATGGAGCCGAGGGTAGGGACTCAGTGTCAGCAGGACTAGTGAGCTTATTAACCATGTCATTGATTTCTTAGTAACATCAACTCTAGAAAGTCTTTACTGATGACCTTCCTGACATCACACGGCACTTTACCACAGAATTTATGACATCATACTGAAATTTAACAGAAACCACTGGACTACTAGTTCTTAAGGGTAGAGACATTGTCTCACTATCCATGTGTCTGCAGTACCTAACACAGTACTTGAAAATGAGAGGGCACGTAAATAAATATGTTCAAAGTGAACTATAAGCCCTTTAAGGGGAGCTTAGACTCTCATCTTCTGCTCCTTCTCATTATAACCATGAAACATTAATTGATGCTGACACCTGAGGCAGGTTCTGCAGCAGCTTCTCATTTTTTTTCAAGTAGGTCATACCATTTGGTAAGCAAAAATATGGAAAATGTTCTGAAATATAAGTGCTAATCTCAAGGTTTCATGTATTTTGAGAAGCTTGAGACTTAATTGTCTCAAATAGTTTCCTGGGTGGCCCTCTTCCTTAACCCAAGATAGCCTCATAAATTTCTGTTTCACTTCAGCATGATCTACATTCCAATTATGATCATTATTTGGTGTTTTCAAAATAACTCCAACGAAGTTCTAAGACTGGATTATATGATGACAAGACTTTATAAATTTATTATACTAAAAATCATTGAATTGTATACTTACAATGGGTGAATTTTATAGTATGTAAATTATACCTCAATAAATCTGTAAAGAAAATTAACTTCGACTAGTCATCAACAGAGGATCCTCTTATTTTTCATTTTAACCTCCAAGGTCTACCATAGTAAAAGACAGCATGGCTGTTCCTCATTAGCCAAGAGGTGCGTCCACTCTGGCGGGAGTGTTCAGGCAGGTCACCAAATGTAAACAGCCCTGTAAAGGTCATCACAAAGGCGCTGTTGTTCTGTCTCACAGCCGAGAAGGAAAGGAGAGTCGCCACAGAATATCTACTCTTTCTTGCATCCTAATTAGAAACATGTGGAAGAGGGCCCACCCACAGGTCAAACCAGTCAGAAAGGCCCCATTTCTTCTACCTAATGTTGCATGTTGGCTAAAGTAAGACCTCTCCCTGGCCTGCCATGGGAATGGTTTCAAATTATAAAAGTATCTCCAAAGGCCACCATCAAAGCACCAGTAGATTTTCACTAGTGGCTCCCCATGATTTGAAAAACACTTCCTTGACCAGCACATAATTCGTGCCAGGTTGGTAAACTGGAACCAATTCCATTTGTTTGTCCACTTCAACCTGGCCAAGGGCTGTTGTGCCCTGGCCCAAATTACACACTCTCAGACTCCCTTGGGTAGGTGAAATGCAGAACTTACAAAGTTTAAAAGCTCTAGGCAGTATCTTGGAGACATAGATCATACAAATGTCTGTATTCTTTCTTGTAACCCATTTAAGTTGAACTTAATATTTTTATTCTTCCCATTTTATAGATGGTGAATATAGCATCAATACCTAAACTGTCTCAATGAGCTATCAAGTAAATGAACAATAGGTTATATAAACTCTATTAATGCCCTAAAGAAAATGCCGTATAAGTCTAAGATGATATTTATTACAACACTACGAAAAGAGCAATGCTGTTGTTCTCATTCAGATAAGCCCTAGTTAATATTCACATTTCTTCAAACTCTGGGGGGCAGTGACTTGTTCTAGTAGTAGAAAATTAATATAAAGTCAGTTCAAGTAAAACTAAAGTTTTAGGGGCTGGGTGCAGTGGTTCACGCCTGTAATCCCAGCACTTTGGGAGGCCAAGGCGGGCAGATCATGAGGTCAGGAGATGGAGACTATCCTGGCTAACATGGTGAAACCCTGTCTCTACTAAAAATACAAAAAAATTAGCCGGGCGTGGTGGCGGGCACCTGTAGTCCCAGCTACTCGGGAGGCTGAGGCAGGAGAATGGTGTGAACCCGGGAGGTGGAGCTTGCAGTGAGCAGAGATCACGCCACTGCACTCCAGCCTGGGTGATAGAGTGAGACTCTGTCTCAAAAAAAGAAAAAAAGAAAAAAAACCTAAAGTTTTACTTTGGGCCTAGAGAGCTGCTAATGCTGGCAGACCTTATTATTTACACATACTAAAATGATGATGATGTTGTTGTTTTTAACATAGGGAGCAATACATGCAAAGACTGTTGTGCTGGCCCAACATGGGGCCTTTTGCAAAGATCAGATAGTCCAAGAGGCCTGCTTTGATCTGACGAAAGATGGGTATTTAATCTCCTATGTGGAAGAAAACTATAGTTCTTAGATTAATAACCCGCTACAGATCTGCTGCCAAACTGCTCCAAGTCTCTCCTCCTAATGTGAAATAAAATGGCCATTTACTTCAAATCACATGGTAGAGCCAGCTTGTGCCAGAGAATATGCATTCCTTCTTCCCTCATTTAGATACATAAAAGATCAGTGCTTCGGGAGCTCAGTCTGTACTGTGAACTTCATTGTTTCTTCTAAGTTTGCCAGACACAGGATGAGGGACTGACAATAGGTGGTTCTTGGAAAGAAACTTTGAAAACTAAAGGGAGTTAACTTTACATGTGGAGAGTTGATCTTCTTGGTTGAGATACACAATTAAAATGAGACAAAGACTGAAAGGCCTTCTGGTGAACCCATGCAAAGTGTCACTAGCTGCCGTTTCACAGAAAACCAACTGGGTTCTGGCAACTGGATGGTGGTGGCAGTGGGTGGGGAGGGGAAGTCGTAATTAAGAACCCATGGTTCCAGTTAAATTGGTCGCACGCTCTACAGGAGCTCTGTCTGTACTCTGAACCATCATTGCCTGTCATAAGGGCCAGAGGATCAAAGCTTGGACACAGTGGATGATCCTGAATGAATCTCTGAGCTTCTCTGTGCTGCCTCAACTCTTAAAAAATAAATAAATAAGATCCATCCACTTTGGTGTGAAATGAAGTGGCACCATGGTTTTGGCATCATAACCAAGATAAGTCTTGTTAATATTACTCTGCTCTGTAGACTCAACTGTGTGGAAGCTTTGGGCTTCCAATGTATGAACAAATGCCAGGGGCTGAATGATCAGCAGCCAAATGTAAAATCAGATTCGCTGAAAAGAGGCAAGCATTTTAAGTCTGCCTTTCAAAGACCTGCAGCCCCACCTGACTACTGAGGTCTAAATGGAAGTGATTAACACTATTTGGTTGCATTTTCTTTGGCTAGCTCATGCCTTGTTGACCACTGAGAGACATTCGGGCAGGAAGAGGGATCAGAATGAGTGCAGGGGTCAGAGGGGTAGGGGGAGGGACAGGAGAAGACACAGTGGAGTAGGAGTGAACTGGGCAGTGGAAGTGTCCTTTTATCGAATGCTTATTTTCCTCGAGGCAGGGCGATGATAGCGAACTTGCTATCAGCACTCTTGGATCAATCTTTCCAGATGCTTCTCTGAAGAGAGAATGACTCTGATCAAACCCTCCCCAAGCCAGAAGTTGAGGAAGTAGGAGGAGGAATTTTAAAAGTGGGTAATGCACATAGAATTCTTAATAGGAAGCTAGATGAACTGCTCTGGCACACAGCAGTATTCTAGTCCCTAAGCTGAAGCTTCCAGGCCTAGAGAGGCTATGGCAATCAGAGGCCACGGGGTCTTTAGCTCCTTCCTCCTAGATTTCAAGATAGCCAGAGAAAAAGGAGGAAGCTAGGCACTAAGAATCCTGGTAGTGAACAATCCTAGCTATTGTCAGCCCATTCCAAATGCCTTCTATTAGAAAAACCATTTATATCACTCAAGACCAATGCCCAAGCCCCCATCTCCCTGATTGTCACTCAATCTATGATGGTTCCAGGGGAACTGCAAGCTAGAGGTGAAGGATTCCTTTGTTTGCATCTCTATGATAGGATGACATGTGGTCCTGAGTGCCAAGGTACTAAGATAAGAGGGGTGCCCAAAATGCCCAGATGGCTGGAGAATGAAAACCCAGAGAAGAGAGCCAAGTTTGCACAGCAGACAAGGGCCACTGTTGCTGGGGCTGGAAGTGGAGTCCTTGTAGTCCACAGACAGCAGCGGAACTAAAGGGAAGCCATCCCCCGACTCAGCTGGTGGGAGTTGGGCGGCTTCCCAGCTGGAAGGGGCTCTAAAACACATCCCTGTAAGCTACCCATGAAAGACAGAAATGCCGTTAAAAACAACAAACAAAAGGAGCCGCTAATCAAGAGGAACTTCAGATTTAAGAATGGGATTCAGTCATCCTTCCAGAAAGATGCATGCCTGGGCCACAGCCCAAGAGAATGACATTCAGCTGCTGTACCCCTCTTTGGGGCCCAAGTTAGGAGGCACTGAAAGGAGAAGAGATTCACAAAGGAGGCAGATGGGACGGCCCCCACAGACATGCAGTGCAGTTCCCATAGAGAATATTATAATTCACCAGGTATAAGCAGTTGCAATTGTGATCAGCTGCTTGAAACCGAAATAATGTTTTGCATAAGAAGCAGCAAAAACCTCAAAATTCATATCGTACCCTTTCCCCATAAACTTTGAAAGTTAAAATCATTTGGTGGTTGATGCACAGTGCTGGAAATCAGCAACCAGTCATCTTGGCCACCCCCAGTTCTAACTACTCAAGACAACCCAACCAAGGGCTTTTTCTGTGGTTAGTAAAACGAAGGTATTTTGCATCAATAGACCAAATGGCCTTAATTCTTTCCCAAGCTTAATACACATAACCAGGCTACTTTGCTAACAATGGCTGCTCCCTCTATTTCTTTCCTGCTATTTTCAATACTAACGAAATTGCTCTTAGCAACATTTTATCTTCCACTAATTCCTCAAATAGAAAGGCTATAACAAACATCACCAGGTGAACCAAACAGAACAAGACAATGGAAGAGAGAAACATTTAAAGTTTGATAATTATGCTGGTAAAATCTATAAACTGTGGAAAGAAACTGAAACAAGGCATTTTAGTTTAATTGAGCTTTGAGAACTGTTTGTGTGATTACCAGGGCTGGATTATTTTTTTTTCCTTGAAAGTCCAGCTACCTTTGTTCAGGGAAAAAAAGGGAGGTTATACCTGTTGACCCAGCTGCCCTCAGGCAACAACAGGGTCAATACTGGAGGGAATTTGCAGGTCTGTGAAGACTGATCCTTCATCCCATCCTTGTCTTAATAACTGGATGAGTAAACCAATAGAATCTTCTCCCTCTGCATTTTAGCCTGCAACATGTTTTAAACTAGAAGACAGCAGAGAAGCAGAACGGTGGATCCGTTATACATTCTGCTCCGAACATGCATGGATATCACACAACTGAGAGACTCTAGGGAACTGCGATTTTGCTCTTTCCACCTTTTCAGAAGTGTCAGTGCAGGCTGAGCCAATCTTCACAATCAGAAACAGCTTCTCTGTTTATAACTTACCCTTGGATATAACACCTTTCATCAGCACTAAAAAACAAAACAAAACAAAAAAAAACACACATTTCTTCCCCGTTGTGCTACTGTCCTATACGGACTTGGGCCTTTGTGGATGAAGAACACTCAGTTATCCCTGAAAATAGACAAAATTGTATTTAGTTGATTTGTACAACATGAATTGAAATAACAATGCTGAGTTTCAATGGGTCTGTTTGCTGAATTAGAATATGTTTGGGGCCAATATCCAGTTACCTTCTATTTATTTATTTATTTATTTTTGAGAGGGAGTCTTGCTCTGCAGCCCAGGCTGGAGTGCAGTGGCACGATCTTGGCTCACTGCAACCTCCACCTCCCAGGTCCCAGTTCAAGCAATTCTCCTGCCTCAGCCTCCCGAGTAGCTGGGATTACAGGCACATGCCACCATGCCCAGCTAATTTTTGTATTTTTAGTAGAGACAGGGTTTCACCATGTTGGCCAGGCTGGTCTTGAACTTCTGACCTAGTGATCCACCCGCCTCGGCCTCCCAAAGTGCTGGGATTACAGGCTTAAGCCACCACACCTGGCCCAGTTACCTTCTCTTTAAATCTTGTCCTCCTCACAAATGACATCAACATCTATGGGTGGAGTCTTCTTAACAGCACTAGTGCTGTTTTAAGTATGATAATAAAAGGAAAAAAGGTGATCTTGAGCTGAGATAGCTTAAAGATTGCAATAGGAACAGGATACCCTTTGAAAAGAGAATGCAAGCTCTTCAGAAGAGCAAGAATTCAGGATGTCCTAGGTCACTGCTGGTGGCATTGTCATTTATCAGTGGCTGCAGAAACACGGTGGCCAGATTTCCTGAAAATTTTTTAAAAGGCTTTTTTCCTGAATTGTCTCCTGATGTAAACCATTATTTATTTGCAAGAGATGAGGGAAAAAAGGCATATACATATATTAAAACCTCAAGCCTTTAAAATAGCCATTGCCTGCTTCTCAAATGGCCTATTTAGTAAGTCTCATTTTCTTGCAATGATTTCCTCTTCAAAGTTGCCTAGGGGTAGTCTATTAAAATTTATTTTATGGGTTTTTCTTTTCTTTCTTTTTTTAACTAGATTACATGTTGGACTGCAGTTAACAACGTAGACATGGCACCGACAATCTACTCTGCATCCCTCCACTCACAAAAACGTTCTGGAGAGACTGCACTTCATCCATGCAAAGATGAGGTGTGTGGGGTTGGGAAAATGGGAGATGAGGAGTTAAGAGGTGATGGATGGAAGACCACTATCTAAACAGGTTCAAAGGTAATCTGCTTCTTAATTTTTAATTAATTAATTAATTTTTTGAGATGGAGTCTTGCTCTGTGGCCCAGGCTAGAGTGCAGTGGCGTGATCTCTGCTTACTGAAACCTCTGCCTCCCAGGTTCAAGTGATTCTCCTGCCTCAGCCTCCCGAGTAGCCGGGATTACAGATGTGCACCACCACACCCAGCTAATTTTTGTATTTTTAATAGAGACGGGTTTCACCATGTTGGTCAGGCTGGTCTTGAACTCCTGACCTAAAGTGATCTGCCCACCTCGGCCTCCCAAAGTGCTGGGATTACAGGCGTGAGCCACCACGTCCAGCCGTGACCTGCTTTTTAAAAAGACTGCCCCCTTCCCCCTCACACCCTGCATCAAGCACTCATACCTATGATGGTGATACTGACAACAGCATGGGGTTCTCCACTAATATTGTTGTGATCATATCTACCGTGTGGTTTACAGGCTTCATGGTTTTGTAAAAAACACAAGCACAGAGAAGGAAAAAGTGAAACAGTCGAAAATTCATATCAGGTGATAAGAGGAAATCAGGTTTGGATGCCTAAGGGGAAAACAGCCCTCAGAGCTTTGATGTGATCCCTTCCATCCTACAGTGAGCAGGGTATCTGATCTTACTTCTACCCAACACCACCCAAGAGTGAAGCTGCCAGAGTGAAGGGCCTTTTACACAGGAGAGAGGTGGGCACCCTCATAAGGCTCTCCAGTCTTCCCAGGAGCCGTCTATCAGACAACTGATTGATTCAAAACCAGTTTATTATTAAGGCCTTGAATTATAGAAGACAGGAATATCAATGAAAGTATTTCCATGCCTGACAATGGCTCCAAACTAACATAAAAAAACCTGAATCAAATAATACCTTATAATCTTCTGTATTCCTCAAATTATGTTTCCCATGATAATTTACATGTGCCATCCTAGTATGTCTAAGAATATTCCATATATAAGGCCATCACATTCTACTGAAATTTCCTGAGTGTCACAGCTGGAATAACCACTTCCCCATGATTATTCACTTCCTTTGGCTAGAGGAACCAGCTCTGCCAGGGTCCAATACCAGCGGCTCTGTGGCGGTTCCCTCACCATGTCTTTGGCAGACATCCAGCCTCTACCATTAGTTGGGATGTTTTACAGCAAACAACACTGCATTAAAAGATGCTTATTTAGGGAGATTTAATTAAAGTGATTGGCATTATTATCATTATTGTTATTATTAAAATATTATGGAAGTTCCTAAATGCAGAATGAGAACTCCATGCCCCAGTGATTTTCATCTCCCAAAATAATAAAAGTTAAATCTAGCAGGAACTATTTGGCTTTATGATCTTGGAAGATACAGTGTTGCTTAATGTCTGCTGGATTCTTCCTTTGCCCTTCACTTTTCTCTACCTCTCCGTGATTTTTCTTTCTTCTCTACCTGAAAATAAACATTCTTTACCTTCAGGACTCTCATTTGCTGATCCTTGAGTCGTGATGGTGATGAGTAATGATGCCTCTGTGGCTCATTTCACTACAAGTACCAGTGCCATTGACTTGGCTTTTACTTTAAAAACTGGGAAGTGGGTAACAGACATCCACACTTCATGAAGCTGCTCTGTCTCAAATGCTTCCCATCAGACAGAGAGAAACAGAGCTTCCTTTCTTGGTGGAGAACATGAGCTATCTTTTATGCCTTCTCAGTTAATGAAGGGTCTTACTGTAAGAATAGCTTTTCCAGTCCATAAGCAAGATAACTCGTGAAAAAAATCTGCTAACATTTCTAAGAGATAAATATGAAACGCCCATCTTAAGTGACACAGAAACATCATCAAATAGTGTAGTGTTGCATCAAAGATATGTTCATAGGTCTAACAGTGAAATAACTGGTGTTATGACATGACAGCGAGGATTTTTCCCTCTGTTTTGTAAGAGCCTTCTCTCTCAGTTTTGTCCATGAGCTGAGAGCAAGGGCAGCTTTTCCAATAGAAAGTACATTTGGTTTCAATTCACTTTCATAACAACAGACACTAACTCTTAGGAAGATGGAGAACATTAAGCTCCATTGTTCAGGCTGAGGATGACTGACTTGGGTGGCAGAAAGCTAAACAGTCTCTTTTCTGAAGAAGAAAATGCCTACGGGTGTAGCAAATCTCATTCCCAAACAGCCCTTTTTTTTTTTTTTTTTTTAATGACACAGATATAAATGACAGTGAAGGAAAATTAAAGAATCATCTCAAATCATAGAACTGGGAAGGGACCTCAAGAAATCATCATCTGATTCAGCCTCCTCTAGAAAGTTTTGTTTCTTAAATAATTTTATAAACACCAAGGCATTGTTATTTAACAAGGTCTAAGGGCAGAGAAAAATATTTTATAAATTATTTTCGTAAGCTGCTTGTAGGGCCTTTTATTATCTTAAATAATGACTAAATGAATGAAATTCTTTGAGATTTGGCAGCTTTAAGATTGCAGAGGTTGTTAAGAGGTAGAAATAGGATCCATGTTGTGTCCCTTTGGCAAAAGAAAATACTCATGCCACTGGTTCATGTCCCAAACAACCAGAAACTCACTCTCCATCTTTCTAATTTTTCAGAAATAACCTGTCATGTACATTTCCTTTTCTCTCACTGACAGAAAAGAAGGCATATTGGATAAGCAAATATAATGGAAGAATTCTGATGTGCAAAATGTCCTAATAAAGGGTCCTTCAGGGCAAAAAATACTCAAGTTGGGAGTTATGTAATTCTATCCTTGATATTATTTAGAAAACAACAGGAGAAAATACCATCCACCGTACATTCCTCGAGAACCTCCAATCAAAGGCTCTAGCATGTTTCCTGGCTTCAGACTGGCTATAAATAAATTTAATAAGGACGAAAAAAAAATCACTGCATCATTTACAGTTCTCTCTCAACTCCAGCTGACAAAAATCCAGTCCAGATGTTTGTGTTGCAAGAACAACAGTAAGAGGGTGAGCCTCAATCGTGAATATGAAAGCCCAGAGAGGGTGAGTTTGAAGAGAAAGGGAGAGCTAGGTTGGCAAGGAGGGTGTGAACAAACTTGATTTGATACTAGCTTACAGAAACACAGTAATTAATTTATTTTGTGTATAAGAAATCCAGTTTATTAGCCTTTCCTCTGCCTCATCTCCCTTTTCAAAGCCACTGGAGTTTGGCTGGTGAAGCTTGAAATGGTTGTTCCATAACCTTTGCTTTTAAATTAAACAAATGACTTCAGATTTTGGAGCAGTTGTTGACTCAGGGGAAAGCATGCCATTAAAAGTGTGCCAGAGACAGATTTAATTGGTGCAAGTCCCAAAAACTGCTTGAAGTACAGGCTTCCCACATATAGATTTCAGGGAAATTACTCAAAGGCCGCACAGCTTTGTCAGAATTTGAGATGTGAAACAAGGCAGCTGAAAGACTCCATATCAAAAGGGTAAATTCAATTCAGGAGATATTAATCTGATTACCTAAGTAAGGCTGTGAATCGGATATGCTCCATTGTGTGCTCTCGTTCAACCTGGACAGCTGGAGGAGCCAATAGCTTCCTTTTCTCTGACATATAATTAAGTTTTAAGAGATGATCAGGTTACGGATACAAAGTTTTAAGAAATATATCATTCAGGAGTGGCATTTACAGTGCTCGCCTGTTGCAAGAGACATTGTTCACTTTATTTCCTTGAGCCACACTGGAGAGTGTGTGGATCAGGGCCTAGGGGCTTGGTGTTTGTGTTTCAGGCTACAATAAACGCCCTCTGTGCACCTGCCTGGAGGAAAAACCAGTCCAGCCGCCTCCCAAGACAAAAGCGCCCTGTATTAAGTGCTGAAAACCCAGACATGAACTGACCCTGTCAAATTCCAGATAGGGAAAAAAAAAAAAAATCAATATTTTCATCCAATCCAAGAGGAGCTGTCATGTAGGTTTCTGGATTTCCTTTCTCATCTGCACTAAGTCTGAGCAACAATGACCTGTCAACAGAAGTCATCTCCTTTCTCCTGAGTCTCCTCGTCTTTCTAGATTCCTTCCCTGATGGCACAACCCATTGCCTGGCATGCCATAATCTGCCCTCCAGAGGTCAACGCATTCTCCCACTCTTTCTCTACCAGGTCTTTCCCACTGGAATCTCACTTCGGCCATGCAAGTTCATCTTCTGAAAGAGAACATTACTAACTCATGTGTTTTCAACGAGTTTTCCAATACACACTTGTCACAAACTCTAGGTACATTTAGAATTGCAAGAATGTTTATTAGGCCAGAGGATCAAGGTTATATTTCTTCCATGCTCACTGTGGTTTCCAATGCAAATTGGTCAAAAGATATACTGGGTCACACATACCAATTTCAGATGACTTCCTCTGAGAGAGCTGTTCAGCTTGGGCTTGTTCTAATTCATGTCTAGAATTAATCATGCTTGTCTCAGCTGACCTGCACATTCTCATGGAGAAAAAAAATGATTTCTTACAAATATGAAACCCAGCTAGGTGAAGTTTCATTTGTGAATTTCACCAGAGGCATGGGCAACTTTAACCTAAGTCATGGGTAAATAAACTGAAAAGGACAAGGTGATTACCTGAACTTGAAAGTGCAAGTTGGTTACAGGACCAGAAAGTACTTGTGAATTGCAATCTCCTACTCCTCTAAGCCAACCCAAAATGGAGAGAGAAATTAATTAAATCATGATTTTGATAATTATTTAAAACTGCCATAGACAGTAAAGCTTTGGCTACAAACGTTTGTTAATATATTTGATGATGAATAACTAAACTTTCAAGGTTAACAGTTTTCTCAAGGTTCTTCAATAGCTCCTCCAAACTCTAGCCCAGAGGGGAGGGACGGATGTGGGAACCAAGATGATCAGCACAAGAAAGCCAGTTCCCCAACACGGCCCTTCCACTAGGATGTGCTCGATTGTTTGTGTCTGAAGAGAGGAGAGGAACCAAGCAGCATTTTACTTCATTTGGTGCTCATTAAACAGCTGGCCGAGAAAAACAGTCATCCACCACAGGTACTAAGCTACTTCAACCTATACCATGCTATGATGGCCAGCCTGGCAAGTTCTCAGTGGAACAGGGGACTGGTTAATAGCCTGCCACCTTGTAAGTGGGTCTAACTCAATGATGGAGGTGGTCTGCTGGCTGATATCCAGGCACTGCAGACACAGTGAGTCAGGACAGACCAACCAAGGGGCCCATCTTAGTTCTGCCCTGACATCCTAAGGCAGTGGTCCAAGCCTCCATCACAAAGATCATGATGATCTCTCCTTTCTGTGAATGCCTCTGATATTAAAAATCTGCTTCTCTCATCCTGGCAATTCATTAGATGCTGTACTACAGTGTGACTTCAACTGTTTCATGTCTGTGGGCCTCACGTTCTGGATTTTCCTTCTTTTTGTAACTTTTCTTGTCTTATGCACTGTAGTGCAATACATATAGCCAGTTTAGATGTAAAGTTTAGCTTCATTACAGTATGCAGGAATTCTAGGGTTCCAACCAGATAAAACTGAAAAACACTAGAATTAGCCTTTATGTTTGAGAGGGGAGAGGCCAAGCCTGATACCGTTCTTATGGCCTCCTGAAAATTCAGCAAGCATTTCACATTATAGATGCTTCATACTTAACGTGTAAATGAATGAACAATTGAATGAATGGACCCAGTGCTCAAATTTTGGTTTCAGTCTCACTCTACTTGGGACAGTAAAGAGTTCTGCAGTAAAAACAAGGAAGGGAGAAATTTGAACTATACCAAGTGGTGGGAATACATCACAATGACTCAACGGGATGTAGGGAAAAAATACTAGAACCCACTTCATATTTTAAAAATTCTATTTCTGGTGTGTTTTATATAACTTTATATAGTAGCACTATAGTTTTTGGCAGCAATTTTCCATACTTTGGGGCAATATGCTAAAAAATGATGGGTTATAGATTCAAAAGATTGCTGCTCTAGATATCCAATATAATAACAGTGACAAAAGAAATGTGACAAAATGCTCATAGATGGGTTGGTCCAGCCTTCTTCAAGAGGTGAACAGAGAAGCCTGTCTGAGGCTTGAACATACCAATTTGCTCACCGAAGACAGAATGTGACAGAAGAAGCAAACTGAAAGGCCTGCCAGCTTCACCTAATGCAAGCTCTTATGTGTATAGCTGAGGGAATTGAGGTCCAGGGAAGTTAAGTGCCTTGCTCAAAATAGTACAGATGGTTTGTGGCAAAGCTGGTCCTTGAATACAAGTCTCCCAATTCTAAATGCAGTGCTTCAGCTTCTGTTAAAACACACTGCTTTTCTACTGACTATCAGCATAGAGATTTCAGGGCACACATAAAGAAACAGCTGCACTTATAGTGATGCATGGAAACCTCTCAAATCTAACAATGACAGAAATATGTGATCATAAGCTCTAGCTGAGGTAGTTGTATGATCATCTTGAAGAGCTGAGTATGGTATACTGGTCAAGAGCACAGACTCTAGAGCAAGACTCTAGGTTTGAATGCCAACTAATTACTAGTTATGCGATCATCAGCAAGTTATGGAAATACTTCGTACTTCAGTTTCTTTGTTTCTAAATTGAGGGTGATAATTGAACCCCACTAAGTTGTTGCATTTTTATGTGCTTAGTATAGTGCCTGACGCATAATAGGCACTCAATATTATTATTGCAATCAT
This sequence comes from Homo sapiens, assembly GCF_000001405.40. NCBI lineage: Eukaryota > Metazoa > Chordata > Mammalia > Primates > Hominidae > Homo > Homo sapiens. The sequence goes on along the minus strand of NC_000014.9, from coordinate 68,304,224 downwards.
TAGCAAAAGGAACATAACACTTGTATTAATTTCCATAGTGCCTTTTTTTTTTTTTGAGACAGAGTCTTGCTCTCTCGCCCAGGCTGGAGTGCAGTGGCGCCATCTCTGCTCACTGCAACCTCCGCCTCACAGGCTCAAGTGATTCTTGTGCCTCAGCCTCCTGGGTAGCTGGGATTACAGGCATGCACCATCACATCCAGCTAATTTTTGTATTTTTCATAGAGATGGTGTTTCGCCATGTTGTCCAGGCTGGTCTTGAACTCCTGGCCTCAAGTGATCTGCCCACCTCAGCCTCCCAAAGTGCTGGGATTATAGGTATGAGCCACCACACAGAGCCCTCATAGTTCCATTTAGTACTTTAAGTCATTTGCTATTTTCTCTCACATCCTAGCAGAGTTATAGATAGCCTGACACCATTTCTAACTGTTAGGCGCCTTGATAAATGGAGGGCTCGCCTGATGTTATTCAGAAGGCTGGTATACCAAAGAAATCTCTCCTGGGTTGGTAAGGTAGGAAGCTAGAACCAGACCTGGCCACCCAACATCTCAGAAAGGTTAAAACTTATTCTAAAGTTCTCATTGCTTTAAGAAGTTTAGGGCTAACCCCACCCCAAAGTGACTTGCCTCAAAGAGATCAAAATCCAAGTTCTATAGTTTCATCTCCATCCCCCTAACCTGTAAATGGCTGCCTGAGAAAATGCTTCCAACTACAAAATGACTCCGTCACTTCCGTATTTCTTTTTCTTTTCTTTTTTTTTTTTTTTTTTTATTATACTTTATATTCTGGGATACATGTGCAGAACGTGCAGGTTTGTTGCATGGGTATACATGTGCCATGGTGGTTTGCTGCACCCGTCAACCTGTCATCTACATTAGGTATTTCTCCTAATGCTATACCTCCCCTAGCCCCCAACCTGGTGTGTGATGTTTCTCTCCCCGTGTCCATGTGTTCTCATTGTTCAGCTCCCACTTATGAGTGAGAACATGCGGTGTTTGGTTTTCTGTTCTTGGATTAGTTTGCTGAGAATGATGGTTTCCAGCTTCATCCATGTCCCTGCAAAGGACATGAGCTCATCCTTTTTTATGGCTGCATGGTATTCCACAGTGTGTATGTGCCACATTTTCTTTATACTTCCCTATTTCAATGGCTCCCTATTACCCTCAGGAAAAAATTCAAACTGATCAGCATGAGGAATAAGACCTTTCTGTTGGGAGCAAGCCCCCCAAAATCTTGCCATAAACTGGCCCCAAAACTGGCCATAAATAAAATCTCTGCAGCACTGTGACATGTTCATGATGGCCATAATGCCCACGCTGGAAGGTTGTGGGTTTATGGGAATGAGGGCAAGAACACCTGGCCTGCCCAGGGTGGAAAACTGCTTAAAGGCATTCTTAAGCCACAAACAATAGCATGAGTGATCTGTGCCTTAAGGATATGCTCCTGCTGCAGTTAACTAGCCCAACCTATTCCTTTAATTTGGCCCATCCCTTCGTTTCCCATAAGGGATACTTTTAGTTAATTTAATATCTATAGAAACAATGCTAATGACTGGCTTGCTGTTAATAAATATGTGGATAAATCTCTGTTTGGGGCTCTCATCTCTGCAGGCTGTGAGACCCCTGATTTCCTACTTCACACCTCTATATTTCTGTGTGAGTCTTTAATTCCTCTAGCGCCACTGGGTTAGGGTCTCCCCAACCGAGCTGGTCTCGGCAATCCGGCCCCTGCCTGGATTCCATGACGGGGGCTTTTCCCTCTGTCAGGTGCACTTTCCCCTTCTCTCTCTCCTATTAAGAACTGCTGTTAATTCTTCACATGCCTCCTTGTTGTAAAGTTCCTAGAGAGCCTCCATCCCCAAGCCAGGACTCCTATCTGTTCCCCAAAAACATCCCAAACCTAATGCCATCATGACACCAAATGTAACCTGCTTACTTGTCCGTCATAGCCACAGCCCTTCCCCTCCCCTGATTGTGAGCTTCCCATAGAGCAGGGACTGTAGCATTTGTCTATGTGTCCCAAGCACCTGTCTAACACATGACCTAGCAGATGGTAGGTGGCTAATAAATATCATTATAGTGTATCACACTAAGCTACTCAGTCACCACCCTTGTGTGAAGGTGGGAGATTTCTCCTTCAAAAGCTGAGCTGTTCCACTTCTGTTCTTTCCTTTCTCACATGGTTCCCTGAATTGCCTATTGCCATTCATCATACAGTATTTATTAACATCAATTATTTATTAACTATTATTGTCAAGCACTTTTCTAAGATGTGGAGATCCAGCACTGAACAAAAGTGACAAAAATTCCTGCCCACAAGAACTTACATTCTGGCCAAGCGCAGTGGTTCACTCCTGTAATCCCACCAATTTGGGAGGCCAAGGCAGGTGGATCACTTGAGGTCAGGAGTTTGACTAGCCTGGCTAACATGGCAAAACCCCATCTCCACTAAAAATACAAAAAAATTAGCCAGGCGTGGTGGTGCATGCCTGTAATCCCAGCTACTCAGGAGGCTGAGGCATGGGAATTGCTTGAGTGTGGGAGGTGGAGGTTGCAGTGAGTGGAGATCATGCCACTGCACTCCAGCCTGGGCGATGGAGTAAAAGTATGTCTCAAAAAAAAAAAAAAAAAAAAAACACACAAACAAAAAAAAAACCTCACATTCTAATGACCCTAAGACAGGACTTTCTGCTGGTTTACCTTAGTTTTGTAGTATCCAGTCAAAGGGCAAGAGCTGTTTCCCTCAGTTCTAGTTTTGTCCCTGAAGGAGGAAGAAACTTCTTCCTGGCTGGCCTTGGATCCACCCCTTGGTCTCTGGCAGCCACTTATCGACTGTTGTTTGTTTTCTGGGGTCTACATTGAAAGATTTCAATTGCTTATTCTATCTCTGGCCTAGAGTCCTACTCAGAAGGAATTTATTTTGAGGCTTTTCTAGCTTCATTTACCTAAACATCATATTTTAAAACAAAAAAACATTTGTCTCCTTAAACCTGTCCACTGGATTTCTTTCATCCTCTATAGCTGGAGATGACAGTGCCAGGAAATGTGATTACCTTAGCTGCTTTGATGAGCCTATTAGATGGAAGTATGGTTAAAAAAAATCAACATCATAACCTAAAAAGGCCTTCTATTAAAGACGGGAACCTCCACCTTCAACACACACACATACACTGCACATATACACATATACATTTGCTTTTAACCCACAAAACTCAGACACTCCCCTGAGGGTAGAGAGTAATTTTGCTCTTGTATACCGTAAATCATGAAAAGGATGTAACTAACAGACACAGAGTTCTCCACTGCACATATTTTAGTTATCCAGCTGCCCTCTTGTCTTCTCTGGCTTCCCTTGCTCAAGCAGTGGATAGATCATGGCTGACCATGGGGACAGCCTGCGCTAGCTAATGTGCCTCTGTTATATGTCCCTGAATATGAGGTAACTTATACATGGTTAAATTTAGGCCTCATATCTCACCAGATAATAATAGTTTAGAGTAGCGAGTGGATTCTGGATAAACAGAAGAGACGTCTCTCCCCTCCTGAAGACAAATTCAAAGGCTGATTATTGGTATAAAGAAAATTAGATCAAGGAGGAGCCAGGTTACCTGGGGCTAAAAGAAAATATTTTTACATTTCATTTTTAAAACAGTATATTGGCTTGATGGCATGGACTAGTGATAGGTAACTTCTATCAAAATTTTTATTTGAAAGGAGAGCGCTGGGCGTGGTGGCTTACACCTGTAATCCCAGCATGTTGGGAGGTAGAGGCAGGAGGATTGCTTGAAGCCAGGAGTTTGAGACCAGCCTGGGCAGGATAGCAAGACCCTGTCTCTACAAAACAAAACTGAAAAAATTAGCCAGGCATGGTGGTGCATGCCTGTAGTACCAGCTACTTGGGAGGCTGAGGTGGGAGGATCACTGGAGCCTGGGAGGCCAAGGCTACAGTGAGGGCAATGGAGTGAGACCCTGTCTCTAAATAAATAAATAAATAATAAATGGAAGAAGGAGAAGATGCTGAGAATGAAAATGACTAAAGGGGTCAACAGAGCTACACAGTCCTACTTAACAAACTTATAATATCTGCTCAGCTGGACAAAGTCCTTCTATTAGATGTTATGTTTGGGTATTTACCTCCCTTCAAAAGGAATCTGTCCTTCATATATAGCCCCTTATAAGAAAATGCCCCCCATCAATGGACCCTGCTGAAAGGATAGGTGTACTGGCCATCTTCTTTACTGTTATGGCTGAATGGATGAAAAGGCAACCCATGAACACAATTACTAGGTGTGAAAGATAAAATGGGTCAATTAGATCATAAAGTCAAGTGTCAGTGTCATGGAAAGGCAAGACAGAGATGAGATAAATGAAGAGAATAACCTAAGTTTCAACCTTCCCAATACCCATGTGATCTGGCTGTCTTTTAGTTCCTATTTATACATAGTCATGATAATCTCAATTGTATCCTTACAAAAGAGCTTAGTGGATAAAAATGTACCTCTGGAGCCAGTCTCCCTAGGTGGAAATCCTGACTCTGCCACTAATTGTGTAGCCTTCTAAGCCCCAGTTCCTTCATCTACAAAATGGGATAATTAATACAGTTGTCCCTCAGTATCTGCAGGGGAATAATTCCAGGGCCCGCTGCAGACACCAAAATCCATGGATGCTCAAGTCCTTTATATAAAATGGCACTGTATTTGCATGTAACCTACACACATCCTCCTGGATACTTTAAATAATCTCTAGATTATTTATAATACCTAATACAGTGTAAATGCTATGTAGATAGTTGTTATACTGTACTGTTTAGGGAATAATGACAAGGAAAAAGGTCTGTGTTCAGTACAGATGCAATCATCCATTTTTCCCCTACTATTTTTTGATTCATGGTTGGTTGAATCTATGGATGCAGAACTCATGGATAAGGAGGGCCAACTGCACTATCCTCAGAGGGTGGTTGTGAGGACTAAATGAGATAATAAACATACGATGCCAGGCATACAGTATATGGTCCATAATGTGTGTATTAATGTGCCCCCCAGGTGATTCTGATGTATGCTAAAATTTGAGAAAATGGAATAAAGGTTTTGGTAGAGAAACACAACCACTCCATATCTTCGACTGAAGAACAGCCCTCCTCTATCTGGGGAAGATAGAGGAGGGCTGTTCTTTAATTAAACATGCAGTTTTGGAAGGGATAGATATCAGAAACTAGTTCGGAACTCAACTGGACCCTCCTTGGGCTAGACTGCCTTGCTAGACCTTGTTACGATCCTTTTCCAAATCCCAGTAAACATCGCAAATGCATTCTGAAGACGCTTCATGCCACATTACAACACAAACTAATCGTTGGGCACCACCCCTAAAATCCAGCCATTCTTTTCTTCTTTATGATCTCTGACCTAGAGGCCTCTCGCCCTTGGTATAGCATTCTCTGCAGTGATGGAAAACAAGGATCTCTTCTCAGAGAGTCCTTCTAACTTGAAGGCCTCTGGGATCACACCACCTCTTGGCATCCCATTCTCTCGGCTTTTGGCCCTGTCGTCACCTCTCTAGCTGAGGCAACTGACAAAGATGCCTTGGTGTTTTTGTCCCTCCAGCTTTCTTGACATTGAGACCTTAACAGAAACAGTGCAGATTTGAGAAATTAGACAGTAAATTCTAGACGGTAAAAAGATTTGAGGGTGAGGGGAAACTACTTTTAAAGCTAGCCCAACTCCCACACAAACTACCTCAAGGACTGCTCCCCAAAGAAACCTCTCTGGCTCTCATCTAACTTGATTGTAATGCATCTTGTGCTTCAAATGTGCCTCCTTTTGACAAACTAGCACCAGCAAAACAGAGCTCCTGACCAAGAAGCACTTCCTGGTGGTTGACTTTAATGTTCCCTTTCTCCTTTTGTTCTCCCAGCTGAGGTTACATTGCCCCCTGGCCTCCAGGCTGAAAATCCTCAACACATTCCTCTCCCTTTTGGGATTTACAGCTTTTCTGACATTTGCAGGCTGTGCCCATCTCCTCTCAACTCTAGCCTCCCCTACTCACATAATATTTAAGCTTTCTTTAGCCGAATACCACACATTTTTTGGTGCTTTTAATCTTTTTCTATAAATCAGGCCTTTCATGGCATCTGAACAGCTGCTGGAAGACATATGCCCAGTCAAGTGCTATGGACTCCTGAATACCAGGGAAGTAGAGCACTGGCCGGCGTGTGCCCTTGTGAATAGAACCATGTAAAATCGTGTGTGTTGATATAGTCTATGGCTTTGGAAACAAAAACTGAAAGGTCACCAGGACACTTAAACATTTTTATCCAAAACTCACTCCTAAGAGGCAGCAGTAACCAAATTTAAAACTTCACGGGAGGGGCTCTGACTTCTGTTCCCAGCACACCAGCTCTCACTGTGTGGCCTTTCAGCAATTCTCTTCTCTCCTTCATGCTTCAGTTGCTTGAGGTAGATTAAGAAATTCATCATTTTAAGACAATTAAAAATACTATGGAAAAGCTAATGTTAATAATGTTGATCATAGTTGTTAATATTAACTTTGTAGTCACATGGTGACACCTTAGGCTTTCAAAGTACTAATTACAGCCAACTTGCACCATACCCCCAAGGAGTGGATTTTTAAAACTACTCCACTCATACCCGTTGGTACATGGCCCTACACAAACCAATGAACATTTAGTCTGAGATTGGGCTGTGAAGGGCCTTGGAGCTAAAGCATGTAGAGATTTCTGCTAACTTGACCAACCCACCCCAAAGTCTGTGGTTAATGGATTACAAATTTGGGTAATGCAGGACAATAAATCATAACTATAATAATAAAGCTGAAAATACACACAATTTAAGTAGAAACACCAGTGTTTTTTATCGGAAATGAAAGAAACCATTGATCATAGCAACTGTCTGAGATTAGCAGGGAGCCACATTTTCAAACATCCTGCAGTAAATCCAGAGCAGATCCAGCTGGAAAGCAAGAGTGGAAATAAGACTTGAAAATTCATACCGCGCTTTGAAGTTTGCTTCTTTCACAACCATGAGTCTCTGATTTGTCCCAACCATTCTGAGCTGTCTTGCTTGTTGAACTTATTTTAAAAGAGAACACAAGCCACAAACTTGCATATAATCTTTCAAATGGACTCCAGCTTTTCGCAGGGATGGTTTGGTAGGGAATATGAATCCCCAAATACTTTCTCTTGCACATGAAATCAGCCATCAATTCCCCTGACTCCAACCAGAATAGAAAGCCTTCCAACAATAAAACTAGAAACCACTCTTGGTTCTAGGAAGTGCTGCTATTTCTCTTGTGTTCTTTCCTTGACCTATCCACACATTTTACATTTTTAGTTTTCATGTGCTATGGTCTATCGGAAAACAAGTAATGCAGAAAACAGGATACAACATGCCAGATGCTGGGAATACCAAGATGGCAGCCTAATAATGTCTTCTTTTCCATAAAGCCATGTGGAACTCCTGAAGTGGGCCATGTCACCATAATGAAGTAACTGCTACTCTGTTAAATCGTCAGAAGAAAGCAAGCCAATGGTCTATAGCTTCAATCTTGCACAGGGCTCACTGTTACCATTTGTCAAATCTCACCTACCAACTGTAGGTGGGCACTCATCTGGTTCTGCTCAAATCCCAGGTGACTTTGGAATAGGATATGGCATCTTAGGCCATTTGGACTGTTAGATCCCTTCTCTATTAATCACTCTGGGGGAAAGAGATGTTACCTATGACTGAGGTCCAACAGTTCTTAGTATCTCCAATGACCATAAGGAAGAATTGGCAAGGGCTAAGAAATGTGTCCTTGGCCACACAACAGTCACAATAACTGAGCAGGGAACTCTATAATAACCTATATGTCTGAACTTCTGTCAATGAAATGAAATCTGAAGAAGAAAATACTGTGACTCAAAGTACCTAGTCTAGAACAATGTAGAAAAAATCCTTATTTCTGTCCCTATCTCTTCTGTTGAATGACAGAGTGGATACTAGAAGATTGCTACAGTCTTTTCCAGCTCTAACAGTTAAGATCATAAGGAGGGCCTGAAGATCAGAAACATTCACCCAATGATAGGGTTTAATTCTGATTTACAGAGTGGGAAAAATGACTGTGTTGTTGATGTTGCCCTAAACACAACAAAAAGGACCTTCAGAAATCTTAGCATTGGTACTCTGGCATACCTGCAACAGTCTCCCCTTCCTGTATTGCTGTCTCTTTCTCACTCTGTGTACACTTCAGATCTTGTCTCTTGCTCTCTCTGCCTGTCTCCACACAAAGGTATACAAAATCAGAAGTGTGTGCAAACCAGTGAGTATGAGACACACACTGGGATTTGGGGGCGGGGGGCAAGGTCTACCCTGTCCTGTAATAGATTTCAGCTGCAGTGCACAGTACACTGCTTAAACAGTGCTCCCTTGAAAACAGTTGTGAGGTGAGAACAAGCAGCCAAGAGCAGCCAGCGATAAAATGATCTGAGTTGACCTAAGAGGAGTAGTACGCAGCAGGGGCTGACTCAGGGAAATGAAGTCCCTTCTGCTCTGATGCAGAGGAGGGAATACAAGTGACCTGGCCCAACCGAGAGATCTCTTCCACCCCAACAGATCCTGTACTATTAATATCTGCCAGCTGCAGGCCCAGAGCATCCCCCTGCTGAGATCAAAAGAGCTCCTATCTTAGCTGGAACAAGGTCATCTGCACAGGGCTGTAAAAAGCGAGCCCTGGCTGGCTGCAGGGACGTCTATGGGGGAGGAGAAGTCAGGAGATGGGAGGTGCTCTCTCACGCTCCTTTAATCTCGGCTGACCAGCTGTTGCCCTCCCAGTGTTTGTAAAGTTGAGAGTTCTTTGTTTTTGTGTTGCTGGGTCTCCCCGCCCCACCACCCTTATTAAATTTGTGGCTGAGTTGTTGGCTTGGATTAAGTAGACTCATGTTCACTGCTTGACATCATGGTATAATTCCCTTCATTGAGGTTTCATTCCACTGTTGAGTTATCCAGCTCCCAGGTGGGAGAGCCAAAGAAGGGAGAAGTACACCCCAAGGGCCAAGGACTTTCCCGGCATTGCTCCTGCCCCTGAGCTTTGTGCCTTGAGAAGGAATGAGAGGGCAAACTGAATTTTCTCTATTTACTTAAAATATCTCCTCATATTTGCAGTGTGCTTGTCAATTTGCAGCCTGCCTTTCACAAACTATCCCATTCACAAACTATTGGGAGAATGGAACTTTTGGAACTTATGCAAATTGACCAGTCACCCCATCCCAGTGTGTTTCTCATTCTCACTGGTTTGCACACACTTCTGATTTTGTACACCTTTGTGTGGAGAGAGGCAGAGAGAGCAAGAGACAGACAGACAAGACCAGAAGTGTCCCCAGAGTGACAAAGAGAAAACATACAGGGAGGAAAGGCTCCTGCAGGTATGCCGAAGTATCAGTGCTAAGATTTATTAAAGATCCTTTTTATTGTGTTTAATCTAGGGCAACATCAGCAACACGGCCATTCTTCCTACTCTGTAAGTCAGAATTAAAACCCCATCAGTGGGTGAATGCTCCTGACCTTCAGACCTACCTCATGATCTTATATGCTAGAGCTGGAAAACACTTTAGCAATCTTGTATTCTTCCAACCTGTCATGTAACAGAAGAAACTGAGACCCAAAGTCATCAAAAGGGCCTGCCTAACACCACAGTTAATAACACAATGGCAAAGCTGATACAATGAATGCTTGAAGCAAAACAGAGCAATTTATACATGCGTGTGCATGTCTGTGTGTGTGTAAATCACAGGAACTTAACATCCATTGTAATATATTTGAATGGCTATAAATGTTCTAAGACATTGTTCATTTTAATCCACTAATAAAAACCTTCATTATAGACTATAGGAATATATTTATATAGCCTCTTTATCTGCTCAGCTATACAAAAAAAAAATCTAGAAAAATCAATTATTTCCATTCTTTGTTGGATTTCTGGGAGGATAACCTGGTAACTCTTCCTTTGCTATGAACACAAGTCAGGGGTTTCTTGTGGCAGTTATACTGCAACCCTGAAGCAATTTCTTTTCTATGTGTTTTGCTCTTCTTCTTTGCTTAAGATAAACCAGGAAGGCAACACAAATAAAAGTACTTACTGATTTTCAAATAAGGAAGCAGTTTACTCTATTCTGGTCTCCTCAGAGCTGAATTAAGTGTGTGTGTATATGTGTGTATGTGTGTGTGTAATAATTATAACAATTTTTAACAATGTTCATAGGTGCTTTATATGATTCTCATGGTCACTGTTCTTCTGAAGTATTTACTGTGATATTCATTCAGCATTTATTTACTGCCTAGTATGTGTCTAGAACTTTGCTAGTCACTGGATAACAACATGGATACAAAAAGAATATGACATGGTCGTGTCTTTAAAATCTGCCAATTTAGGCAGAAAAACATGAAAAGTTAAATTAATTTTCTAGACTTTTTCTTTATACAGTTGAGCAGATAGAGCGGCCACAGAGGAAAAAGAGACTGAGACCATAGGCAAGCAGGTTCTGTGAAAGAGGCAGTCTTTAAATAAGCCTCGAAGGAGTGGATGTGGGACGAGAAGCAGAAGAAGTGAAAGGGGGAAGCACTGTTCTAGGTGAGCTGTCTCTGCACAGGCCTGGAGCTGGGAGTGGGGAGGGGCAGGCCAAGAGTGGCACACTTGGCATAGGAGCTTCACCTAAGATATCGGCAGGAACTAAATTTGAATAGAAAGGAAATGACAGATTATGAAGGGTTGAAATCATTCACTTTATCTAGTGGTGTTTTGAAAACCAGTCTACGCAAAGGGAGGAAATAAAAAAACAAGCCACCTGATTTTCAGCATTTGCTGATTTCCATGGTATAAATACTTTCACCATGGCTGATTTCAAGCTAACAAATCCCAAATCCCTAAATATGTTAAAATCAGCTTACTGATTTTAGCTCATTCTCAGAAAAAACAAAAACAAAAACAAAACAAACAACAAAAAAGAAACAAACAAAAAAAACTATTCTAAGATTTCTGAGTAGGAGAGCAACAGAGCAGAACAAGGCCAGACGGGGAAGTTCAATTTGGTAGTGGCAGAATGGAAACTGTAGAGGCTAGAGCTGGGAAGGCCAATCTGGATGTTATTAAAATAATTCAATTGGGAGTTTAGTAAATCTGCTGATCACAACACACATTACAAAAAAGAGGGGACAAAGGAAAGATACATGCGGAAAGAAGTACTAAGCAGACTTGATGACAAAAGTTTCAGGAGGGAGGAATGCTCGATGATTCAGGTTTTCAGCCTCGCTGATAGGGGTTATGATGATGTATCCCTGAACTTGGAAGGAGCGTACACAAAGCATTGTACAGTTTTCATAAATTAGCCACTAGTTTTCCCTCCTAAAGCCACCACTAAGAAGCAGAGGTGTGGTTCTTGCAATTTCTAAGACCATAAAGCAAAGCTGATCTGCAGAAGATCACCTGGGCAGCCATCCAGGAGCCTTGCTAGGCCTAAAAGTCTCCTGTATTCCTTCATGAGCAATTCTCAGAAAGTGGAAAGGGAGGAGGGGCCTGGAAGAGCTATGCATGTCTACCCAGACCCACAGCATTCTGCATGAAAGATACTAGACTACAAGGATAACAACTCAGAAATGTCAAGTAAGCACTTTCAATAAAACTAGAAACCACCCTCTGGTTTATTGGTGTTATTTCCCCAGCTACGTAAAGCTTATTGCCATCGAAACCATAGCCAGCCTGACCTTTGCTAGCAGGGGAGGGTGGAGAAAATTTTGCAGATTTACCAGCGTGGAGATTTTTTTCTTAATCTTCTGTAAAGCTGATCAGGAATGTCATATCTCTGGCACATGAAACTGATGTACGCTTTTTAGTCCAAAAGAACTCAGCACAAGCAAAAGGCTAAATTGCTAGGGGACCACTGGGAAAGCCAACCTTTGAGTATCAGTCTCAAAAACAAAGTCATTTAACAATTCATCAGCCCTCATACTAAGGACTTGAAATAACACACAGAGGAGTGACTGGCCTCCAAATGGAGCTCCCTTATAGAGGCAGGGCAAAAGACTCCCCAATATAAGAGATCAGATGCCAGGAAAGGTGGCCAAACCTAAATCAACAGGCTCCGGCTGGGTTCACTGGCCAGGGCCTATTAGCCATATCTCCCAGCTCTCAACAGGAGGTGGAGAGGCAGTGGGGCTCTATGTCAGTGTCAAGTTTCAGCCTCTCCAGGACAGATTCCTTACCTTCAGACAGGGACAAATCATCAGCTGGAGACACCAGGTCTGCCTGAGAAGCCAGGGCTCCACTCAGATGGGTTGTAATCTGATTCGTCAAGATAACCTGTGAACAGACAGGGAGAAGGGGTAGGGGGCAAGGGAGAAGAAAGACAGGGAAGACCAAATTAATTATTAGAGCTATCAAAAGGCAGACTATGGTTTAGGAGAAGACTGATAAATACACAGGTAGCAAAACCCCAGCCCTGACTTTCACCAGCTTTATCTTTAGGCCAGAATTATCTGGCAAGGCCTAGCAGTTATTCAAAACCCAGAAAACTGAGGAAATAGACTGACTTTTTTCAGAGTAAAACCTCTATCAATTCATTCTAAATGCTGAGTAAGTTGGGACTGAGGGGTGTTATCATATTGGTTAAATAATAGGCAGCTAACCACAATTAAATGCACATGTACACATTTTATCAGACTTTAATTTTTAAAGTTATATCCACCAGGCACAGTGGCTCATGCCTGTAATCCCAGCACTTTGGGAGGCTGAGGCAGGCGGATCACCTAAGGTCAGGAGTTTGAGACCAGCCTGACCAAATGGAGAAGGCCAGTCTCTACTAAAAATACAAAATTAGTCAGGCATGGTGGCACATGTCTGTAATCCCAGCTACTCTACTCGGGAGGCTGAGGCAGGAGAATCGCTTGAATCCGAGAGGCGGAGGTTGTGGTGAGCCGAGATTGCACCATTGCACTCTAGCCTGGACAACAAGAGCGAAATTCCATCTCAAAAATAAATAAATAAATAAAAATAAATTAAAAACAAAATAAAATAAAATTGCAACCACAACCTAAGATATTACTGGTGTTGAATACAATTAATAATTTAAAATTTGGGGACAGGCACAGTGGCTCATGCCTGTAATCCCAGCACTTTGGGAGGCTGAGGCGGGCGAATCGCCTGAGGTCAGGAGTTTGAGACCAGCCTTGCCAATGTGGAGAAACCCTGTCTCTACTAAAAATACCAAAAATTAGCCGGGCATAGTAGCAGGCGCCTGTAGTCCTAGCTACTCAGGAGGCTGAGACAGGAGAATTGCTTGAACCCGGCAGGCCGAGGTTGCAGTGAGCTTAGATCGTGCCATTGCACTCCAGCCTGGGCAACAAGAGAGAAACTCTGTCTCAAATAAATAAATAAATAAATAAATAAAAATAAATAAATAAAATAAAATTTGGATGCCTGTGGCTTCTTTGCTTGTTATCGTTAAAAGTCAGAGTTTTATTTCCAAATTTGTGATATAGGAATGAATGAGTTTGACTCTAAAGAAATAACACTCCTCTTTTAAATAGTTAAATTCTAACATAAAATTCTAACAAAAAAAAGTCCAAAGTCTCACTGTGTATTTAAGACACAAATGAGCATAATCCTACTTATACAAAATAAAGTTCATAACATTTAAGATCCCTGGAAAGGACTCTAATACTACCTAATTCATGTGGTCGAATGCCACACAAATTTTCAAATTTGGTATAGTCAAGAAACTATTCCTAAAAAATTCTCATTTGTAAAACCTACCTTATTGTTTAGAAGCCTAGAGGAAGAATAAATACAGATTCTTTTCTGGAAAATTATAACATAATGAATACCACAATCATTTTCCAAGGTTTAGATGTTCTCATCGTGGGAAGAAACTATGAGCATCTTGGTCACTCAGAGGCAATGTCCCTTCTGAAAGGGGCACTAGGCATTTAGTGCACAATTCAGTGCTTGGAATATTTGTCTAGCTGGACTGTGCTGGTCTGAAACAAGGGTCAGCTATGGTTTTGTTGCTACCCTGATTTGAACAGAAATGGAAGTTGCCTCCATTTTTTATTATCCAGCTTTTCAGCCACACCTCTGTCACTGTATCCTGAATGGACCAGTGACACATTATAAATCCTATATCAATGGCAGCTTAATTGAGGGCTGAGAGGGACCGGGACGGCAAGGTCAGGTAAAGAAATGAATTACTCGAGTAGCAAAGACAATCTTTTAAGTTCTGTGTGCCCACTGGGCTTGTGAGTCTCCAGTCACTCTGCAGCAATAATCAGATATTGCAGGATTCCACTCAGTATTTGCTAATCTTATCTCTCATATTCTTTCGTATTGCTACTTTCCATAGACTGGTGAGAATCACCTAAGATATGTCTTCAATTAAAGTGGCTGGAAATGGTCAAGTAGCCTCCTTGAAATAACTGTTCAGCTCTATGAGTATAAATAAGGAACTGTGTTCATTGCTCTTTTTTTTTTTTTTGAGACAGGATCTCACTCTGTTGCCCAGTCTGGAGTGCAATAGCGTGATCTCAGCTCACTGCAACCTCTGCCTCCCAGGTTCAAGCATTTCTCCTGCCTCAGCTTCCCAAGTAGCTGGGACTACAGGCTTGTGCCACCATGCCCGGCTAATTTTGTATTTTTAGTAGAGATGGGGTTTCACCATGCTGGCCAGGCTGGTCTAGAACTCCTGACCTAAAATGATCCACCCACCTCGGCCTCCCAGAGTGCTGGGATTACAGGCATGAGCCACCATGCCCGGCCATTTCTCTTTTATAATATAGGGTATGAGCTTTGAAGTTCAGTAAAACTGGGTTCAAATTCCAATTTTGATCCTGTGTACCTTTGAGCTTCATTTGTTCATAGGTAAAATAATATCTATCTCATAGAATTTTTATGAGAATTAAATGAGACAATCAATGTAAGATACTTAAAGTATCTGACACATAGTAAATATTCAATAAATAGAAGCAATTGTTGTTATTGTTATTATTTCCTTCAGAATGAGCATATACAGGTTAATAAATTAGTATATGCCATAGGCTCCAGGCAGTTGGTTCTAACAATAGAACACTAAATCACAATTTTCTATATCAGGATATACTTTGGTACCTGATCATTTCTACCTATTTTAGTCCTTCCTAAGTTTTATTTAATTGCAAAGAATTTGTGTAAAAATCTTAGTAAGAAAAATATAGTCATTTAAATCAAGGCCAATAAGATACTGACATTGCTCTGAAAATACTATGTGCTTTATCTACCAATAAACTGAATAATGTATTTGTCTATCTTAGTTAAAAAAAATGTGGAACTTCTGAGAGATCTAAATGTGTCAGCTCTAATATTTTTGTGATTCTTTTAAATGATGGCTTGGTGAAAATGATTGGGACTCCAATGATATGGTTAATAGTAATGAGAAAAAAATTCTTACTTAATACCTACCATGCAAAGCATGTCACCATATACATGGGGGAAATCAAGATATAAAGGTACTGTATGCTCCAGAAACTTACAAATTCAATGACAAGGCACTGACTAAAATATTTAGACCACTTTTCCTCAGTTTTATTCTCACTTCACTGGTTCTGTAATGGAAACCTGTACTGAGATGACGGTTTTATTGTACAGAACTAATGAAATGCTACCTTACAGAACCTAAAACTGAACTACAGATATACCTCAAAAGATACCCAGCATCATTTCCACTTCTGGTGAAAGAGTAGATGGGGAAGAAAATATTCACTCCCCAATGGCAAAAGAACAAGCTCCTAACTTATTTTGCTAATAATCCTCTCCCTTTTAATTACATGTCTTAAAGCCAAATCACCAAAGGGATACATAGCAACCAAACTCAGGGCTTTGCTAATCATGCCATCTTACTGAATTGTTGTGGTTTTCTAAATCTGTTTTCAGCAAAAAGGATAGAATGAAAACATTTCCCAAAGCATTGATTACAATCATCACAACTTGGGAAGAAGACTATAGGTATATTTTCCTCTGAGGCAATCAAGAGACTTGAAAACTATACTCTTAAAATAACACATGAAATACTATTATAATTTATAAACAGACTCAACACAGTCTGGTTTCTAACTGACGCTTCATGGGGTTTTCCTGCTGCTTTGCTCCATGGGAAAGACTGAGTCTTCTGATGCTCAGTACTAAATTTGTGTAAGAGCAATTTGCACAGTGTTTAGGACAAGGGCTTTGGAATCAGACCTGAACTTAGATCCTGGGCTCTACCATTTACTCGCTGTGTGACATGGAGCAAGCTTCATAGTCTCTCTGGGTATGATAATACTTAGCTCACATGGTTCTGAGGATTCAGCTGGATAACGCACAGGTAGTCCTTAGCACAGTACCCGGCCTATGGAAAATGTTACCCCACCACTGTCATTAGTTATCCTTTGCTGATTTATACCTTGCTTGTTTAGCTATAAAACCCATGCCTGATTCCCTTTTATACAGCATATAGGCCACTACTGACAAATAACAAATATTTGCTGTCAATATGTTCAAAAGCAATAACAATTTAATTGAAAGTACATATGCTATTTTTGCTATTTCCCTAAAATAAGGCTTATTGAAAACACGCAACACACCCCCAACACCACCAATTACAATGCAAGACCAGAGTGGGATTCTTGGACAAAGGAAAAGATAGATATTTTTAATGGTCATGATTAGGTCTGAAGCCAGGAATAGACAGAATCCAACTTAATCAGCTTCTCTCGAGGAAGAAGAATACCATCCACCTATTAGAAGGAACAAGAAACCCTATATTTGTATAAAGTAACTTCTGTCTCAACTCAACTTTATATATGAGAGAATGCTTACTCCCAAAGCTTCTTTGCATTGCCCTCTTAACTGTATGCTGCTTACAGAGGTGCACCTGTATAGGAAATGGCACCTCATATAGTGTCACATAGACCTTGAGTCCCATTTTTAATGCCTTCCCACAAGGAAAAATAGGGAGAAAAATTAAGATCTTTAAAAAAGAAATACGGGGTATAGATTCATAGACCACCCAGTAGGTCCTCCTTTCACAGCCAGCAAGGCATATAAGCTAGAGAAAAGAGATAGAGGGGAACCAGTTAAAGATGGGATGAACTGCTAAGGCAGAAGGCTGGGAATCAATGTCATTTTGGTCAGAAGGCAGAGGCTCCTGGCCAGGAAAATCCAACCAACACACACACAACACACACACTAATGAAAATAGATGACTTATTTCCACTAAGTATTTAAAAAGTAGCTTAAGGCAGCAAATACCTTGAGTTAAGAGAGAATAAGCAGAATTAACTGGTCATTAGTCAGAGGATTGAGCCAACTGAGCCCAACTCTCTGCCAGTCTATGTGCCCAATGCAGACCCTCTGCCTTCAGCTGACTCATCTTTCTTTAGCTAGGCTATGACTAGACTATACCCAGGCTACACCTACCCTCTGCTCAAGCTTAATGTTCCTGGCCTTTAAGGGACAATGTATATGTCAATTCTAACTTACTCTACATTGAAGGTTAGAAATATCTTTGGTGGGGTGGAAGGGGAGGGGGCCCCATGAGTAGCCATTTTGTATACTGGAGCCTTCCATGAGTACTAGAATGTACAGGTGAAGAGAAAATTGGATAGCACTGGAGACCTGAGTGGGAAATGGCCAGGCCTGAAGACACAGCCTTTGATAGAAACAGCTCATTTTACCTGACTTTTGGTGGGGGACAAAGAAGAGGGAGTTTGTGGTCAGCCAGGGATAGAATAGGTTGGAATGTGATATCTGGTCCTGTTTGGTCAGCAGAAGAGATATTCATGATCAGCAAAATAATTATTCGATATTTAAAAGTCAGATTTTTTAAGGACCCAAGAATCTGACAAACGCCATCACTGAGATTTCTGTGGGGGCAGCTGAGAGGCAAATTTTGTAATCCCCATTTTCCACCAAGTGAACTGGAGTCACCTAAGACCAATAGTACAGATGAGATAAGGGCATGCAGGCTTCCCTGCCTGCTCTCCTTCCTAAGGCAACATGGGACACAGGAGAAGAGAGAGAAACTCTCAGCTCAGATCTACTGACAGGTGACTTCTCCAGGCCTTAATGTCATGGTCTAGAGAATTCCACCTATAAAAGTAATAAACAAATAAATCTAATATCCAGAAATACACTGAAAGATGGTCAAGATGCTACACTGTAACAAGATCAATCTTGTGATAAAAGTCTTTTCAGACTCTGCTAATAAATACCATAAATCAAGTAGGTCAATGGCTTCCGCTTCTATGAAAGTCAAGTATGTGAGGCAATCTTATATGAATTTTGACAAATTTTTGGTGGTTTTCAGTGGCTCTTGATAACATGTGGTTATCATTTCCGGCGCCCACGGGAAGTTTTGAAACTAAATTTTTCATGGAACTCATGTCTCTGTGCAACAGAGTTGAAGGGGTAGGCTGGGCTAGAGGATTCACGAAGCAACCTCAGGCATCTCAGGGGCATTTCTAGCCCATAAAAACACCTGCTTCCTCCTCCCGCCCACTCCCTGGCAGAAACCTGCCACAATCTAACACACATCAGGAAGTTTCAAAATCACTTTAACTGGGCCAGGATGGCGAGGTGCAGTGATAGTCCGTCCTGATACTTCTAGCTCTCAAGTAAACAGCAGCCCCTGGATAATCTGGGTGGCCAGAGAGAGACGCAAGAAGAGAATGTGGGTGCTGAGTCTACTCACCAACCCGCCTGGCACTAAATCCAATGCTTTCAAAGTGACGAGGCTCTGCCTTTCATCAGCTCTGAAGGCACAGTTAATCTTTTTTTCCTTTTTGTACTAAAAATGGTCTCTCTGCTTAAGGCACAGCTTTAAAAATGTTACTTTTGTATCTGAAGTGATCCTAATTGCCATATATGACAGTGACCTAGCCTTTCTATCCAAACAGAGGCCTGGGATAAGTCAGAAATTCAAGTTTTAATCCTGGCTCTGTTAAGGGTTACTGAATGCCTTGCTTTTAAGGAGACAGAGACCGGAACTTTCCTGTGAGAAATTGTTCAGGTCCATTGAGTCCTTTCATCACTAAGGTTTGAGAGAAAGGCCTGGAGTGGTTTTCCCCATGCTGTCCTCCTGCTCCCCAACCATGACGGTGTCTGCCCCAACCTGTCTGCTGTGGTAGGAGCTGGAGGTGAGAAGGAGACAAGAGGAAGAAAGAGAATAAGGAAAGCAATGAGGGCAAGAGGCAGAAGGAAGAGAGTGAGAACAGGGTAGGTCCAGAAAGGCCACGCTCCCAGACGCATGCCTCTCCCCATCCCAAACCCTTCCTGTCCACATCCAGCTTTGTATAGAGATACCCAATATTTGTTACGGAGTTTGAGCGTCACAAAAACAAATGTGGTTTTAGTATTTGCTGGCTTAGTTTTGCCATGCTCTGGAAAATCAAAAATCATTCCACGATTAAAAAAAAAAAACACAAAAATAAACTTTTATCTTAGCTTCAGCTCAGAAAATATCAACTGTCAGTTCTAGAATAAAAGCTGATAAGGTTTCAATATTCCAGCCTGCCATTTCCATCTTGAAGGACTGCACAACAATTGTTTTCTGGGAAATTCTGAAAGGCTGTGGGGAATTTTTCTTGTGAAATATTTGTGGAGAAGAGGCCAAACTTCAATTTGGCTTGAAGAAAACATGGGTGTGGGAGTCAGGCAGACTTTTATTTCTGGCACTGTCACTAACCTGCTGTGCAATTCTGGGAAATTCTCCTAACCTCTCTGTACCTAAAAGTGTTGAGTCCACAAAAGATATGCAGAGAATGAATGTATAACAACTGTTAATGTAGCAGTCTGCTTAGAATAAATGTTTCATATATTTCACCCACATTAGGATGAGTGCTGTACTCAAAATTCCACCTTTGCATTGCTTATCTTCAACCTTAAGAAATCCATCCTACACAGAACCAATGGCAGTGGCCAAGGAAAAGGGGATGAAGGAGCAACTTGAAATAATTTGTGTTTATGGTGAGAATGCTTCCAATCTTAATAAGTTCATACCTCTTATTATCAGCCCTGAGGAAAACTGTCTTCTGTAGATTTCACTGTGAAATCCACAGGCAAAGCTAGAGAAACACTCTGCCTAGTAGGGGAGCCCCTAAAGAAGAGAGTGGCTCAGTCTGAGGGAATGCAGAAGGAGGAGGTGAAAAAAAATCTCCTCAGCTTTGCACAAGCACACACTCGCTCAATCACAGAGGGGGCTGACGCAAGTAGTGCTTCCGTGCTACTTTTGACCACTGAGTTCAGAAAAATGCATTGAAGTAGAATTGTGTCTGC
This sequence comes from Homo sapiens, assembly GCF_000001405.40. NCBI lineage: Eukaryota > Metazoa > Chordata > Mammalia > Primates > Hominidae > Homo > Homo sapiens. Next base: position 68,283,903 of record NC_000014.9, on the reverse strand, counting down.
CATTTGGCAAAAGTAAACACACAAGATAACCATGTGGCTCCCTAAGGCAGCTTTCTCTTTGGCCTACTTCTCTTGGGGTGCACATGCAAGGGGATGCAGTGGAAACTGTGGGCCGGCAGCTACCGTGCCATAGACATAGGTGTGGAGAGCTATGGTTCCACTGCTGGCTGCCCCACTGGCCCCAATGGGCTGAGGTTAGCACGTGTTGGTTCCGGATCTCAGATGGGGCCGGCAGTTGTAAAGAGGCCACAAACAGCAAGCTAGTGTGCTGTTTCCACCTTCAGCCCAACCCCGACGGCATCCTGTCAGTGATCTTGGGCCCACTGCAGGAAATAACATGCACAATTGGTGAACTGTGACAATGCAGCCACAGTGGCTTCCAGTGGTGTATTCGCCAACTGTGTGCAATTTTGCAGTTAGTATGAGGCCAAAAAAGTCTCTGGCCAGCTAGAACCTGGAAGAGAACAAGGCCAATGGTCAGATGACTCTGAGGTTCACATGGATGTGGAAGAAACTATCCTACCAGCCTTCTGCTGCACTGTACGTGTCCTGTGGCCAAGTTGCTTTGGTGTGTAGTTGGGTATCCTTGCCTGCTACCTGATCACTGCCCACTGAGTCCCATAGAAAGGCAGAGGAGGTGAATTTCCAGCAGCTCCCCGAGTTTCTGCTGACCTTTTTAGGTGTTTTTATTACCTGTGGTGCTTTCTATTCATGTGTACTCCTGGGCTCTGGGGATTCCCCTCCCTTTGATTTACAAGGAGGATTAGAAAGACACAGCTTTGTGATCGGTCCCTCACAGACGGCTGGTATTAAGTGATTTCCCCTTCTTAGACTCATTTGAGGCCAAGAAAACAGTTCTGTTGAATCACTTGCTCCTTGGAGGTATGAAAATAGGGCACTTGGGGGAGTCCAACCTGATAAATACCAACATTGATACCCTTCAGCCTCAGCTACACTTCCAGTGGCATATAGTAGAGCGGAGTTGAAGCAGAGGAGTCTCGGGTCCCCCCCAGCCTCTGAGAAACCTCCAGTGGAGAGTAAGCAACTCTGGGCTTACTGCTTGTATTTCTGTGCCACCAGCACAAATGGCATCCTAACCACCAAGGGCTCTCCAAACTCACTGCCTGGAGAGGTGCAACCAATTCTATCTCCAGAGTGAATCTGTAGCATAAAATGGGAGCAAAGGCCACTCACTATGTATTGAAACAGAGGTCACAAGGTCTGCCTAGGAACAAATTTCCAAGTTAGCCACCTCATCAGATATGCTCTTGAACAAAAGTTATTTATTTGATGTCCTCAAGGAAGGGATATTGTGTAAGGTGTTATTTTTAAAAGGAGGGGTGGGGGCAGCTGAAGCAATGCTGTCTGTGTCTGTACTTAAAGAAATGACATCAATATAGACACACAATAATAACCTACAATTAAACAGACTCAACACAGGAGACACACATAAGAAGAACAAGTCCAGAACAAATATATTGAAATGGCTAAATATTTACATGGTAAGTAGGGGCAGGCTTCCTCCCACGGTGATGCCCTTGGAGTGGAGATCTTCTATCATGGTTACTAACATTCAAACTCCCAATCATGTGGTACAAGCCCGTTAAAAAGGATGTCCTGAGGCTGGGCATGGTGGCTCATGCCTGTAATCCCAGCATTTTGGGAGGCCGAGGCAGGTGGACCACCTGAGATCAGGAGTTCAAGACCAGCCTGGCCAACATGGTGAAACCCTGTCTCTACTAAAACTACAAAAAATTAGTCAGGCGTTGTGGTGCGTGCCTGTAATCCCAGCTACTGGGGAGGCTGAGGCAGGAGAATCGCTTGAACCCAGGAGGTGGAGGTTACAGTGAGCTAAGGTCACGCCATTGCACTCCAGCCTAGGCAACAAGAGCAAAACTCCATCTCAAAAGAAAAAAAAAAAAAAAAGGATGTCCTGGCCAAAGGCAGATCACACTTGAGGCACAAGCCCTACTGCCAGATGCCAAACAGGTTTTTAGTCTCTGATACTGGCTTGGAAATGGCCTCCTGGAACACTGTCCAAATGGGAAACGTGAGGCTTTCAGGACTCAAGAGTCGCTAGAGAGGAAGGTGAGGCATATATGCTGTGCACTGGCTAAACCTGCCCAGTACAACTGCATGTGGGTGCTAGACCATAGTTTTTCTCCCTCATTTTCAGGTAGCTATTTGTCGCCTCTCATATGACATCATTAATAAGAATAACCATGTCATTTTACACGTATATGGTACTTTATACTTTTCAGGGTATGTTCACAGAATGGTCTTAGCTGATCCTCAATGCAGAGTGAGGGGAGCTGGGAAGTGACTGAAGCAGCTGTCCTGGGTTAGGAGGGTGGACTCTGGAGTCAGATCCCCTGGGCTTCCAGCTCAGCTCCACTGCCTACTAGTTGTAGATTATTTATTCCACACCTACTCAGGTAGATTAGTTAATGTCTCTGTGCCTCACTTTCTTCAACTGTATAATTGGCATAGCAATCTTACCTATTTAAGGATAAATGAGTTAGCATATAAAGCACTTAAGACAGTGCCTAACACATATTAATATTATCCTTTTACTTATTATTCTATTGCGTTCAATTATTCCAATAGGAAAACCAAGGCTTATAACATTCTCGTTCTAATTTCTCTATTTCTCATGGTTTACCCACCCCAAATGCCCCAGTCTGAAATAGCCTCCTTTACTCTGTAAGTTTCCATCTTTGAGGGGCCAGTTCAAATCCTACCTTTTCCATGATATCTTTGCTAACTATTCTAGCCCTAACTTTTCTCTCACTTCTTAATACTCATACTTTACTTCTTTTTCTTCTATTTTTTTTTTCATTTTTTTTTGAGACAGGCTCTTGCTCTGCCATCCAGACTAAACTGCAGTAGTGCAATCACGGCTCACTGCAGCCTTGAACTCCTGAGCTCAAGCGTTCCTCCCACCTCAGACACAAGAGGAGCTGGGAACAGAGGCATGCACCACCACACCCGGCCAATGTTTTATTTTTTGTAGAGACGGAGTTTCCCTATGTTCCCAGCCCAGGCTGGTCTCAAACTCCAAGGGTCAAGTGATCCTCCTGCCTTGGCCTCCCAAAGTGCTGGGTTTACAGGTGTGAGCCACCTTGCCCTAGATAATACCCTGACTTTAGAATCAATACCAAGTAACTTAGTACAAGACTTTTTATGTCATTTGTGTTATCCTTCTCTCTCTATGGTGCACATTTCATGAGATTTTATGTGTTTCTACATCTCTAACCCTATTCTAAAGGAGTGAAGGAGGAAGAGAGGAAACTCACGTTCACTAAGCATTTCCTATGTGTCAGACCCCTACCAATTGCTTGAGTTGTGTTGGCTTATTTTATCCTCACAACTCAGTGAGGTAAACGTTATCATCCTGGTTGTAAAGATGAGGAAACTGAGGTTCAAGAAGTTGAGGTATTTTTTGAGATCAAATAGCTGGCACATGGGAGCACCAGACGCAGACCTGGTCTACCTGGCTCTCTAGTCTATCACATAAAAAGGTTCTCAATATGAAAACTCATGGTCCCACGGATATTTGTGGATTAATTTCCTCAGAATAAGGCATTCACTGATATCAGATTAACCAAGTCCCATTTGTTTAATGCAAAATCATTCATAAAGAAAAAACTGTACAAAATGTTTAAGTATAAAACAAATTTTGAGTAGCAAGAAGAAACCAGTCAACTGTTAGAATTCTGTTTGTTAGAGTTGGAAACACTGAGTCTTCAGGCAGGAGGAACCATGCTCCAGTAGGTCCGGCAAGGGAAAGGACACAGACTCCTGGGTTCTATTTCTGTCTTGGCCACCAACCACTCTGCTAATATTTTCACTTCTGCTGAAATGTGATGACGAGAGTTTCAGAAGATTGGTTGTCACATAAGAACAGAATAAGAGCAGGCAGTTAGCTGGTTAAATGTGGAAGAGCCACAAACAACACTGGGATCTGGAATAGGAGTTCACAGGTGGGAAAAATTCCATTTGGGCATTTGTCTTCTCAGTTTCATTTCAACGCACAGAGAGCAGCATGGGTCTGGAACCAGTCTTAAATATACGTGATGATAGTATCTGTGTTTTCAAATGCATACCTCTAAAACTAAAGGTCTTTAGTTTAAGAAATATTTTCTTGTTTTTCCTATTTGAAATGATATTTGTATTTATTTTTCGGATGGGTTGCTCTGTACAATGGTAGTGCTAAATAAGAAAAAAAATAATTAATTCTTAATATATTTGGGAACCAGCGCATGAAGTATATTAGTACCTCTATAACCTGACAGAGGTCCTGGCCTTATGTTAAAGACTCAGCTAGGATAGAGGTGATAGGGCCAGGGGTTTGTCTTTGGTCTTTGAAGTCATCTAGCCAAGAGGCCAGGCTGTTTAACGACTGGTAACTGAGGAGGGTTTATGGCTGTTCCTGCAGTCCTTCAAGGTATACCATGATCCCTTTGAAAAAAGGGACACAGAAGCTGGAAACACTGACTACCAATCCTACATACCTAAAGTCCCACTGAATTCAGAATCCTGGAGTTCTGAGCAAATCTCATGGAAGCCGTCCTGCCTTCATCAAGGCCTGGAAAGGCATCACTGCCGAGAACAGATGCCCACATGCTTTGGAATGAGAGGACAAGCAAGCTTTTTTCTGTCTGGTTATTGACAACACGGTGTTCCTTCTCATGGACTCCTCCTGCCCTCCCTAGCACCACACTGAAATGACTAAATCTGCCTGTTGGCTCCAGTGAATCCAGTCAAATAAGTCAATTCTCTTTAAGTTTGTGGTCTCAACTCCTTGTTGGTTTATTGCAAAATTAAAGGGCATACAGAGTAGAACCATCAATCAGTAACCAGCAGAGGAATAAGCTCTTTGTGGAATGTACTGAGAAGCAGGAAAGAAGAAAAAATGAAAAGAAACCTCATGAAATGGTCATTTGTTAGGAGAACAGAAAAAAAAAAATCTGCATTTCACATGCAACATCATTTAGGAAAAGTCTTATTAAAGGTTTCCTATCTCACCAGGAGAGCAAGCACAGGAACGCAAAGAAAAATCCCTCAAAATGACCTGCCATCTATTAGTGCTGGTTTCTTGTGGGTTTTGCTGTATTCCATAGACACAGCCTGAGATCATGTGGCCCAAGGGCTGGAACAGTGACTCAGCAGGCTCAGGACCAGGGAAAGGAGATGAGAAGCCACTGTTGTTTATTACAAAACAAAACAAACAAACAAACAAATGTAACTGGCTCTTTCAGCCCTCTACCGCATGCTGACCTTCCCTTAGCACCCCTTTATTTAAAGTACCCAGTGCCATGTCTTACTTGGAATTTTTAACAAATGCAATTTGATCAGGGTGAAAACTGAAGAGCACTACATAGTCTAGACAAAGAAAACTAACATTTACTGGGTACCCAGTGAGTATCAAACACCATGTTCAGTGCCTTAGTTACAGACCTCCTTTCATCCTCATCGTAACACCATGAGGTAGGTGACATTATTCCTCTTTTAAGGATAAAGATATTAAGTGACTTGCCTGGCTTGCAGCAAGCAGCAACATCAATGTGACTACAAAATCCCTTCTTTCAAATAGATTCACCATTTCAAGCATGGCACCAGGAAAACTACTATGTGGCATTCTAAATCCTTCTGGAAGAAATGAAATTGGTAGTACTGGAAATAGTATAAGGGTAACTCACCAGCTGTGTCTACCTTGTACATTTTTTTCTCTAGATAAATTTCTTCTCTAGGGCAACTAGTATTGCCTATTTCATAGGAGAGAAAAGCAAGATGCCAAGAAGTGTAGGAAATTTCTGGCACTGGTAGGCAAAAGAGCCAATAGAACACAGCACGCCTCTGGCTGGTCGCAGTGGCTCACGCCTGTAATCCCAACATTTTGGGAGGCCAAGACGGGCAGATCATTTTAGTCCAGGAGTTCAAGACCAGCCTGGCCAACATGGCAAAACCCTGTCTCTACCAAAAATACAAAAATTAGCCAGGCATGGTGGCACGCGCCTATAGTCCCAGCTATTTGGTAGGCTGAGGCACATGAGAGAATTGCTTGAACCTGGGAGACGGAGGTTGCAGTGAGCCAAGATTATGCCACTACACTCCAGCCTGGATGACAAAGCGAGACTCTGTCTCAAAAACAAACAAAAAAAACCCCCAGAACATACCTCTGATTCTCACCTGTGGCAAGATGTAGCCTTTGAAATACTATGGTAATAGATAAGAATTATTTACATTGCTTTAAAATAATGAACGGGCCATATATATAATATACACATTTATATGAATATAAAATTTCATCTGAACATCTTTATCAACATCAATAAGGTATATATTATATCTCTTTCCGTATCAGAGAGAAAAAGTGACTTGCCTAAAGTTTACAGCATATAAATGGGCCTAAACCCAAGTCTGACTCCATATCTCATGGTCTTTACATTCCTTGATCCTGAAGGGGAGGGCACCTCCCAGAAAAAGAGGCAGACTGACGGTGAAAGAATAACCTCCATGAGAAAGCTAGGTCTTACTGGCTTTCTGAAATAAGGATGAGCTGCTTGTGAATTGTTATGTCCCGTGGAACTGGATCTTGGCTTCTCCTTTTTCTCTACACAGGTTTGACTATTAATAATAGCATTAGGACCTATGGCTGTCTCTGAGGGTTGTCGTCCATTACTAATGTGAGGCTCCTCGTAAGTGCTGGTTATGGTTTATGAGTAGTGGTCCCCTTCATTAATTCAGCCAAAGAGCTTCCAAGAGAGGACTATGGAAGTAAGAAGTGAGAGAAACCCATACCTGGGACTAAGGAGGTTCAGAGTGAGATTGCAAGGAGGTTAAAGAGTAAAGTTTATATTTAAGGCTTCCTTCCCTAACACTCACCATGTTCTCTCCGTCCTGAGTACTCCATAAGCTTTGTACACTCATCTTTTCAAGTGCAGCTAAAAGTGGGACCTGCTCCCCGACATCCTTTTCCCAGTAGCCAGTACTACCTCGGAGGGCTTTGAGGGCCCAAGACCCCATCCCTGTGCCATCCACCACTGCTCATAAATCTACACAGTCCTTTCTTCCCTACCCTCTTTCTGATGAACTAAGTCTTAAATATGTCTTACAGATGACTTTTGCTACAGAGCTGTGTATTTTTGAGGGAAGGCCCCTGCTGACATACCAATTGCACTAAAGCAGTTGCTCTGAAGTGGTGGGGACGGGTTTTGAATCTAGTTCTTCTCACTCCAGTTCCATACTAATTCCCCTACACATTCTTTTCCTTCCTCTTCTGAAATAGAAAACCTGGCTCAACATGTGACTGACAGACTCCCCTGTAGATACTGGAAGCATAGTTGAAATAAAAGCTGAATATCTCAGAAAACAAAATTACTCAAGTAATTAATTATTAAAATTAAAAATGTTATGAAAATACTTATTAAATACAAATCGTGGTTAAAACAAAGATAAGACTGATATTTTTCTGTTTAAAAAAAAAGTAAAATGAGTACGCAAATGAGCTAAAATGAAATGTAGCAAGTAATCCATGAAAAGAGGATGGATGGGAAGCTAGGAGATGGGAAGGTATGACTTCTCAATGGGAGACTCAGGGGAGGAGTCATTTGATCTGGGCCTTGAAGGAAGGGCCCAATTTGGACATTGAGAGTTATGTGGAAGGTCATTCTAAATGGCAGAAGAGGCCCCTATATTATGATAATTTGGATCTGCAGAGTATTTCAGAGGAGGAACTCTGGAATACTGGAAGTCATTAACAAGGTGACCAATCTGTCTCTTTCTATAATAACAGCACAGGTATTTATACCAGGGATTCATCTGTCTCAAAAAAGGAGCTCTTTGAAAAGCATGAAAACAGGCTCCCAGCTGGGAGACACTGGAGAGGACTTCCTTCTCCTGTTCACCTGCATCTCATGTCTGCATGATCCAACTTTACAGGAAGTAGAAGCAAGATGTCTACATAATCTCCTCCTACCACTGAACTTGGTTCCTACAGGACAGGTTCTTGCAGTAAGGACAAAAAAATAGAAATAACATGTCAGCTGAGAATTCAAGGGTGTGTGTGTGTGTGTGTGTGTGTGTGTGTGTGTGTGTGTGTGTGTGGAGAGCTAGTTTCAAACTGTATTTAGAAGCTAAATTCTGCTACAACACATCAAAGAATATCAGGCCCCATTACAGAGGAAAGGAAAAGCCCTAATTTGCATGCAACAGGGTTTAGGAAAAATTTTTATGAAAGACTTCTCTAAGGGGGTAAAAACTAAAACAAAACAGCAACCAAAAAGTCCTCAAATGACTGTGTGACTGTGTGTCATCCATGCGTATCCTGATAGCTTCTCGCCAATTCCCTCGCAGGCAGGAGAGACCCCACTGGACTTCAAAATTTTCCTACCCTAGAGAAAGGAGGCATTATAAACCAAAGCAGAGTCCCCTTATTTGTTCCACTACTTTTTTTTTTTAAGTCCACTTTTTCTGCCAGTTACTTTTCAACATGACTGACAAGAATGCTTTCCACTTTTCCATTATGTTTTCAAAGCCAACAGCAAAGCTCAACTAGAGGTTCAAATAAAAATTTTAATCAATACAACTATAAGAATGTTACTTTCATATAAATTTAGTCAGTTCTCAGGTAGCACATGAGGGTCACAGAGAAACTCCCTGACTCTAACACAGACTTGGAAATGAGGAAAATAAGATGGCCTTCTGGAGTTAAACTGCATAATAATCAGCACTCACTGGCACAGGACAGAACTGCAGAATGAAAGGACAGAATATATGTCTCATTAAACAATGGATCTAGGCAATGATCATCAATGGGTGCTAAAACCAGTAGGTGAAAAGTTGACAGAAATCTTGGTCATGGGAAGAAGATCAGGCTGCCACTATCCCGAACCACTGATCAACTTAATCACCATTAAAGGTGATATAGTCAGACATTATTGCCTTGTGACATGATAAAATAGGAAGTACTAGCACCACCTATAGAGTGTTTTTGCCTAAAAAGAAAAAACAAAACAAAACCCTCTAAACCCTAATCTAATCAAACCTTAGCAGCAACCACCAGTTTATGGGAAATATAAGATCTAGCAGAACAAGTTAAAAGGACGTGGTGAAGAAGCCATCAGCCAAATCTAGAATATAGGGCATTTGATATCCAATTTCTCCAAATAATTAATGTCACAAATAAAAGGAGAGTAAGGAAGTAATTATTTCTGACATAATTATTAATTATTTGTGACATTATTTGTGACATTTATTATTTTATTCTGGGAAGTACTCCAGAATAAAAGAAAGTAAAAGGATATAACAACCAAATGCAATTTATGGACCTTATTTAGGTCCTTATTTAAACTAATCAACTGTAAAAGGATATCTTTGAGACAATCAGGGAAATCTGATTTTGGGCTGGGTATTGGATGATATTAATGAATTGTTAATTTTGTTAGGTGTAGTAAAGGCAAGGCATTATGGTTTCATATGCCCTTATCGATTTAAAGATAGGAGATGTGGGTAGAGAAATGTGTGTTCCAGAGATAAATTTTAAAATGCAAACAAGAAAGGAAGGAAGAAAGTAAATGTAATCATGGTACATTTTGTAGCTCTGCCATGAATGCTTACATTGTCACAGTAATGTAAATATTAACTGAATATTATGATATAATCATACCGGAAAAAAGAAGGGGAAGAGTGAAATGGAAGGAGAGAATGGTGTAAGTACCCTATGGTCATCGTCCATAGAAAACATGAGATAATGTCTAAAATAGAAAAATTAAGAAACAGCAATTCAAGCATATCAGTTAGAAATGTGGGGGTCACTAGTAGAATCAACAAGAGATTTGAAAGTGGCTGCTCCCGAAGCATAAGAAGCAAAGGAGAGTGGGGAAATTGGGGCAAGAAACTGGTTTTCAGTACAAATCTATACTATTACTAGATTTGTAAAACATTATACATGTTTTACTCTGATGAAAAATAGAATTTAAATAAAAAATAATATGTAGAACAGGATATGGGGAGGAAGTCTGTCAGCTAAAAAATTTTATATAAAGTATAGCCTGGCATGGAGGCTCACACCTGTAATCCCAACTACTCAGGATGCTGATGGGAGAGGATCGCTTGAGCCCAGGAGTTCGAGGCTGCAGTGAGCTATAATTGCACCACTATACTCCAGCTCTGTATGACAGAGTGAGAGCACATCTCTAAGAAAAAAAAGAAAAATGATGGAAGTGCTTGTTCCGAACCTAATCAGGGTTGCCAGGAAGCCCTGTGTGCCCACTCAAGTGGTCACCTGACAGATAGATCTGCACTGTAGAGGTGGAACAGCAGGCTAACGGGGCCTGATAATATAAGCATTTGAATCACTTAACTCCCCTCACATCAATTCTGTACTTACCAAGCAACTGTCCAATAATTTGATTTGTCACTTAATTTGCCTTAAAGGGGAACTTAGGCAAGCCTATCCAGTGGATAGAACAGCTTAATTTTACACTGTAGGATCAATAATTTGGCATTCTATTTTTATAGCTCAGCCTGGTCCGGGAGCTTTGGGACCAAGAACAGGGCCAGGTTCACCTGAGAGTAATAGGCTTTTGGCCAAAAGCTGATCACCAGGCAAAAAACACCTTGGGAGACTTCCTGACTCTGGATAGCAGCCTCCTCCTGCTCAGGAGCTGCCCTAACCTTAGTGTCCTCATCACACTGCCTTAAGCAAAATCATAACCACCAGTTAATCTCAGTTATTCCCCTACATTACACTAAATAATCAAGAGACAATTGTGTCTGACCACTTGTAGGAAGACACAGTGGTCACTCGTGGCTCTTTTCAAGCAAAGATATTCTTCAACAGTTGCTTTCAGGACCCCACAGGACATCATGGGCAGAAGCCGAAGTTCTAGAACTTTTAAAATATAGAAAGTGTTGGGCCAGGCGCAGTGGCTCACGCCTGTAATCCCAGCACTTTGGGAGGCCGAGGCAGGCGGATCACCAGGTCAAGAGATCGAGACCATCCTGGCTAACACGGTGAAACCCCATCTCTACTAAAAATACAAAAAATTAGCCAGGCAAGGTGGTGGGCACCTGTAGTCCCAGCTACTGGGGAGGCTGAGGCAGGAGAATGGTGTGAACCCGGGGGCAGAGCCTGCAGTGAGCCGAGATCACGCCACTGCACTATAGCCTGGGTGACAGAGAGAGACTCCATCTCAAAAAAAAAAAAAAAAAAAAAAAAAAAAAAAAAAAAAATATATATATATATATATATATATATATATAAAGTGTTTATAAACAAAATACCATGGTAATAGAACATTTCAATTTTTTATACAGAAAACATAATAATAAGTATTATTGAGTACTTCCAAAGTGCTCTTTACATGTAGTATCTCATTTAATCTTCACAAAGCCCTAAGGTATAGGATCATTCTATTTGTCATATACATTTATTTATTTACAAAGATGGAAAATAAGATATGGCAACATTGAATAATTTGGTCAGGGTCATACAGCAGAATGGAGCAAGGATTCATAACTGGGTCGTCCACTTAGTGGGTGTGGTTCTCAGCGGCAGCGAAGTGTCTTGCTGAGAGTCACACAGCAAATGAGAAATAGAGCCAGGAAGAGGCATCTCTTGTCTTTTACTATAAGTCTGCAGAAGGAAGTGGAAGCCAATGAAACCCTTGAGACATTATAATCTCCCCTAAGTACAGCCACTACAGCCAATTCCATTAGCTCCAAACCAGCTGAGCAAATGCCTGAGTTATATTAAGCCCCCACAGTGATCACGTGGTGAAGAAATGCCTCTGTGCAACTGCATCCAAAAATTAGAAATTAAGTTCTGAAATCATAACAGAACTGTTGGTGACAGGGCAAAAAGTGTGGCACACAAAAATTGCTTGCTGTTTCATTTTCGAGTTGAAACAAGTATCTCACAAAGATAACTTCATGCATTTGCCTTACTTCCCCCTGGAGAAAGGAGAACAAAAAGAAAATGGCAAATTTGGGAGGCTCCCAGAGTTCTAATAAAGTTGTCCTTCATTTATTGTCAAGGCCACCATTTATTGAGCAATTACTATGATGTGTGAGCAATAAAGCTAAGCACCTTTCAAACATTATCATCATCGTCATCTTCAATTAATTAGTCCCTTGTTACGAGTTGATCAGTCTGCTAAGCACTACGCAGAGATTACCTCCTTTAATCCTGGCCACTCTCCTGTGAGGCAGGCCATAGTATTTTATACCCATTTGACAGGTAAAGAAAATGAGCTTAGAGGGCTTCTAAAAATTGTATAAGGTAATGGGAGAGCCATAACTGGAAGCTAAAGCCCAGAACCCATATCCATTGGACGATAAAGCCTTGTTTCTTACCTACCATGCTGTATTGCCTATTTATCTTTTTTTTTTATCTTCACAACACACTTTCAAGGTGCTATAATATTCATTTTATAGATGAGAAAAATGAGTCTCAGAGAGGTTAAATCACTTTCTAAAGACACACAGCTGGTAAGCAGCAAAGCTGGGATTCAAACCCAGGCTTGTTTTACTCCAAAGCCCAAGCTTTTCATCACTACACTACAGTATCTGTCTTTTCACTAGGATGTCAGTGCATTCATTTAATAAATATTTATCAAAGCCTTACTATGCACCAAGCACTGCTGTAGGCACTTGGGATACAATGTGAATAAAACAGATAGAAATCCTTCCCTGTAGTTTACATTCTAGTGGTGGGAGGCAGACAATAAACGTAATAAATGACAAATGATACAGTATGTTAGAAAGTGATCATTACTATGGGAAACAAACTAGGGTAAGGGAGATTTAGCTTAAGGTGTGGGAATAGGTTGCAATTTTAAACAAAATGGGCGACAGAGGCTTCATGGGAAAAAGAAATATGAACATAGAGTTAATGAAGCAGAGGACAGTACACATATGAATATTCAGTCAATTCTATAACTCTTCAACAGAAATCTGTAAAGAGAAATCCTTTAACATCTTATCTCATGTACAAATATCAAGGAAGCAGAAAAGTTAAAAAGCCAAGGGCCTGGGCTTTATCCCCTAACTTGCAAAAATGCATACTGCAAGGAGATAAAAAAAAATACACACATAGCTCATCTGCCATAAAAGATGGAAATGGTAAGGTTGGTAGCTGTATCTAGGCAAAGAAAAAAAAGAGACAGAGAGAGAGCTAAATATTTTACCTATCAAGAATTAGCTCCCAAAGTCAGTGGCGTTTCCCAGGCAATCTGGGTGATGTCTTCATCAAGCTCTCAGTCTACAGATGTTAACATTATAAAACTATTCCCATAAAATTACACTGCATAACAGCCGAAGACTGGCTGAACCCCTGTGACCCAAATGTGCTATCTCCAGAAAAACCAACAAGGCAAGCTATATTACACTTTCCATGAGTACACAAAGCCTAGACTATTCTGAGTAAAAGTTCATTACTTGGAGAGTTCAGCCTAAGACTGTGGGAAATTACAGAAATAATCTCTTCATCCAAATAAAAAAAGAACTCCTCTATTAGGAAAGATCCTGAAAATGTATCCCTCTATTCCAGACTCTCTAATAAGGAAAAATTAAGGCTAGACACTGAATTTTGGTGCTTTGCCTCCTCTATGAATGGCCTTCAGTGAACCATCTGCTCCTTACAGGTCACAAACAAATTTTATTGGCCATATCTGAGGATATAGCAACATATATTCTACAGGGCTTCTCCTGTTTTGGGCTGGATCGCAGGGCATGTAACAAACTAAAGGAATTGAAGAAGCAGAACTGCCTAGTGAGACTAATGGAAGTTAAGGTTGCAAAGTTATCGCAAAGTTATTCTTAGGGTTAGTATTAGTAAAGTATTACATGACTACCTGAAATGTATTTCTATTTTTGATTTCCTTGTTGACCCTTTGGAAAAAGAGGGTGGTTCTATAGTAGCTGTTTCCAATTGGCAGTTGTGCATGACCAGAAGCTTCAGATCAAGTGAGTCAACCAGGACCTCAATCCAAGGCCTGTGTTCCACTACTGGACAACAGCCCTTTTCATGGTACAGATTCCGCAAAAGAGAGACAAAGGAAGAGAGGGAAGCAAAAGCCAGGAGAGAGGTAAATAACTTCCAATTCAATCCCTCATTGAGTCCACATGTGTTTACTGAGCAACCGCTGGGGAACAGGCGTTGTTCCAGCTTCTGGGTAACAACAGAGAACCAGACTAAGACAACCTCTTTCTGCCCTTGTAGAGTGAGACCCCCTAGTCAGGGTCCAACAGTAAACAAGAAAACCAGGAAATGAGCAGGCAATTTCAGATATGATGAGTGATGTGAGGAAATAAAATATCGGGTGTAGATACTGATAGGACAGTCAGGGGAGTCCTGTCTGAGACAGGACATTCAGGCTGAGATCTGAGTGACGATCCTGCGGTAGCACAGGGTTCAGGGCAGGGTCCCAGGCAGGGGAGATGTGTAGAAAGGTCCTAAAGAGAAAGATGCTTACGATGCCCTGGGAACCCAGAGTAGATCAGCATGGCTGGAATTACTGCAAGAGGTGGTCAGAGCAGTGGGCAGGGCTGAGTCAGGCAGTGCCTTGGAGGCTGGCACCCAGCCTTGGGTTTGGTTGCAAGAGTGTGGGAGACCACTGGTGGCTCTGAAGCAGGAGACTGACATGATCTGGTTTATGTTTTAAAATGTGCTGATTGTGAGGAGTCAAACACCAACATTTAATCCTCCCATGAAGGCACAGCTTTTGTGTTCTTTGTAACACGCTTAAAATATTCATGAGTGCTCAATTCCTCTTGGCTGGGGGGAAAAAAGAAATTATATACCAAAGCTCTTCTTCTTCAGGCCACTGAGTGTTGGGAGAAGCAGAGAGACAGAAACACTGGGCCCCAAAGACATGCTGGCAGGGGGGCCCATCTTCTCAGGGTGGCCAAGGGTGGCGCCTGAGGGGAGAAGGTGTCTGATCACACTGTGGCTGCTATAGTTGAATCTGAACAGTAGCAGTGGCACCAAAGCAGAATATTTCTGGTTGGAAACACTTTCAAATGGAATTCCAGTTCATCTAAGGCAGGATGTGGTCTCATTCTATCAGTCAGTAAGTACTTATTACATCTCTACTAAATGCAGTCTAGGAACAAACAAAGATGAAAAAGTGAATGCTGTGTAAATTAAAGATGCTCTGTGCCTTTGAGGATTTGAAAGTCTCATGGAGAAGATAAGACAAAAGAGGGAAAATATCCACAGTGGTATACACAGCTATCTTCACATATATGTAGATATTTAGAGATAGAGCTAAAACCCAGATCTTTTGATTCCTAGTTCATCACTATCTCAGGTGAACAAATCCACAAAGCCCATAGTTTATGATTCTAATTGTGATGAGATGTGAACAGACATTTTGCCAGGAATCCGTAACTCCCACTATTACCCCCTATAAGACAAAGGTCATCCACAAACAGCCACTTGGCAGAATCCACTTCAGCAAACTCAATCTCTTCCAACCCACCACCAGTTTCACTTCCCTGTGGGGAAGATACAAAATGTACATGGGAGGAAGTGAGAGTGACGTGCTGGTGATCAGTTGTCTTTTCTGAAAAAGTGCAATCTACACAATGATATGTATGTATACACAGAGGCAAATGGCTGCATGATGTGTATGTATGTGTGTATGTGCACACATACATGCATTTTAATAGCTCATTCAAGAAAAATAAGCAGGACCTGGATATGTTAGGTGTCTGAAGTGATAGTTCCCAGAATGGTAGGACAAAATTGACCTGGCTTCTCTAGCCAGCAGGAAATGCAATTCTCTTCCTGCTGCTCAAGGAGAAATGTTAGAACTCCATCAGAGGCTTTATGTTAGTCTCTCCTAGCCACTCTATTCCTAATAAAAATGGCATTTAGGTCACTTACTTAAAACAACAGTGATTTATAACTGCAGCTGAGAACTGCATGGAAGTCTGCAGCACATTATTTGACATCTGAAAAGTTTGGTTTTATCTGTGTAAAATGAGAACCATAAAACTGACAATCCCAGAATCAGGACAGGGAAGCTTCAGCATGAAATAAATTGTTTAATTATGACAGAGCATGGTGAAAACAGCAGCCACTAACATTTTTATATGATATTCATACACAAAGTGATACGATTAATCTGATGTTAACTCAGATATATCAGCCCAATAGATTATAATCCTCTATTGTGAGCTAGAGAGACATAAAATGAAGTTATGGGCCCATAAGCAAAATATTTTTAAAATAAATTCCCTTATGGGTTTGAGGACCCTCCTTCAAGGGTCTCTATACATACTATGGGAGTTCTGGCATAATCCCTCTACAAAGTGGCCCATATCTAGAAGTACTGGTCTTTTTATTAATATTAGTGTTTGCCAAATAACCAATCAAACCTTACACACAAATTCTTTCATTTGAAAGAATTCTAGAAGACTAATTCTTTCATTTGACTCTCCCAGTGGTAAACATGTTCTCTTTGACATCATCTCTTTGATGTTAAATGAAATGACATTAAAGTAAGTTTCTAGATTTGCATAAAGGAATTTTTTTCATATAATACCATATGTATTTGTCTTACCCCAGTTGTGCAAATTGAGGTATGTTTTTAATATCTGCGGTTGTCACGGTTTTCCTATTATTAGGGCTACTCTGGGGATTTGAATCAGCTGGATTGTTCACCTTCAGAGCTCAAAACCAAAAGAGCAAGAATTTCCAAAGAGCAAAAAAGTATCGTCTTTGCGGAAAGCACAATACTCTTCCCCTTTTCGAGTTGCTTTTTACCTATCTGAAGAACACCAGGCCATCAGAGGCAATGCACTGGGTTAGACTTACAAGTCAACTTTTCAGGAGAAACAGCACCTAGAGAGAGCTCGAGGTTTGGTCTCCGACTTTAGAGCTGATTCAGAATTCTGATTCTGTTTTCCTAGAAGATGAGCCCCACATCTCTGTAACTTTTTGCGTAATGTATAGAACTACATAAATAATTGGTGTGCTGATATTTGTGATAAAACAATAATGTTTATATATTTTTACAGCA
Source organism: Homo sapiens (assembly GCF_000001405.40). Taxonomy (NCBI): domain Eukaryota; kingdom Metazoa; phylum Chordata; class Mammalia; order Primates; family Hominidae; genus Homo; species Homo sapiens. Next base: position 68,266,870 of record NC_000014.9, on the reverse strand, counting down.
CTTTACAAAGTGTTTTCATATTTATTACACATTTGAGGCACAGCCTTGTAAGGTTGGTACTACTATCATCCCTATTTTATAGAGATATCAGAGTCACCAGGAATACATGTAATTTGTCAAAAGACACTCAGCTCTTAAGTAGTAGAGTCAGAATTTGATCTCATAGTCTGTCCTCTATTGATTTGTACCTCATTCCCTCTGATAACTTTGCTTAGATCAAAAAGCCATCGCCCTTCCAGGGAAATGTTGGGGCTTAGAACAGGATACCCCCAAATATGGCACCCTGGCATACCAAGCATTTTAAGCTAAAGGACATTGGAAAACCACAGAAACAGGAAGGTCACTCTCTGACCTTCTCTTGCCTTTCCCTCTGAAGCAGGCCATAAAATAATTTTCTGACCTATCTTCCCTAAAAGTAGGCCTTAAGATCTTCATTCCAGAGGGGTCCTACCCTATACTTGGAAGCCATTCGAACAAACAGGGCTTGCAAAGTTCTCCCTAGTTGATTACCATTAGATGATACTCTGTGGTGCTCCAATCATACTTCTGTATGACTATCCATATAAATACACAGTTTTCCCTGGGTCTTTGGGTCATTTCTAAGGGCTTCAGTGTCACATAAAACTCTGTTAAATAAATTTGTTATGCTTTTTGCTTGTTACTCTGCCTTTGCTATAGGGTTCAGTAATGAACCTTGCAATAGGTGAGAAAAAGACATTACTTCTTCTAACCCTACAGCTCCTGGTGCCCAAACAGGAACCTAAAGCCTACCCCCAACAGTGCAAACACCAATCACTTGCCAGGCAAGGACTGCTCAGGGGTAGGGATACAAATAAAGAACAAATTTGATGGGAACATCCATCTATAAACCCAGTGCATGCACTTAATCCAATTTAGTAGTGCTACACCTTATTAAATGTCCATTTCCAATGCTGCTACATTTATAATTCATGTTATAAATGAGCACAATTATATTTATATCTCTCTCAAAATGCCAACCATCTACTAGAGTGAATTGTTTTCTTCCTCTGTGCTACTTGATTCATACCAACAGAATAGCATTTATCATATTATTATATTATACAGTTAGTTATGTTATTTTTATTTTTTATTTTTTAAGACAGAGTCTCACTCTGTTGCCCAGGCAGGAGTGCAGTGGTATGTGATCTCAGCTCATTGCAACCTCCGCCTCCTGGGTTCAAGTGATTCTCCTGCCTCAGCCTCCCGAGCAGCTGGGATTACAGGCACATGCCACCACGCCCAGCTAATTTTTGTATTTTATTAGTAGAAATGGGGTTTTACCATATTGGCCAGGCTGGTCTTGAACTCCTGACCTCAGGTGTTCCACCTGCCTCAGCCTCCCAAAGTGCTAGGATTACAGGTGTGAGCCACCGCGCCTGGCCGACAGTTAGTTATTTTTATACCAGTCTGCCCCACTGGTCTGGGAGCATCTTAAAAACAAGAACCATGTCCCATTCATTTTGAACATAGCACCTGGTATGCCTTAGATCCCAAGGAAATGATTGCTGAATACTCACTAGGGGACCTAACATTTATTTGTGATATACTTAGCCATAAATGAGTAATAAATCTTAAGAGACCAAACTTTACTAAGGCCAAATCACTGTTTGAAACATACAGTAACTCTGCTATTATAATTCTAGTTCTGAATCCAGTTTAAGAATTCTGTCTAAACTACTGATAAATGTTTATCGTAAGTTGATAAGGGTCTATTCACTCCAGACATCAAGGTAATAGTAAGCCCTAATGGTAAAGTGAATTGGATACAGGATAGGAAGCCAAAATCTAAGATTATCCTACTCATTCCAAGACATCTGGTCACTTGATCAGTATTCTACCTAAGCCACTTGACCTAGATTATACCACTTATTTCACATTAAACCCTGTGGGAAGTATTATATGCTATTTCAGAGGCAGAGTTCCCTATTCCATGTTTTTCTGCTACCCGATGCAGCCTCCACACATTTCCCTTTAGTTTGAAATAGGTAATATCCAGGAAAGGCAGACGAGAAACGGTAAAGAAGGAAATTAAACACAGTGCTGACCCCTCTCTCTCTCTGCCATCCACTTTTCTTGGATCCTAAAAGCTTCTGACATCTCATTCAGCATGCTCTAATCCTCCTAAATGAGTTTCTACTAATCTCTTCTCCGATTAAAATAATCCCTGCTCAACCTCCTACTTCGTATAACTATCTCAAGGCTCCATAAAAGTCATAGTAACAAATTTGTATCTACTTTACCTTTACTACCTTTCCTAGCCTCTAAAAAACTAAATACCCTAGGAGATGCCTCCTGTACTTCTGGCATTCCACCAGAATAAATGAGGTCCCAGATAACTCCAAAGCATCTCTCACTGGCTTACCCCAAATCTTGTCACAAACCCCATGCCATTCAAAACACTAGCTACTCAGAAAACTTTCTCTTCTACTCTGGTAAATTCTATCACCAAGCCTATAAACCTTGGATACCGTCAGGAGTCTGGCTCCGTTCCTGCCTATAAGTCATCCCTAACCCCAGTCATAGAATTCTTAGAAGTCTAGAAACTTTTTAGGCATTCCTATTTCCTTTAGAGTAGTCCCAAATGGGATAGGCATGTTGACCAACATGACAACCCTACCCCTGAGTACCAGCTAGTCAAAACAGTCCTGCTAATTTAACAGCCATAGTCCTGAATAAACACGATCCTCACCCCTGTTTTAAGCAATAGGAGTTCCTAGAGCTCTATTGTTTTCAGTGAATTCTGAGGAAGTAGGAAGGAAGGACCATAGATTAGAGGGTATGTTTACAGAGCCATCTCAAGAGTCTAGCAAAGTGGGATCATAGTTCACTTTTGTGTTTTGGGGGCCTTGGCCGTTCCCAGAAGAGAAAAGTGTAAGGCAGTTAGAAGACAAGCACCAAAATGGTGAAATTTATATATAAAATAAATTTGCTGTTGACTTCTCTTTGCATACTGCTTTTTGGCATCCCTTTAACCTACTATACATTGTTTGTGATTTCTGCATTCTAGTTTCTGATGATCAAGTTTGCCATTAGTGCTTATTTAAACCAGATGTTTTCCACAAGAAAATGTCAGATGAGGGGGAAGGGCTAGGCCATTATGAAAGAACATAGGCCTTACAACTTTCCTCTTCCCAGAGACTGCTGATTTGACTCAAGTTTCCGAATTGAAAGTCTGACATATTCATTTTTACTTATAGAAAAGTGTAGCTTTGTGTGTTCAAACAAGAACTAATGTCAGAAAAAAAGCATTATGAAACATATTTATCTTTACTGTATAGGTAACTAATGTTAATTACATAAATCTAAAAATGTAAAATTAGAATTAAGTATTGATAATGAATATTATTATAAAATCAGATTTAAGTTCTAAGACCTTGTTTAATTTTTTGTTCCAATATGTTGCTAACATCATTGGGACTGTCTGTCCTGGGAGCACTCACCTGCCTCATCCCTTATATGTGGTGATTTCCCTTTTCACTCCTCAGGTCTTCCCTGGCTTCTATAAAACAAGAAATTCTGCTTTTTACATAAGCTTCTTAGAACTGAGTTTTTGTCATATGTAACAGAGTCTTGAGTAAAATGTTGTATTAAGCATTAGAATTTTTTGTATTCAAACACTCTTGCTGGTTAGCAGTTTGTTCACAGGTCATCTGCATAAGTTGTGGGAAAATGCTTGCAGGTATCCTGTTCCTTTCAGCCCTCACAGAGCATCAGGGTGGTCAGTATCATCTCTGATGCAAAGGAGGAAACTGAGGCTAAAAGACTTGCTCAAAAGACGAACAGCTACTGTGGGAGAGGAAACGATTTATTTTTTCATGGCTGAGCCTCTATAATAAAAGCCACATTACCAAGAGAAAAGCATGACAAATTTATTTATAAATTTTATATGACACAGGAGGCTTCAGAAATCAAGATCCAAAGAAACAAGTAAACTTAAGTATTTTTACTTAGGTTTGATGAAGAGATGGATAGTCGTAGAGAAGTATGATTGGAAAAAGGGGATATAATTTAATGGCAATAAACAAGAGGGAATTTAGCAAGGCCTGTTTGTTCAAACTCCTCTCTGAGTCCGTGTGTCTTCAGAGATAAGGACACTCCTTAGCTTCAGGAGAGAAGGGCAGGGGGAAAGTAAGAGAATGACCTTCCTGCTTCTGCAATTTTCACAAATGCCAGGCTTCATATTGTGGGGTAGTGTGTCCTGAACCCCATCACTACCAAGAGTTGTAGAGAAAATTCCAACCCAGGGAGATGCGACTTGGAATTCTATTAACCTCCTAAACAAACTGGGTCAGGGGGCAGGTGAAAATCCCACATCCATGAATATAAATTTCAACTGCACCTGTTAAAAACCTTAAGTGGGGCATGGGGATGTGTTGTTTACCTTTCTTTACTACCAAATCAGAACATTTTCTGCATCTGATTAAACAAACTCTGCCTTGGAGTGGTAGGGTGGGTGAGAAGAGGGGAAGGGAATGCCTCCCAAGGTAGCAGGTGACAGGGGCTACAAGGGTGACCTTCCCTCTCTCATGCCAATATCTCAGGTCCCCTCAGCCATTTAATGATACTGCCCCAGCCACAAAACAACAAAAGGCAGACCTTGTTCTTAAACCTTGGATGCTAAATCCTCATGCCTTCTCCTCTTTCCACACTGCTACTCTTTCCTCCTACTCTGTCTACAACATCACAAATACACGTGTGTGCACACACACACATGCTGCAACATTCACATGGAACAATGCACAGTAAACTTTCCTGTAAGGTGAAGGTACTCTAGGGAAAAATGGCTATTATCCATCCAGTAGGAGTTACTCCTATTTACAAACTCTACCAACCCCATGGCTAGTATGGCTTTGAGCCCTGCATTTACTAGTACAAACAGTCTCACCCAGGAACTCTCTCTCAGCCCCCTTCCCTGCCTGACCCAGCGTCCCCGGCCTACTGTGTCCTGCCACAGATTTCCTTGCTCCTCTGTCAAACCTCACAAGTTCCTTCTGTCTCACCTCTTTTCTTCTCACAAAATTCAGTGACAACCCTATACCTGTTACTGGTTTGGGGGCAAGGGGTGAATGTGAGTCCCAGTTCTGCTCACTTTGGGATAAGCAGGGATTTAAAAATACCTAATATAGAGGGTTACATCTTACGTGGGGATTGTATTCTAGAGTTGGCATGTAAGGCAAATTTTACGCGGTCAAAATTACCCTGGAAAATCCCTTAAACCTCCCAATACAAAATATATGGTTTTGTAGTTGCAACGCTGCACACTATATGGGTATATAGTAATATGAATAGCATATAATTAAAAGTACAAGTGCAAAATACAATTCTGCAGTATTTTTAATTATATACAAGAAAGAGAGAGTGCACAGTTGAACTTGAATACATTAAACGGGGTGCTGATGCTACTCTTCTGTATCTTTCACCTCAACTCCCACAGTCTTTTCGCACACTTCTAAATAGGCTTAAGGGCTCCATTTACATGAAAAGACAGACAGCTCCGGGAACCTTTGAGGCCTTCTCTTAAGATACACAATCACCACAAAAGGAAAAGGGAGAGCATTCTTTCACACAGATCTCTTTTCCTGTTTTTGCCTTGTGGCAGGAACAAAAGAAGATTTCTGAAAGAGAAAGCCGGTAAAAACTGCGGGCCAATAACTTCTACACTAGGCTGTGAAAGATGCCCAATTTCAAAATGCTTCCTTAAGCTGCAACATCCACAGCACACAGCCTTGAGGAGGTGCAAGGGTCTTCGTGACCAATTGCCCTAAAGTCTTTGAAGGATATGAGACCTTAAGAAAAAATTGATTCTATGAAATCATGCAGAATGAATTAAAAGGAGCATTCTAGCCCAAGTCTGAGATAAAACAAAGGTTAGATTAGGCATTTCAGAACTAATGGAAGATTAACAATTGTTGTGAATGTACTTAATGTACTTACTGTTTTTTAAGACCTTATTATCTAAGTATATCTTCAAATATGACATCAGGTAATTGTTTATGTTAGCTGTTGAATGTTCCTCTAAATGTGAGAAAATCAGCTTATAGCATGATAGAGTGCAGAAAATGCTACCCCCAAATATGGAAGCTTGGCGCACTGAGTATTAAGCTGAAGGAAGTTAAGAAAACTGCAGAAGCAAAAAGGTCTCTCTGACCTTCTCTCTTGAAGACCCTCATGAGACAGGTGTCTTGACTATACCCGGAGGGATGGAATGTTAAACACAGAGGCCAAGAAGAAACTAAACAAACAGGCTTTGCTAAGATCCCCCTAGTTTATCATCATTAGGTCATATCTGCTTTTTGTCCAACTATACTTCTACATGACTGTCCATGCTTCATCAAACCTAACCATAATAATACAGCTTTCCTTGGGTCTGGATCTTAATTTCTGAAGGCTCCTGCATCATGTAAAACTTTGGTTAAATAAATGTGCTATGCTTTTCTCTTGTTAATCTCCTTTGTTATAGAGGTGTCAGCCATGAAACTTGTGAGGTAATTACTCCCCTACTATCTCTACCCCCGCTGTCTTCCCCTCTCCACACACACACACACACACACGGTCTCTCAGCCACACTGGCCCTCTTTTTGTTCTGGGATACTCTAAGCTTACTCCTATCCCAGAGCCTTTGCACCAGATATTTCTTTCTATTTGAATATGTTTTCCTCACTTTTCCCAAGACCCATGGGGATGCTTCTCATGACTTAGGTCTCAGCTAATGCAAGTCCTCCTCATAGAGGCCTCCTCTGCTCACCCATTTTATAGCAGCCAGTCTCCACACCCCCCCATTATCACTTTCCTTAGTTTTATTTCCCTGGTCAAATATATCACCACTCGAAAATATCTTATATATTTGTTATTTTGTGTATTATCTGAATTCTTCCACTGGAATGAAAGCTCCTTGAGGACAGGACCTCTGTCTTTTTCACCACTTTCTCAATGCCCAACACATGCCTGGCCCGGAGTAGATGCCCAATAAATATATAATGAAGGAATAAATGACTCTCAGGCAAAACAGTGATATAGCCATAGCCATATCGCTGCTTGGTCCACAGTATCATGGTCAAGACACCATGCTTAACTGGTGCCTGCTACCTAAGCACTAGAAAAGGGGCTAGGGAGGGAAATAAAGTGCCATGAGCTCAACTTGCAGATCTGTGCTGACCCTTAATCTGCTATCTATCTTGCTTTGGGATCATACAAAATTATGGCCATTTATAACCACATGTGGCAGATTACCACTGGCTTTACACAGCTAACCTTGTCTAATTCTTCTTCAGTCTCTTAAAAAAAAGATAAATGCCATCTTGTTAAATTACACATGATAACCTAGCAAAAACTTCTGAGTACTCTATTTGTGCTCTGAGCTTTTATTTTTTTATGTTTATTTATTTTTATTTTATTATTATTATACTTTAAGTTTTAGGGTACATGTGCACAACGTGCAGGTTTGTTACATATGTATACATGTGCCATGTTGGTATGCTGCACCCATTAACTCCTCATTTAGCATTAGGTATATCTCCTAATGCTATCCCTCCCCCCTCCCCCTACCCCACAACAGTCCCCGGTGTGTGATGTTCCCCTTCCTGTGTCCTCACTCACAGGTGGGAATTGAACAATGAGAGCTTTTAAATCATCCTCCCTTGCTTTGCATTTCGTTCAAGAACAGGGGCCATGACAGGGCAGAGCTTTGTGGAAGCTGGCACTGGAGGCTGGACTTCAGCAGCAGGAATTTGCAGAGCCTCAATCACTGACATGTCTCACAAATATGTCTGAGCAGCTTCTTTCAAGCCCACCTGCCACTGGCAAATTCTCCCCTTAGTTTCTGCCCTTGACTCAGTTGCTTAATTCTAGTCTAGTTAACCTTGACTAGGGACAGGTCACTCTGGTCTGAAAAATGACTACTTAGGCCACCGGCAGTAGAGGCTCCAGAATTTTTACACAGGAAGGCTCCTGCTCTTGATATTCTAGAAGATTCTTCTTTCTTTGCAGTAACTTTCTTGTCATCTGAGCTGGCTTGAGTGGGTGTTTATTCCTTAAGACCACAAAAGTCTAAGTTAATACCAATGTGTGAGAGAGGAAGAATAATGCTCTCTAGTAAACTATCTCATGGGGATGGTCATGACCTGCCCCCAAATAACAGGCAGTCTGTGGGAAGTCCTTGAGTGGCAATGTTGGAAAAGGTGCAGTGTTCATTAGTGTTCATTGTTTGATACCTTACATACGCACACACACACACCCCATTTTATTAGTCATGAACCCAGCATCTTTAAGTTTTTTTAAGACACAAAAACCATCGCAATGTTCCACGGTTACACTAACATATTACTAGTTAAAGAGATATGTTTCTGGAATAAGAAAAATCAACCAAAAACAATAAAAACTTGGTTTCAAATTGTGTGTGTGTGTGTGAGAGAGAGAGAGTGTGTGTGTGTGTGTGTGTGTGTGGTGTGTGTGTATAGAGACAGGGTCTCCCAGGCTGGAGTGCACTGGCATGTGCAATCATGGCTCACTACAACCTCAACCTTGCAGGCTCAAGCGATCCTCCCGCCTCAGCCTCTTGAGTAGCTGGGACTATAAGTGAACACCACCACGCCTGGCTAATGTTTTACTGTTCGTGGTGACAGGGTCTCACTATATTGCCCAGGCTGGTCTCAAACTCCTGGCCTCAAGTCATCCTCCCACCTTGGCCTCCCAAAGTGCTGGGATTACTCACCTGGTCTCAAATTTGACTAATCATATCACTCACACAGCTCACTTATGTTTCTGAATCTCAGATACCTCATCATTAGAAGGTGATTAGTAATACATTTCTCTCAGGGTTTTATGAATATTCAAATTAAAAAAACTATACTAAACATCCAGCATAATGTGTGGCACTTAGTAAGCGTTCAAAAAATGTCAGTTCCTATGCTCTAGTTTGACTTACTTTCTCCATAACTAATAAATCTATCCATTAATTAAAAACATTAATAATCTATTGTGGTTCTCTACCATTTTAAAAGCATGGGTTATGGAAGAAATAAATGACATGGACTCCACTTCTATGAAGTTTACAATTGAGTTAAGATGTCAAAAACAATCACAGAGAACAACACTATGAAACCTAACATATTTATATAATAAACTTTGGAGTTTTATAATACTGTTAAGAGAGAAATCTTTCAATTAAAGAATTTCTCAATCCCGCAATCTTAGCAAAAACTCTTTTCACTCCTTCATGTTCCCTTCTCATCTTGCTCCATATATACACATTTTAATAATTTTATATTTTGTTTTTAATTGCTTAACATTATGTAAAAATTCTTATTAATATACAAAATCATTTAATTTTAAATTATCAATTGAGCATAAATAGTATACTACACATGTCACAGTTTAATTCTTCCATTTTTAGACACTGAAGGAGTTTTTTCCCTTTACAAATAATGGTGCAATTAATTTTATTTTAATTTTTAATTTTTTGTTCCATTGCTTTTTTAATTGTGGTAAAATATGTAGCGTAATGCTTATAATTTTAACCATTTATGAGTATATAATTCAGTGACATTAAATTAATTCATAACATTACATAACTATTACCATTATCTACTCAAAATGTTTTCTTATTCCCAATAAATTCTGTACTCACTAAAAAACAGCTCCCCATTCATCCTTCCCCAAGCTCCTGGAAACCTCTATTCTACTTTCTGTATCTATGAATTTGCCTATTCCAGATACCCATATAAGTGGAATCATACAACATTTATCCTTCAATGTCTGATTTATTTCACTCAGCATGTTTTCAAAGTCCATCCATGTTTTAATGCTGCAATTAATTTGATTAGTGCAGGGGACATTCTGTAATTGCCTTTTTAAAAATTACAGATTTTATTCCTTTTTCCTGGAACCTATACTCCAGAAATAAAGTGTTAAAATATGAGCTTTGCTCTTGAAATATACTTATGTATATTAACTTTAACTTTAATATCCCTTATATGAATAAATCCAGATTTTATGTTTATGACTTTAGTATTTATCTGATTCTATTCAATCGCTTCCTGTGCCAAAAGTTTTTCTTTTTGTATCGGGTTTCAGAACTGTAGAAGGTTAGGGGCAAGAGAGATTGGTGAAGTGAGTAAGACAATAGGAAAGGCTCGGGAAGGAGGTGGGATTTAACCTGGGGCCTTGGAAATACACTAGGATAGGCCTCAGAGAAAAAGCAAAGTTTACACAGGACGAAAGAAAACAGTTTGAGAGAAAATATTAGGATGTCACGACAGATCAACCAAGCAGTGTGACTTCAGGCCTCTTTCGCTGAGAGCAGTAGAGCTGTTCCTGGGGATCCACTGGAATGAGTCTGATGAGACAAGAAGGGACATATCATGGAAGGACCTAAAAGCCAGACATAAAAATGGAAGCTTCCCCAACTGAAATTAATTCAGAGTCATCGTCATCAAATTAGATGACACCTTTAATGGACTTTCCAGTAAGTCTTTTCTGGGTGACTACAGACACCCGAATCCACCTGGAAGGATGAAGAGAGATCCTTTAATCCTTTCTTAATAGACCACTCAGCAGACATCAAATGGTCAGGTGCATGACAGAAATGGCCAGTGAAGAGGCCACCAGCACCAGCCCTGGACAGGTGACAAAGATTTCTAAAGGCTGTAACTCCAGTGACTAGTCCTCAGATTCAACACCCAAATAGGGTAAATCTGTATCCCTTTGTCAAGCTCACTGTGTCACCTGACCAAATCTAGTCAGAGGTAAGGTGCAGCACATATTTCTTCCACTGACCACAGTATAATATCCTGGATCCAGATGAACTTTTTTTGCACAGTATTTATTATTCTAATAAACCAAATGGAATGTTTAGAGATGACTGGAGCAATCTGATTGGCAAACTTACAGGGCATTAATTTTTCCAAGGTGACTGGTGCATAAAAAGTGAAACTATAGCACTCATGTAAACAATCCATCTGCCTCATTTCCCTCCCCCAGGCACCTCTAATTTTCAGCTTATATTAGCTGTAAGACGAGCTAATGTTTTTAGTGTAGAAAAATGGCATCATCCCAGACATAGAAATTACTTTAAGAAGGAAAAGCTCTGTAGCAATACACATTGTATAAATAGGCATCCATGAACAATGACTATTACATTGCAGCAGATAGGTGAGATCATGGTATGGGCAGTTGAGAAACTACTAACTTATTACAGGTATCAAAAGTTCCACTTTAGGTGAGAAAATTATGTGATAACTTTTGTCCATGAATATATATACTTTCGAACTAATCTCAAAGAAATGACTGTAACTCAACAATACAGTCTAATTGCCTCATTGTCTCAAAACAAGTCCCTCCTTGTGGGACTTTGAAAATTAGTGTGAATGATTGTCTTATAAAAGGAATTAGGTAACTAAGGTATGAAAGTAGGACTTGGAATGATGGAACCAGAACCAGGGTACAAGGGCTTTCCCAGGGGCCAGACCAGCAAACCAGGCAGGTGACCTCTAAGGTCAACTATTTCCAGATAATTACCTTATGTTTATCTTTGACAAATCTTGCTTTCAACTTCTTGTTGATATTATTAACTCTTTCTGTCAACTCTTTTTGTTTATCTCTGTCTTTGAACTCTTTCTTAGACCACAAAGAGAAAAAGTTTTCTGAAAATAGTTGAAACACAAACTCCGTAAGATATTAATGTTTTTAGTGGGGAGAGAGGAAAAGGAAGAGGAAGAAAAGGGAAAAAGAGCAAAGTCAAGGAAGAAGAGAATGAGAAAGAAAGAAAAAAAAGGGAGCATGTGAAAGAAAGAAAATACTAAGTGAAAAAGAGGAAAAGGGGAGGATGAAAGGCAAAGGAGATGGAGAAAAAGAGAATACACAGTTCTCTTTAGGACTATAAAGAGAATTATTCCAGAAGTGAAAGAATCAAAGCACTAGAGAGGAATATATTGGACTATTTTCCAGCTCCTCCTAAATTGCCTCTTGATTACTCAGTACCCAGTGGGTAATTTACAAGGCCCAATGGTATGCCTTGTATTCAAACAGACAAGAACTCTTCACAGTGTTTATCATGGATCCCTTTGGTGATTTGGTGAAACCTATAAGCCCTTCTCAGAAAAATGTTTCTAAGTGCATAAAATATATACACTTTTAAGTAAATAAAACATATAGGATTACAAAGAAAACTAATTTTATAGAAATATAGTTTCCAAAATAGCTTTGAATATTTGAAATATTAATGAATGTGCTTCTTAATGCATTAATGGCAAAATCTAGTGGTGGATCAACTACAATATTGTCAAAGTAGTGATGCGTATAAAGAATATTTAAAGGTACCTGGAACAACTGAAATGCAAGATTAACTATCTGATCTGTGGTTTAAAGTCCCAGGAACAGCTAATACTACTGTGGTTTTTTGCCCACAATCAAAATTGAAGGAAATAATCAATTTCAGTTAAAGGTTAGTGAAAATGGAGATGTGGCTTTCCTCTCATCTAAATTCATGGATCTGCTGACTGTGGAGGGTTGGGGGAGAGGGGCTGATGCTAACTAGGACAAGAACCTCCCACCCTGTTCTTATGTAAAGAATGAAACGACTTGAAGAGACAGCACCTCTTTTTTTAAAATAAATCTTTTAATCTAGGAGCAACATGAGATTCCACAAAATCATTCAGATCAAAGCTGCTGAGAAACCAACAATTCTGAAGAAATAAACAATTGCAGAAACAAGTAACATGAAGTGGCACTAATCACAAAGGCTTCTTAGAGAAGGCAAGTCCTTTCCAAGTTCCTAAAGAGGCACTAATATACTGGGGACACTGACAAATAGAAAAATTAAATATGAGCTTCACCTAACACTGCACATCAAGATAAGATCCAGACAAAATAGAGTTAATTATAAAACTATTTGAAAAACTAGAATAAATGATGCATATTTTTCTCGTTTTTAGTAATTGTTAAGACAGAGCAGGATAATATTTGAGGCCAATTATAACAGTAAAATATATAGCAATATATTTAGTGAGTAAGAGTACTGTCCACAACCCTGAGTTTGAATCTCATTTATGTCACTTCTATCTGTATTACTCTCTGTGCCTCAACTTCCTATCAGTGAAACGGAGATAACATTACCTACCCCACAGGGGGGTTACTGTAAAGCATAAATAAATACAGATTTAAAAGCTGTAGTAATAATAATGGAAACTTTTCAAAATCACTTATTAGCTACCATTTTATGTGTTTTAAAGAAATGTGTTTTGCTTAAAAGAAATTATAAAGAAAAATGCTGACATATTTGATTATACAAAAAATGTAAGACTTTTGCATATAAATGATTCCACAAACAAAATTAAAAGGCAAATGAGAAACTGGGAAAAATAACTGAAACAAATATGAGACAAAAGGTTAATAGCCTTACTGTATAAGCCAATACAAAAACACACATTAACATTCCAATAGAAACGCGAAGAACAGAAAACTAAACAAACATTCACAAAAGACAAAACACAACATACAGAAAAATTTTTCCAAAAGAAAGGTTGAAGGATGTGAGGAAATATCTTAAGTATAATGTTACATGAAAAAAAAAGCTACAGATGGCATGATACCAATTTTGTTAATAAACAAATACACTGAAAAAATCTGGAAATAAATATACTACAGTATTAAAGGTATCTCTGGATAGACAATTATGACTAAGTGATTTTTATTTCTTCTTTATATTTTTCTGCCTTTTGGAATGGAGAATTTGACCAAATTTACAATGAGGAACATTCTTTTTTTTTTTTTTTGACGGAGTCCTGCTCTGTTGCCCAGGCTAGAGTGCAATGGCATGATCTTGGCTCACTGCAACCTCCGCCGCCCAGGTTCAAGTGATTCTCCTGCCTTAGCCTCCTGAGCAGCTGAGATTACAGGCACACACCACCATGCCTGGCTAATTTTTTTGTACTTTTAGTAGAGTCGGGGTTTCGCCATGTTGGCTAGGCTGGTCTCGAACTCCTGACCTCAGGTGATCTGCCTGCCTTGGCCTCCCAAAGCGCTAGGATTACAGGAGTGAGTCACCACACCTGGCTACATTCCTTTTTTAAGAAAAAAAGAACATATAACATTGCTTGAAATAGTGAAACATTGCTTGAAATAGTGAAAAATTAGACGCCACCTAAATATCCATCAATAACAAATGGGTTTGTATGTATATATTCAGTATGACTTAATAGGCAGCTGTTAAAAAAGAATAAAGTGTATTTTTTCCTGCAATGTTGTTATACAAAAAGAAACAAGTTGCAAAACAGTTTATATAAGTGTGACCCTATTAAAATACCATGTATGTTTCTCCATTGTTTGGCAAAAGACATGTGTGTGCACATACATGTGTGTATGAGTGATGGACGGAAGGGTGGTGAAGAAGTAGGGAATAAAGTAAGGCTTGGAGGAGTGTATTGAATCTCCAGAATATAAGCTAGGACCATATTTAAATGTCAATTCAAAAATACACATCCCAGCTAGATTTACATAATTTTAGATGGCTCTTATTTCTCCCTCTTCCATTCATATAATTTCTGAAGAGGTTGGGATAAATAATAGGGAAGACCCACATTTGAGTCTCTATACAGAGAATATTTCCAAGACAATCAGAACGTAATCATTCTCTAAAGCTCAAATTTCCACAGCTAAAATGTAATTTTAAACTTCACCACCTTGTTTCAAAATTTAGCTGCCTGGTTATAGGTATACTCAACTCCTGCAGGCTGTAGGATTAAAAGAGGAATGAAGGATCTTGCTCTTTTGTACAAGTTGCAAAAGACCCTTTAGAAATAAGGGACTCAAAAAGAAAGGCTATTGGCTGTGAAAGACATTCCTCTTAAATCTCAATTAAAACTAGTTCCTTCCTGCACCTTACAAATTATGAAGGCTTCCCCAAATGGCAGACAGGTCAATCTTGATGTGCATGACTGAGATAACATGGCTGAGTGATAACTTTGTTCAGTCATAACGGACACTGGTGTTTTTTTCCTGTAACATTACAAAATGGAGAATTTTTACATAACTGTATTAGCATGTCATCTTTAAACAACACTATTCTGTCTCACCATCAAACAAATGGTATTTCATACTTTGACAAGGGCTGAGATGGAAAAGCACAGCACTGAAAGTTGGAAAAAGTTCAGTAGAGAAATGAGCAAAGATGTTGGACCCAGCCGAGCAAAGATAATGGACCCAGCAGACATGGAGGCAACTGAAATTAATCTGCACACCTAGAGGAACAGATGTGACACCTGCAGGATGCTTCAGACTAAAGCTCATCATGGGAAAGTCTCTTTTCTTAAAATTATTTCCTTTATTTTGTTTTCCCCAACATTAGAGTCAAAAGGACAACTCCTCCACATTCCTTCAAAAGCTTTAACAGGTTTCAAGTTGTTTACCAGCATTTAAAATAGAAAAAGGACTGGGACCTCTTTCCTTGTATAGCTACACTCTCCTCTAAAAAAAACACACGCTTGGCTCTTTTCACCTCCTGCTTTTAAGAAGGAATTTTAATGGGCCGGGGCTCATCGAGGTGCATAAACTCAGGAGGGAGGAGCACAATGGTAAATTATACCTTGCAAAGAGTCAGAGCCCACTTACTGCTGCCAGTGATGTTAAGTCCATAAGCAAAATCTTTTTTTTTTTTAATTCCTCCTTGAAAGGTGCAACAGAAGAAGATGAATCACTTCTTTTTTTCCCCTGGATCTGTCATACAAGAATCAAGGACTTGTCAATGACTCCAAACAGCAGGGCCTTGACAACTAGTCAAAGACAAAGTTGTTTTGTCCAGCATCTCTCCTTTCTCTGGAAGCATTTTCCTCCCAATTAATATAAGTTATGAGGCTGCACTGAAGAGCTCAATAAACTGACACTGAAGGACATAAGTTGCTTTTTTACACTGAAAACCATGGTAAACTGATATATACAGCTTGTGTCCATGAAGGTGGAGGTGCCAGAACTTCTGGTAACCTCTGGCTGCATCACTGCTGCTGCACTGGGGCAGTCTTGCATTTTCTGATATTCTCTCCCTTCCTGGGAATGTTCCATAACCCTCAGCTCTACTCTCCTTTTTTCTTCTGTTAGACCCCAGACCCTCAGGTATCTGGTTTAAGCAGTCATTGAGATGTAGGTATGAGGCCCTCAGTGAATTAATGCCGGTTGTCCTGGGGCTGTGAGCAGGCCAGGGCAACACCCATAGGCCTGTTCCCAGGGGATTTAGGGGAAGATTTTACCTATTTTGGATATGCTTCTTTTTCTCCTTAAAACAATAATAGCACTACCATTGTGTTGTTCATTTTGGAAACACAAATCCAAAGAATTCTATAATATTTGAAAACATCTACTTAAAGGAATTGATGAAATTGTGATTGTTTCCCTTAAAAGTAAACTGTATAGCTTGATATCTCAGGCATTATAGTAAGAAAATTAAGCTTCTTGACTCAGAAACAAATATAGAAACAAGCCATGACTCATTTTTACCATCATTCTATTCCAGAAACTTAAAAGCATAGCCTGCATAGTGAAGATCCACATAAAAATGCAGGCACATTTGCTGCAGTGCTAAGAGCAGAAGATATCAATTAATTAGAGAAGTGTAAAAATAAAGACAGGACGAATGAGGGGGACTGGTAGGGAGACAGGAAGAAGGAGTGACAAACAACAGCAAAAATATCTTAAATAAATAATTCAGAATGGATGCTAAATACAAAAGTGGGAGCCAAGCCAGACTAAAGTTCAGATGCATCTAGGGTTACTTTGTGCAACACATTTATTCACTAAAGCGCCAAAGCAGCTATTAGAGGAAACAATAAAGAGGCCCTCTCCCCTGGAAATTTGAGTCCTGCTTTGGAATTTTTATGACATTTCTTCCTTAACAAACAAGAAGGTCTCACCACCTTCCCCTGGCTTCAAAGCCTCACTATGGCGGTGGCCTGAGATTAATATCCTTGGTCTGATTTATATATGTTGTTTGAGGTATTTTCAAAAGTCATGTAGTTTATGAAAGAATTGCAGCTCTAGCAGGCAAACAAATAAACAAGACCCCCATATCTCTAACCTACAGGATTGCCCTGATTACCATGACTCACTTGGTCATTTCAACAATGCCCTTTCATGTCACCAGGGCTGTGTGTGCAAAATTAGGACACTACCTGGACCTCCAGCTAAACACTAAAAAATACTCTAGGATTCCCAGTCGGAAAGTGGTGAGGGTGTGATGTAAGTATGTGTGTAAAACTATAGTCCAGTTGGTTTTTGTTTTATATAACAAGTGGGTTCCTGAAAAGTCAAGATTTAAGTACTTTTTTTTGTAGATTAAAACATTTACAATTCACATCAGAAGCTCACTATTTAATGAAATCCGATTGTGGTTCCAGTTACAAAGAACGCTTTTGTAATTAAAATACAACCTTTTTGTTTGATCGATTTTATACATTCAGACTTGGTTTTACAGGAGTTTCTTAATGTAGGGTATACTTAGAGTATTATTACTAGTTGGTAAGTATTGTTTTGTTTTAATGCTATTCTTTTCTTTTTCAGCAAAAATCCAAAGAAGTATTTCCGCAGCCCAAGTTCATACTCTTCACAACATGAAAGACAGAACTTGCTCTGCTTTATTTAGCTTAGTGTGTCCTGTGGCATGTGAGGCATCCAGGGTAGCAGACACCAGCAAATTGCTAGGAAGAAACTGAGAGGCAATGACCCACCGACTGCACGGCAGTATTTCCAAACCGGTGACAGAGCTGAACCAGGATCAGACTGCTCTTTAAAAACACCTGTTCTGTAAACCTGAGTTAGTGAGGGCAGCATCTTCCAACTGACTCAGCCCAGCCACTGCTGCCCCTCTGCCAGAGGGCCTGGTGCCATTCGGGCAAGGACTCAGGTGCCTTACCCCCAGACCCTTCATGACCCACTGCCACACAAAGGCGAGGGTGCCAGCACCAATGGGCACATCCATCCCAATCTGCCATTTCAAAGCAGCTGCCTGCAGGCTGTGTCCGCCCTCTGCTAGCAGAGTGCAATGGGGCAGAGAAATTAAAATCCAGGGGAGCTGGGGAAAAAAGAAAGATGGAAATCTTAAAGACAGTATCTTGGAAGCATACGTTTTAGAATCACTGCAGCCAGTTCCCTGTCAAGAAAATATTGGCCTTGTTGGTTGGTCCAATCTCATGTAGCCACAGATGGTTTTATGCCTCACTATTCAGATACCCACTCCCCAGAGTAGTGAGAAACAAAGGATGTGGTGCTTTGTGGTGTAGTTATTCTGCCACCTAGTGTTACATGTAAAAACAAACAAATAAATTAAAAAAAAAAGGCTATGTTAGAAGAGTAAAAGTAGAATCATGAACTTCACTAAACTGCATTTTTTTTTTCTTTCCAAACATGAAGATCCTTCACATACAGTGGCAGCCTGGGGAGGCATTGCCAACAATTACAACAGCCCTTCTCATTTGAATTGAATGGAAGGCCAAAGAGCATGAGGTCTGAAGTTTAGGATGTGAAGGAGAAAAGAACATAACCTCAAAAACCCAATTTTAATGATATTTAAAAGGCCTATTCCCTCCAGGTAAGGTAAATACCATGAATACAATAATACAAACTGGAACTGGACAAGGAAAGTACAGTTTCTGTCCTGAAGAAGAGAGGAAAGAGTAAACAGAAAAAATGTGGATTGCTTTTTAAAGTATTATTACTTCTGCAACTAACGCATTATGAAGTAATAAAATGAGCTATGGGCTTGGGGTGAAGGTCTGAGTGTGAGTCCCAATTCAGTAGCTTCCTCGCTGTGCTGGTGAGTTGTGCAATATCTCTGAGCTTCGATTTGGTGTTCTGGAAAACAGCTGTACACTTACACACACATTCTTCCTCCTTTTACAACACTGTCCTGAGGATCAATTAGAAATGTACATGAAGGCATTTTGTAACTATAAAGCGCTTTGCAGCACCCTGAAGACCATTTCCCTCACTATATTGTTCTCTTTTTGCAGTTATGTCTGCCATTTATATGTATATGGCTTTCTGTATTTAACTTGTCCTGGAGTGCTAGTGATCATTCTTAAATAAGTGCTTTCAGGATTAAAAGAAGTATTAAATAGGAAAATGTGCAAGTATGTCATGCAACATATAAAAAATCCCCCAAATAGACTAATAAAGAATTAGCATTACAGTTTAAAATTAGATTATTCCAAGTGTTTCTCCTTAAAATTATGTTCCGTTGAGAATGATAAGCCATCTTGGTTAGTTGTTTCTACTAAAATTAGTATATTCATGAAAGTTCTTAAAATTACAGGGAATCTGAACTGAACTTTCCTTCTTGTGGGCAGAGCCTTCCATTGTGATAAACCAGGCATCAGGAAATAGTTTTTCATTTCCGTTCCTGCACTAACTAGCTATGTAACTTTAAGCAATTTCAGTTTCCAAATGGGCAAAAAGTAAGAGGTAAACAAAATAACCATGCCTTCCAGTTCTATGATGACAAGTTGTTGTTCTGCTTTTGATAGCAAAATTTAAAGACAATTCAAAATCCGTGATAGACTAGCTATAATGTAATTTTCAGAAATGTCCTACAAGTTACATACATTTTTTTTTTCAAGCTGAAGTTTTATTTAAAATGTAAAAGAAATGTTCCCCCAAAATGCTGGTGAATAAAGCAAAAGGATACCATACAGTGCTCTCTTCCTACGAGTTAGCCAGCCTATCCAAGCACAGGGCAATATACAGTACTTAATGCTGGTAGAATTTCACAGTAGTTTAGTGTTAAAGATTATCTGTGCCTAGATTATGAAGAGATTCTCAGTGTGTGATGTTTAGTTCAGGGTTTACTTCTTACTGGGCATGAACAAGAGCCCCTGCTCTTCAGTCACAGGATAGAAAAGACAGCATTAAGTGAGATGGCCACTGTAGCATGGGTGTGTTTGTGTCCTTTATCAGAACTTAGAGCTGCTCAGAAACCACTGCGGGCTAAAACAAACAGGCTACAAGAAAGTGCGTACCCAGCCACCTACCTGGCCTTTCAAAATTGCAAAGAAAGACTTTACTTCCACTTAGCTCTGAAAACACCCTTTGCTCTTTTTAGTAATATTTTTAACAATGCCAAGAAAAGAACTCTATTTATCCAGATTTCCTCTCTCCTTAGAAATGTCAACATTACTCAGGAGTATAGCAAAAAACAGCCTGGAGTTTTCATGATGTGAACGTGAGACCAAAGTCACACTGAGGAGAGATTAAACTTGGAACATGATTGCCAGTAAAGAAGATAACTCCTGCCTAGAAAAAGCCCAGCTGGTGACTTCCGTTACAGAATTCACAACCACACTGGGTTCACAAGCCCTTCTTCCCACATGGAAGCCCCCTTTTCTTAAATGTCCCAGATTCTCTCTCCTTTAGATTGATGCCAGTGCCTCTTCTCATAAAAGTGCTCAGCTTTGCTCCATCTCCCTGGTTTGTACAAACCCTGGCATATTTTGGCCTGGAAGATTTAGCCCTTTTCTTTCCCCTGTCTACTGGAACTTCTATCCTTTTTTGTCAAAAAGATTTTTTTTTTTCAAGGCTTTCCAATAATCTGCTGGAGGCCACAGAGACAGATCTAATCATGGTTCTCATCAATCTTTCTCCCATGGCCAAACAGAGCCAGGAGGCTTCATGGAATGGTGCTGAATTCTTTTTTCTCCCTCAAGACGTACTTCTGTCCAGGGAGTTAGGGCCCACTGTGTGTTCCTGGGAGCTAACATTTCCTGGGGAGTGTTTAGGGATTTCACATTTACCCTAAACAAAATAACATATAAAACTTTAAGTCTAAATTCCACAGAGCTTTTTAAAAGGAGGGGCCTTGTCTCTCCTTGGCTTACAGCAGCCCTGAAGGCTTGTTGTATCTCATTCATTTTGGCCATTTTCCAGAGCAGCTGACAAACTGAAAATAAGCACACTGCTGTCTCCCCTCCTTCACTCCCCGCACTACCTTCCCCGGCTCCTGACAACCACCACTCCTCACACCCACAGATCCATGAGGGTCAGGCCCATTCTCAGAATAATGTGGAGGTGAACCCTACCTCCACCTCATTGCTCCGACTTTAATACCAATCTTGAACAGTCTTGGTTTGGGATTTCAAATGTAAGTCATTCTTGGCCTAAATCAGATTGTGGGATTAGAGCCCTATTCAACTTGTGAGAGCAGGAATTCGCCTTTTAGGGATATGCGTCTAAAGTCATAAATCGCCTTGGAGATATGCCCACCTCCACTTTTAAACTGCCTCTGAGTCTCTGTCCTTTTAGATAAGCAACAGGAAAAGAGATATAAGGTAACTTATGTTGCATAATTTGAACCAAATATTTGAGGCAGGCCTCTCTGTTCTTGGGAAGCTCTGGTGGAAAGCTGACTTGAAAAGAGGATGTAACAAAGCATCACACACTAGCAGATCATACCAATATCATACAAATCTAAGTGATGGGTTTCCAGTAGGAACCCAGGGCCCCGACATAAGGCACCACTTCCATGTGTTACTAATACATCACAAATCTGATCAACCATAGTTGCAAGTCTATTTGACTCAGAATTTAGCAGCAGCTGCAGTTCCCCAAATTAGTGAGGGGGAAATAGGCATTCAGCTTATAAAGTTTTCCAATAAGAGCCACTATCTTTGAAGTACTAAATTTATACCCACCCCAATTTGTTAGACCCCACCCTGGCTGGGCCTCCTCTAGATCACAATATAAACTCCTAGGACGAGGACAGGGTAGGTCTGGAGGAGATGGAGGAGACAATGAGGACATAGATTATGGTTTTGCCTAGATGTTTTCACCTTGGTATCAATAGACACATCTGAGCTAGTTAGTGTTACGGCATTCTTTAACCCTCCTTCCAAAAGAAACATCATGGGGCTTTTCTACCATGCCATTCATCTACCCAAATGTTAGGACATTGTTTTCTTTATAAAGTGTATGATTAATTGCCAAGACAACACCTGTGCCTTGCCATTTTTGTTATGGGAAAGTCTAGGAAATCCATGTACAAGACTACCCAGAGATTACCCACCCCGTGGCTTGGAATGCAGTGTGACCAAAGGCATTTCCAGAGAGCTCACAGGACACAATGGCCATGCATGGGTGGATTTGCTGGATGGATCAGACAAACCAACCACAACTTTTCCATCTTTTGTTTCGATTCCTTCCAGTAGATTGGCCTTGTTACCAATACTGATGCCAAGACTACCAATTGCTTGCAACAAAGAATTGTTGTTAACCCCTACCCACTGTTTCATTCACTCTAATTATTCTCTAACAATACAATGGCTTCAAAAAGCCTCCAACTGTCCAGCAGACACTATGGGCCAGAGGAATCACTGAACACAAGCAGCCTATCAATAGAAGACAATACTGAAGCAGCTTCTGTCTGGGTGTTTGCTCCATCTTCTCTGAAACAATGGGAAAGAGAGCTCAGGAGAATAAAAAGGAAGTCCTGCCCTACAGATCTTTTGTTTGTCTGCCAATGCTTTATCTGTTCCAAGTTCTTGGGCGTATTCTTTACCACTCCCAAATACAGGAAAAAGCCTCGATTTCCTAGGAAATGCAGCTTCTATGTTTTTGATGAATTCTTATTGTACCCAAATCAGACTTCAGTGAGGATTCCCGTTAAGATTTTTTTTTTCACTCCTAAGGTCAAATATATCTTATATAGTAGGTAGGCCATTGGACTAATTCACAGCAACAATAACAATACAAACAGATCTTTCTATAACATTTTAGATGACAGCATAGAGCCCACCAGCATATCAGTGGTTGTTTTTGTTTGTTTTTTTAACAGATAACACTGGTTGATAGAATCACTGAATAAAAAAGTAATACACTGGAAGCAGGTCATCACGAAAAGACATCAGTTTAACAAAATTGAAACTGATACCATAATCTTGGAGGTTTCCAAACAGAGGGAATATAAAGTCAACAGAAAATTAAATGAGAGGAAGCCTCTGTTCATTACAAATCAACATATAATTAGATTGGGATGCACCCATAATGATGAAATACCAGCAGAAATGAAAGGTCAGTTGTTTCCAGTAGGGCAACACTGCCAGAACCATGTTTAAAGGAAACAGATCAACACGGTAACCCAGAATCTCAAAGATATCCCAGGATAAAGGGGATTCATTATAGCCTATTTGAGTCATCAAGTAGTGTGAATTCATATGTAAAGGGAACATGGGGCCTGGAATGTGTACAGTGTGTCAATTACTACCAAGCAATTAAAGCAATAAAAACCAAGGCTCCAAACCATACCCACAGCAGAGCTATAAATAAGTGAACAAAGGGAAACTAAATTCCCTAAGGAAGGAAAAGCCTGGATCAAAAAAATCAGCAAGGTCTAGGTCTCGGAAAATATAAAATAACATCAACCATGACAATTTAATAGCGATGTTACTCAATAATTCTTAGAAGCTGGATGACTTAACCAAAAAGATAAACTATTAGAAATATTAACATGCAGAAAGTTGTTTCTGCCTAAAAGTGTGCATAATATAAAAAAGTTTACAATAGGGAAAAATATGAATAATGCTTTATTTTTTAACCTTCGCAAGTTTAAAAAATTTAATAATCTTGAAAATATTTCCCTAGCTAGAAAAAAAGAGAAATATCATTAATTATCATATGTGAATCAAAGCAATGAGCAATCTGAAGGCAACGGGTATCGATTTCCTTTAAAATTTCTGTTTTAAATAGTCCCAGGTTTTAGATGTAAATTAATTCCGGAGAGCACATCTTAATAACAGTAATAAATAATATATGATGCACACACTACTTATGGTATTATTAGTAGTATAGTATACATTAAAATGTGGTGCCAAGAGCCTCCTTCAAGGAAGCACTTGCTGTCCTCCTATGGGGAGTATGATCAGCAGACAGCCTCTAGCATCAGCTCCTTTAGGGTGAGCTTAAGCTTTCTAGGGCCTCCATGCCCAAGATCATGTCCAGGAGTAGATCATATCCCATAATTAAGAGGCTCTACCACTAACTAGGTGGGTGATCTTGAGTAAGCTACTAACTTCTCTGACCTAGAGCTTACATAATAATATACTGATAATAATAATATCTTCCTCATGTGGTTGTCACAAATATTAAAAGAGATAATGTGTGAAAAGTACTTATTTAGCATGGCGTTTAGCACCTAGGAAGGGCTCAGTAAATTGTGGCTATAATATTATTCTTAACCCCAGCAATTAGCACAGTTTTAAACACTTAGCAGGTACTTGAAAAGTATATGATGATGAAGTAAGGCAAAGTCCTGATTGCTATGTACCCTACCTTCCTCTGTTTGAACGTTAGAGGAAACTACTGAATTCAAAATGAGGAGATGAAAAGGTGAAAAAAGGAGCTTTATTTTTTCAACAAATTTTTATTATGCACTGATATGTAAGAAAAACTAGACTTTCTACCTTCAGGGGGTCTACAACCTGCACAGGGAAACAAGATGTGTTAGTAGCTTCTATTTCCAGGCAATCTGTGATAAGTGCGGTCCACGTATAGACTATCTAGGGGTTCAGAGGTTGGCAGTCACCTCCAACCACTCCCTGGGTAGGACAGCTACGGAGCGTACCTTGAAGTGTGATGAGAAAAGAATTCATTCTGGGCAAACAGGATGGACTGAGCCAAGTCTAAAGTGAAGAAAACAAATGCATCTTTACAGAAATCCTACTAGTCCAGGCTGGCTGGAGGACAAGGGTTTATGCCGAAGATTAGTGAGAGACAGATCTGGAAAGGGTAGTGTGGAGTAGCCTGGAAGGGGCTCAGATAGCAAGGCACAGGTGGCAGAAACCAGAGAAGCTTCAGAGCTGAGGTATAGCCAGGCTGAGACAAACTGATCTGGCAGCTGTATACAGGGTCAACATAAGCAGGGGAAGTCTGGAGACCCGGCAGACACTGCCAGAATCATTTAATCCTCATAACAACCCAATAAGTATCCTCAGATGGGGAAACTGAGTGTAGGCCCAAGGTTGCACAGCTCAAAAGAGATAGGAGTAGGACAGAAACTCAGTGTGGCACCAGAATTCATGAAGGGAGACATGACTGGGCAGGGGAATCATTTGATGGTCTTGGGAATGGTAGACAAAACATACATGAGCTGGACTGCTTGCAGGGAGAGGGCAGGGAGATGGGCAGAAACTACTTTTTAACTATTTAAAAAAAAAATAAAACCTGAGAACTAAAAAATTTTAAATTTAAATGGAACCTATGTTAATTAGACTTAGCCAAAATGATGAAGCGAAATATTTTATCATGACACCATGATTGACAATTTTTTTTTATTTTTTTATATTTTGAGACGGAGTCTCACTCTGTCGCCCAGCTGGAGTGCAGTGGCGCGATCTCAGCTCACTGCAAGCTCGGCCTCCTGGGTTCATGCCACTCTCCTGCCTCAGCCTCCCGAGTAGCTGGGACCACAGGCGCCCGCCACCATACCCAGCTAATTTTTTGTATTTTTAGTAGAGATGGTGTTCCACCATGTTAGCCAGGATGGTCTCAATCTCCTGACCTCGTGATCCACCTGCTTAGGCCTCCCGAAGTGCTGGGATTACAGGCGTGAGCCACCACGCCCGCCTGATTGACAATTTAAAAAGAGAACAGGTTTTTCTCATAACAAAGGAAGAAAGAAGAGAAAAAAGGAAAGAGAAGAAGTTTTTAGATTCTAGGTTCCAACCACGTATAGCAGCTTCCAATAGGAAAGAATACACACGTTGGGTTTCTCCGCCTCCCAGAGCCACATTTTAAAGGGAAAGACAAGAAAAAGTCATAGACTAGGCCCAGGTAGATATCTGGGGTGAAAGCTATGATAACATCCAAACAGCTACTGGCTAACAAACGATAAACAAGCACAGATGGTAAGCTCACTAGAATTGCTTTGCTTTGCAGACTTGTCACATGAATTTGGTTTTATTTTAGCTTAATAAGATAATGTAGGTAAAGTGCCTAGCCTAGTACATGAGGCAAAGCATATGCTAGTTCCTTTCCTTTTCCTTCTCAGCTTCTTCCCTACTTACCCAACAAAAGCGTAAGATAATTTTTCTTTCTTTGATAGCATAACTTGAAGAAATAGAAAACAGTCCAATATTTCTTCAGGAAGAAAAACATCAAGGCAAATTTCCTTGGGCTAATGTCCTTGAGTCTGGCATTACCTATGAGTGAGTTGGGACGACTACGGGAATAGAACCTGTTTCTTTGAGAAGTAAACAAGGGCAGGGATATGAACAAATGTCAGGCCACATGAAAACAAGAGGCATTTTGTACTCTGGACGCTTTATCTTACTCTACTAGCAATTCACCATGAAAAGCAAGTTCCTGAGCCAGCTGAAACTTCAGTTGGCTTTTCTTTCGTTAGATAAAGAATCATCCTTTATCACTTTTAACTGCCTGGCAATTGATTAGTAAGGCACCTCTAATGAAATCTTAGGTAAGTAAAAAATATGTCTTCTTTTTCTCTCCGCTTTTCCTGAACAGACAATCCCCAGAAGTTCCTGTTTATTGTCTGTCCTTCCCTAAGTGGCTGTATAAGGAAGTGGAGTTGAGGTTGTTAAAGGTTTCCAGCTCCTGGAGTGAAAGGCGCTGTTCTAAGTCATCGCACTTATTACACACACAACAGGCATGGGCTGGGGCTCCAAATAGACACAATGAGGTCTGTTCTGAGATGAAAAAAAACTAGAGATCCAAGGCAGTCTTTATAATGGTAGATACAACACCCAGGGTAATAGGGGCACCCTATAAAAACCTCAGCTGCTGATAGAGTGAGGCTGCGGCTCCTGGACAGTGTCAGTGTCACATTTAGTGAGAAGGTCTCTCAGCTCTGATGCCTTCGTGGATGTTCTCATGGACAGACAGTGGCCTTCTGGATGGACAGACTGTGTAAAAATAAGGAACAGTTGTGGCCCAAAACAATGTGACTAATGTAGCTTTTTCACATCCAACCTAAGACCTTTCACTTTTTAATTTAGATATTAAATTACAGTTATACTGGCCTGATTTTCTCAACTAAAAACCAGGGCTCTTGTCAGCAATGTATACTTAAAGGGACAATGGAAAGTATCTGAAATGAGATTGTTGGAATATCTGATAGTTATATCAAGAGTCTGCTAGGTAAAGAGGCCTCATATGGTTCTTTTGGCTGGTGGAGATTATAAAGGGAACTCCAGGGTCTCAGAACTGGGGCAGTACCACAGGGCTGGGCTGATGAGATAGGTGAGTGGAAGAAGACAGAGAACAGTGAACAAAAGAAGAGAGCAGTGAGTTGAAGAAAACATATCAAAGTCAGGCACTAGAATGGAGTCCTGGTGCCCAGTTTAAAAAAGAAAAAAAAAAAAGACTGTGGAGAAGGACAGCTTTTTGGGAAGTAGAGGCTGAGGCTGGAGCAGGATGACTGCTTCCGTCTCTGGAGGATCAGCGTGTGATGAGAAAGCAGTTGTGACCTCCATGTCAGGCAGAAAGCAGGGTTGTAAGTGTTCTTGGGCTGACTTGACACACTTAGGATTTCTCAGTGTTTGGTAAACTCAATACCATCAAGAGTGGCTGTGCTGGTATTGGTGACACCTTGAGAAAGGGAGTCAGAGAAGGGGCGAATAAGCAGGAGAAATGCCATAGGAAGGACAGGTGTCTAACCACATCCCCCCAGGTGCCCAGGAGGGAAGTGAGGAGGGAGTGGAGGCGTTTTCCTCAGATAACAGTTGTCTTATCTGGGCCCCAGGAGGCTGTATTTCTACAAGGACAAGGGCCACAGCTTAGTTATCTATGTGAACTTGGTAACCAGTATAGCGCATTATATGCTGTGACTATTTGATAAATATTTGTCATTTTGTTGTTGTTGTTAAGGTCCCAAGATTTCTGTAGAACTAGTGTCTCCTGATAGTGGTTCACAGAATGCTACAGAACATCACAGCTGAAAAGGACAGAGATATCATCATGACCAGTTCTCTGATATAGATCCAGAAACAGGCTAAGAAGAGCAACACATCTTGCCCAAGGTCACACTCCAACCTCAGATATTCTGATCCCTGGTGGAATGCAGGAATCTGAATTGTTAACCAGTATCACATCAACCCCAAACTGATAGAATTAATTGCAGGTGTTCCACAGACCACAACGCAGGGATACATTGTATTACATTATATGGTCTGGTTTTAAGAGTTGAGACCAAGCTGAGTGTTACAGTGATGAGTAAGGGTTAGCATAACCTATCAATAACTTTTTCTTGTAAAAAGCAATAAATATGGTTGGGCACAGTGGCTCATGCCTGTAATCCTAGCATTTTGGGAGGCCAAGGAAGGGGGATTGCTTGAGGGCAGGAATTTGAGATCAGCCTGGGCAACACAGTGAGATCTTTGTCTCTACAAAAAATTTTTTAAAATTTAGCTGGGCACAGTGGTACATACCTGTAGTACTAGCTACTTGGGAGGCTGAGGTGAGAGAACTGCTTGAGCCCAGAAGTTCAAGGCTGCAGTGAGCTATGATTGTGCCACTGTACTCCAGCTGGGGCGACAGAGCAAGACCTCATCTTAAAAAACAAAAAAACAACAAAACAAAACTAAACTAAACTAAGGAATTCTATTTTGTGAAAAATGTTTCTGATCAAAATCACCATGAAATACCACTTCACAACTACTAGGATGGCTATAAGACTGACAATAAAAAGTGTTGGCAAGGATGTGGAGAAACTAGAACCCTCAATATATTGATGGTGGGAATGTAAAATGGTGTGGTCACTTTGGAAAATGATTTGGCAGCTCCTCAAAATGTTAAAAGAAAACAGAGTTAACATATAACCCAGCAATTCTACTCGGAGATATATTCATATGATAAATGCTTCGGAGGCTGAGGCACTTTGGGAGGCCGAGGTGGGTGGCTCACAAAGTCAGGAGATCGAGACCATCTTGGCCAACACGGTGAAACACCATCTCTACTAAAATACAAAAGATCAGCTGGGCGTGGTGGTGCATGCCTGTAATCCCAGCTACTTGGGAGGCTGAGGCAGGGGAATCACTTGAACCGGGAGGCAGAGGTTGCAGTGAGCTGAGATTGCACCACTGCACTCCAGCCTGGTGACAGAGCAAGACTCCGTCTCAAAAAAAAAAAAAAAAAAAAAAGAGAAATGAAAACACATGTCCATGTAAAACACTGCATGTAAATGTTCACAGCAGCATTATTTATAATAGCTAAAAAGCAGAAAAAAATCTCAAATCCATAGAGACAGAAAGCAGTGTTTGCCTAGGGCTGGGATGGGGAGTAAGGAGAAGAAATGCAGAGTGACTGCTAATGGGTACAAGATTTCTTTTGGGAGTAAAAATGTTCTCAAACTTGATAATGACAATAGTTACACAACTCAGGGAATACACAAAAATTACTCAATTGGACATTTTAAATAGGTAAATTTGATGGTATGTGAACTATGTTTCAATAAAGTTTTTAAAAATATTTTGAAACTAAGGCTCCTAAGTTCTAGTACATTGCTAGGCCCCATCTTGTGATACTTAAAACTGGCTCTGGGCTATCTAGATTTGTTTATTTTTCATTGCTTCAGTTAACAGCAGGAAGAAATAAACTCATAGTTTCTCAATGTGCTTATGATCCTCAATTCAAGATGTAACTCATTCTTCCAGAGTCAGGAGGGAATAGACACTTGAATCCAGGTGCTCTGTAGGCTGGAAAAGATTTAAAGCCCTGAGTTGGCTCCACAGCAAAAAAATTTTTTTCCAATAATTCTCTTCTGAAGAAATTTCCCAGGACAGAGATTTTTGAGACAGATACATCACTGCTCACATAATTGAAATAGCAGGTGAATAAAGGCAGGCAGAATGTGTCAGCTGGTTTGATGAAGGGTCATACAGGTGTCCTCAAAAATAGGCAAGTGCTGGGGAATCAATTTGTGTGCTTTCTCAGAGACTTAAGGAACAGACTGTTACAATTAGTTAAGGGGCTGCATACAAATGACACTCCTTTGTGTGGATGTCTGCAAATCTATATAGAGGAGCCAACAGTCATTTGGAATCCAGGTCAGCCAGGGAAAGCTGAGCAGGAGTACATGTTTGCGTTTCAGAGAACAACTCCCCAACTCCTCCCCAAATAGACACAAAGATAATGGCCTAGAAGGGGTCAGTGTTTTACTAGCCTTTGATTGAGGCATCAGACCTCATTAAAAAGTCTGTTAGTCATATGTAGAAGAAGAACAGAATCCAAAGTGTGTTCTGCCATAAAAACAACAAACATGGTTGTAAAACCCTGTTGGTGAACTCCTAAAACTCTCTATATAGCATGAATAAATTCCTTGATACACAATCTCACCAGGCATGGTGGTGGCACCTATAGTCCCAGCTCCCAGAGAGGCTGAGGCAGGAGGATTGCTTGAGCCCAGGAGTTCTGGGCTATAGGACACAATGCTGATCAGGTATCCTCACTAAATTTGACATCAATATGGTGACGTTACAGTAGCAGGGGACAACCAGGTTGCCTAAGGAGGGTTGAACTTGCCCAGTTTGGAAACAGAGCACATCAAACTCCTATGCTGATCAGTAGCGGAAATGCACCTGCAAATGGCCACTACACTCCAGCCTGGGCAACATGGCAAGACCTCTTCTCTTATTTGTTTAATTAATTAATTTTTAAACTTTTATTTTAGGTTCAGGGGCACATATACCAGTTTGTTATATAGGTAAATGGCCTGTCATGGGAGTTTAGTGCACAGATTATTTTGCCACCCAGGTAATAAGCATAGTATCTGATAGGAAGTTTTTCTATCATCACCCTCCTGCCTCCCTCCACCCTCAAGTAGGCCCTGGTGTCTGTTATTCCCTTCTTTGTGTCTATATGTTTAGCTCAATGTTTAGCTCTCACTTATAAGTAAGAACACATGGCTTGGTTTTCTGTTCATGTGTTAGTTCACTTAGGATAATGGCTTCCAGCTCCATCCATGTTGCTGCAAAGGACATGATCTCATTCTTTTTTTATGGTTGTGTAGTATTCTACAGTGTATATATACCACATTTTCTTTACCCAGTCTACCACTGATGAGCATTTAGGTTGATTCCTTATCTTTGCTATTGTGAATAGTGCTACAATGAACACATGCACGCAGGTAAGATCTCAGCTCTTTTTTTTTTTTTTTTTTTTTTTTTTTTTGAGACGGAGTCTCGCTCTGTCGCCCAGGCTGGAGTGCAGTGGCGGGATCTCGGCTCACTGCAAGCTCCGCCTCCCGGGTTCACGCCATTCTCCTGCCTCAGCCTCCCAAGTAGCTGGGACTACAGGCGCCCGCCACTACGCCCGGCTAATTTTTTGTATTTTTAGTAGAGACGGGGTTTCACCGTTTTAGCCGGGATGGTCTCGATCTCCTGACCTCGTGATCCGCCCGCCTCGGCCTCCCAAAGTGCTGGGATTACAGGCGTGAGCCACCGCGCCCGGCCGAAGATCTCAGCTCTTAAGAGGAAAAAAAGCAAAACAGAATACACTACTGTCCTTGGCCCCCTCCTCTTCTGCTTGATCTAATTGGCTGTCTTGGCTTCAAGTACAGTTATGTGCTACGTGGTCAACAATATAATGGAGCTGAAAAATTCCTATCATGTAGTGACACTGTAGCTGTCCTAATGATATAGTGCAAGATATTACTCACGTGGTTGTGGTGATGCTGGTGTAAACAAACCTACTGTATTGTTAGTCATATAAAAGCACAGCACATACAATAATGTACGGCACATAATACTTGATAATGATAATAAATGACTATGTTAGTGGTTTGTTTTTACTCTGCTATACTTTTATCATTATTTTACAGTGTACTCTTTCTACATATTAAAAATATTTTACTGTAAAACAATATTATATGTAACAGCAGCAGCAGCCTCATATATCTCCTGTTTACCTCTTGATTGTATATCATTTTCTCTTGTGCTTGATTTAAGTTTTACTACAAAAGAGTCAAAAAGTTAAAAATAATTAAAAGTTTATAAAGTCAAACAGTTACAGTAATTACACTTAATTTATTGTTGAAAATTTGTAAAATAAATTTAGTGTAGCCTAAGTGTAGTGTTTATAAAATCTACAGTAGTGTACAGTAATATCCTAAGCCTTTACATTTACTTACCGTGCACTCACTGACTCACCCAGAACAGCTTTCAGTCCTGCAAGCTCCATTCATGGTAAGTACCCTCATAGATATACCATTTTTGATCTCTTATACCATATATTTACTGTTTAATTTCTATGTTTAGATACACAAACACTTGCCATTGTGTTCCAATTGCCTATAGTATTCAGTACAATAACATGCTCTACAGGTTTGCTGCCCAGGAATAACAGGCTGTACCATCCAGCCAAGGTGTATAGCAGGCTATACCATCTAGGTTTTTGTAAGTGCACTCGATGATGTTTGCATAATGTTGAAATCACCTAATAACTCATTTCTCAGAACACATTCCTATCATTAAGTGATGCATAATTGTAATTCAGATACTTCTCAGCTTTCTTTCTTGACCCATACTATTGTCGTCCATTGGACTTCTCCACCTGAATGTCTCTTCTCATTAGTGCCTTAATTTAAACTCAACATGTTACAAAATGACCTCATCATTCCCCAAGGCTGCTTTTCCTCTGAATTTCTTGTTGAAGGCAGCATGACCCATCCAGACATCTGAGTTCCTAACTGGAGGTCCCACTCAAACACCCACCCCTGTATCCAACCAGTCACAGTAGTCTGCTCATTTGACTTCTGATATGCATCTCAAATCTGTCCCTTCACCTCTCCTCTTACTGCTACCACTTCCAGACTATACAGCAGCTTTCCCACTGGTTCCTTTGTTACCCCTTTTTTCCACCCTACACTATCATCAGAATTCTCTTCCTGAAAAAAGAAATCAAATGAAGTTACTCTCTTTCTTTAAAACCTCCATAAGCCCTTCTATTACTTACAGGATAATGCCTTAGTATGCTGTAAGACCCATCACAATCTTACCTCAACTTAACCTATTTCGGCTCATTTTCTACTACAATTCATAAAAAATGTATTTTTTCACCCTGAATATACTATGCTCTTTCACACCTCTTTGCATTTCCACATGCTGTTCCCTGTATTGATGGGGCTCCTCCCACCCTTGTCAAACTGGAAAATGTTGATATATTCTTGAAGCTTCAACTCAAATATTTTCTCTTCTCCTTTGCAGAAATATTTGCTGCTGCTTCTGTGTTTCCTCAAGTATTTTACTTATGCCAATCACTAAGCACAAAACACAACATAAAACTTCAGGTCTGGGGTGATGCCTTAGTTACAACTGCATCTCCAATGACTAGCATACTCAGGTACTTAATGAATGTTCATGAATTGAATGAATAAAGCAGAAGACTAAATTATTATAAAAGCAAGAGAATGGACCTTATAGTATGACCTAAATATACAAACAGAAATCTAAAAATGAACATTTCTTCTAAAATAAGCTTCATGATAAAGTGTATTAGCCAGACAAAATAATGTAATCAGCATATATGCCCTTGGCTCAGACAACCAGAACTGACATTTCAGTCCTGTGAATGTGGCCTCTTAGGGAAAATATTAGTACCATGCTTAACTAATAATAAGCACTATCTGTGTGTTTACTGTTGCTGTTCTTGTTAGGGGGTTATAATCTGGCCTGTACTCCATCTAAATAGATATAAAAATAAGTGGTCACAATGAAATTCTACTGTCTAAACAACCAGCTTACAATATCTAACATTACATTAAGAAATGAACATACCCAAGTCTCCTAATGCACACAAAAATATTCTGCTTCAAACACATGAATGAGCCAATGGCCTGTGGATATAGCCCACATCCCAGCATCTGAAGACGGTATGCTTAAAAGCTTTTGGCAATATCTTCTAGATTTTTCTATAGACCAACATCAAGCCAATTTATCTGACCTCCTTGATCTACATAGCCCTTCCAGTACCTACAGCTATTTTTCTAGAGGCCTGAATGAGTCAGAACAAGAAAATGATTAATCAACTTGGAGAGATTTGAAAGCTGGAAGGGAGCCATCCTGTGAGTAAAAGCTCAGAGCTGTGGGACTGCAGCAGTTGGAAAGTTAGGGGATTTCCATGGTTGAAAACATTTGGCTGGCTTGCTATGGTCCTCTGACCTTGCAATAAGACAGACCAGACCAAGCTGGTGATTTACCTCTGACAATATCCTATGTCTGCTGACTCTGGCTGTTCACTCTGACTTGACAAAGTCAAAGTTATTCCCCCTGAGCCTTATGACTTTGGAACTGGCTCAGAAAATTTTCCTGTTTTTTCCTCCCAATGGATATCATTCTCAGACCTTGGCTTCACTTTTATGTACAGCGAGGCTTAAATTAAAAGTGTATGCAATGCACCTAGCACAGTGCTTGGCAAAAAGTTAGGTGGGTCTGCTCCTTTTTTAGGCCAGGTTGGTTTCCCAGCACCTGGGGGATATAGCACCATCTTGCTTTTCTTTTCTTTTTTTTTCTTTTTGCCAGTTGTTAACCTGCCAGTACCATTTAAAATCACTTTTCCTGCTTAAGGTTTGTATCACTTGCCACTGCTCCTTATTTCATCTATTCAAATTCTTCCAATTCCCTTTACTGGGGACTTGATTTCTGAAGTTGCTTATTTTGAAGATACTACTCTAGTATTATCTAACTTTTATATTCCAAAAGTACTACAGACACTGTTGTTGTCTTTTGTTTGCTGTTTAACATGTAATATTTTACTGATGTCAGGAAGGCTTCTCATATTTCCCAACTATTTATCTCTACGAGTGATGACTCTACTTCCATTTTCTTGCCCTTTTACTTTGTGTACACTGCCCTCTTTCTTCTTTCTTTCACTTGAGCATATGAATCACTTGGATTTTATTACTATTTATTATCATCTCTTTCTTTCCTGAGTCTGCTTTCTGTTCCATCACTGCATTTATATTACATTCCTGTGTCTACTATCAATAATAAGTTCAGCAAGATATTCTCATGCCTGATGATTGTTTATTGGTCTCCTGTCCCTGTTTCTCTCATTAACATCATTTATTTTCCCTGTATAATTTTTTCATTACCTTAGTAAAGAAATAGGGTTAGGCAAAGCTTTCTGCTTCTCTTCTCTACTAGAAAAGATCCAAGTCCTTCTCCATTCATTAAACATGGTCACATGTCTCATATATACATACAAATATATACATGTAAACCTTCACTGTGAGAATTCTTATCCATTGATTTGTAGATCACAAGGAACTTGTTGAGCAATGACAGCTGCTGCTTTTCAATGCACTGGCATGGTTGGGAGGGGGCTGGGGATTTTGCCTTTTGGCACACAAGTCAATAAACACATTGGAGATTAACAGCAAAGAGATAAGAAGCTTGGGTGTGGGGAGGACTAGAATGATGGTTTAGGGGAAAAGGAAAAAGGAGGGAATTTCAGGAAAAGGAATCGAAATTATAGATCAAATGACCAGATAACAAAAAGAAGGGGAGAGATTCAATAAGGTTGGAGGAAAGATTTAGAGAGAAAACAAGATTGGAGGAAGGAAAGTGGAGTGGTTAAGGATAAGAAAGAAATTAGGAACAGAGGCAAAGAGAGAAGAAAAAGGTGGCAACCAGCTGGTCATCCACTTGAGAAAGAAAGCATGAAGGAAAATATTTAAGAATAAGTAAATACAGTTGAGAAAACATTCCAAATCAATGTGTCATCCTCCTTTTAAAATCCCCTTTGTTATTAAAATATACCATCCACAATATGGCTTCTTGCTACAAATCCCTCAGCGGATAGAAGTAGAAATATCCCTCTAGCTATTTGTTTTGAGGTCAGTTACCCTAGTCAAAGCCCTCAAAGACTCAAATCCTGTCAGTCTACACAACTCAAAAGTGAGAAAGTAACTGGGATGTTCTTCTGACAGTTTAACTCCAATGACTGGCCCTAATGTTGACCTTCCATGTGTGATAATGATGATAGTAATTTTTCTCACATCAAAGAATTTTTTAAATTTATTCTACTCCAAGCAACTACAATGACCAAAGATGCCTCTTGCTAGTTACTGATTTACATTTTAAAAATACTTGGGAAACAAAAGAACACTAAAATCACAGCCAAGAACTCCTAAGCCGGATAAGGGTCTTTTTGGCAACTCCTAAGAAGCAGAAATCTCTGCATAGCAATCCGTTTCTTTAGCTGTAAGGCTGAATCTATTCCCTCACTGTAGATCCCATAGAACAGATTTTGTAGTAGACATCTGTTGCCTTTGAATGTCCTTTTTTTGGTAGGAACACCAAAAGTGCTTGGCTTTGGGTAACCACCCCTGACCTTTATTATGGGCAGTGCTGGTAGGACTGTCATCTAAGGTACAGGGCCTTCCCTGGCTAAGAGGTAGGCTTATAATCAAAGCCAGTCAGATTCTCTGCTGGGAATCTGAATGACTAGTCAAACAATAAAGATGTTTAACAGAAAATGTCTGGAGTGAACTCATTCCAGTGGTGGTGCCTTGACGTGACCATTAGTTTCTGTTTCCTCTACTCCCACAGATGTCCTACTCTGAAAATCTGTTCTACTTTTCCTTCAATTCTATGACACACTCTCTATACCTTCAAAAATTACTCTTTTTTCCTTTCAGTTAGCCAAAGTAATTTATATTGCTTGCAATCAAAAAGCCTCAACTTATATAATCCACATTACACTGAATGAGAAAGTCACCTGTATAAGACTGTCCTACAATTTGATGCTTTTTGTAACCTCTCAACTGGCTACAGGCCTGGTCTCCTCTGTGCCTTCTCAGTGCTGGATACCTAGTTGAAAAAGTGTAACTGATTCTGAAGAGCAGGGATAGAATTCAGTGACATGCTAGAAATGATATGAGTTGCTTCAACCTAGTTAAAGTGAAAATTTTAGTAGGAAATGAGGAAGGTGGCCTAGCCCATGACAGCATCAGGAACTAATCAAAGAGATGAGGCAGTCTTGAGGGCAAGATAGGGCACAAAGATATAAGAGATCTATGACACAGCTCTGATCCTGTCCCCTAAATTGAAGGCTTGCCTAACTAAAAAGACATGACGAATCCCAAACTAGAGCCAGGATCTTGCCCTGTTGTGTATAGTTTTCAGGGCCATGTCCTTTGTTTGGAAACAGGGTGACTGACCAACTGAACAGGTACACGCCAAAGGCCTTGTAGGGAATGTAGCTGAACCTAGGCCTGGAGACCAGAGTCTAGTTACTCCCAGTGCCCTGGAGACTGCCTACTCTGAAACTGACTGTAAGTAGATCAATCCAGATTTTATTGCAGATATCTACTCCAAAGAGTCATTTCTTTCTCATTCTACAACATATAAGACATTGACAATGGCAAATTCCTGTCATAATGAAGATGAGTAAGCCAGAGGCATCTTCTATAATGTCACACTTTTACTTGCACTGCTTCTTAGCACGTACTATTCTAAAATGCAATGTGAGGCTCATCTTATCCACAAAGGGCCCTCTAGGAAAGAGTTTTATAAGAAAATCTAATTGCCAAGAGTTCCATGGGTGGTCCAAGAGTACAATTAGGCCAATAGTGACCAGGTTTTCCAACTCTTGGCTATCAAAAACATGTTAGCTTGACCAGTGAGATGACTACAGGTCAATACAAAAGATTAAAATATATACAATGCAAGATAGAACAATCACTTCTCAGCTGTCTAGAGAAGCTTGTTTACAAATGAACTTTCAACTTAATGAATTTTCATAGATATGAAGCTAGGTCTCAAAGGTGCCTGTTAATTTTGCCCATCAGCAAAAGATAATATCAGCTGTTCCACGAATACTGAATTTTTAGACATGGTAAAAAGTAGAGTTTTATAATCTGTAAGTTAAGAAATTCAGTTTTAGAGAATATTAGTTTTCTTTCCCAATCTGCCAGTTTCTAGGGTCCCAGATGAGTCACTGAGAAAATCAGACTGTATTCCCATGTTCACAGTCTATAGGAAGCTGCAAAAGCTGAGACCTGGAAGGAACCTTAGCAATCATTTAGATTAAATCCCATCATTTTGCAAAGGATAAATTGCATGTGAGGGCCAGTCAAGAAATAGTGGCTTGACGTAAGTCACACAGCGGGTCAATGCCAGGCTAAATCTAGAGAATAGATTATTTGACGTGTGTCCACAGCTCATTTCACTGTATCAAGTGCTTTAAAATAAAGCTGTTTTTAACCAGACTGAATTCTCATTCATTCATGTCATTCAACACAAATTTATAAAGCATGTCTTACACATCAAGAGCTGTTTTAGGTATGGACCCAAAATGATGAATAGAACTAAGTTCTTTTAAAAAAAAATCAAAGATGTTGGTTTCTAAAAATGACATCTCTCAGTTTTTCAGCAAATTTTCACACTGTGTTAAAGGCGAGACAATGAAATAGGTTGTATAAATCTAGTAAGAATAATGATTCAACATTGATTAAGCAGTACATGAATTATTTTGCCAGCAAGAGAAAATCTTTTCATTAAGCTAATGAAAGTTTCATTAAGCTAATAAAATTTCATTAAGCTGATAAATATTTTCACTAAGTGAATCATATTTTCACTAAGCTAATCATACTAGTAAGGCCGAAACCATTATGATCTTTAGCTCCCAACCTAGAGGTAAGATGCCTTGTCCTTACCATCTCAGATGGTAAGGAAGGAGTTATAGTGATCATGGGCTTTGGGCTTTGGAGCTACAGAAACCTGATTTTCAGACTAAATTCTGGCTCTGTCTCTTACTAGCTTGTAATCTTGGACAATTTATTTACCTTCCTTAGTCTCAATTTTTTCAGGTATAAAAGGGGGATGAAACAACTTACTTTAGAGGGTTATTGTAAAAGTTAGATATAATGTATGCAAAACATTTAGCACAGTGCTAACACAGAGTAGGCCCTTAATACATAATGACTATCATTATTATTACTACTAATAATAATTAATGGCATAATAATATGCTCTGTTAAATGGTTCTAAAGGAACAAAATTAAATTCATGAATGGCCAGCACATGTATTTCAAAGCCGTTATGTAGGCATGCCCATCATACTTACAGGAAGGTTTCCTCCAATTATACATTAGAGCAGGGATTTGAACTTAGGATGGTCAGACTATAGAATCTGAATATGTAAGTGTCTGTACACTGTCTCCAAACAGAAATATACCCCAGTTGACGGACCCTGAAGAAAAAAGCACAATTTAAAAAGACCTGGGAGGGGTTTGGTCTCAAAACTGGGCTGAAGGGACCATTGCTGAGGAGGACAGTATTATCGCTACATTGGAAATATTAATATAAATTGCTAAAACTTATTGAGTGCTAACACTTATTACTTTTTTAGTAAGAATCACAGCTCTACTGGAATTGTTTTATTTAATTCTTATAACAACCCTCTGAGGTGGATATCAGTATTACTGCCATTTCACAGAATGCATTAAGTAACTAATCTAAGGTCAACAGTTGGTATGTGGGAAAGTAGGATTTAAACCCAGGCAGTCTTCAAACTGAATAACTGGCCTTGGACCCCAAGGAGAGAACAGGGGTGCAGTTGTGGGAGTTGGAAAAGTTTCGCCTAAGTCATGCTAAGCATCCATATCTGGGGCCTGGAGGGAGAGAAAGGGAAGAGACTATTTGAAGAAAGGCAAGAGTGCCCTACTGCCTTCTTAGGCAAAGCCAGAAGTGACTCCAAACCTTGGAGGATACTTATGTCAATCTTTTGTTTCTCCATCTCTGGCCACACACTTGTGACGAGGAGGCCTGATTGCATCTTTAAAGACATCTACATGCCTGGAAAGATCCAGAAGCCTCCTTCACTAACTGAAACACTTGAGTTTTGAATTTAAAATCCTGGAAGAGTCCATCAGAGTTCCATTCTGTACCTAACATAGTGCCTATCATTTAGTAGGGCATAATAAACATTTCTGGAAGAAAAAAAGAAACGAAGTAAAGAAAAACTAGAATGGATTCTCAAAGACTGTATCAAAGCATGATTATCAAAGACCTAGCTCAGTAAAATAAATGAGTCCTGGCCTAGGAGTCAGGAGATTTGGGTTCTACCCAGAACTGAAACTAGCTATGTAAAACTGGCAAGTCACTTAGTCTCTCTGGCCCTCAGTTTGCTCACCTGTAAAATGGGTTGGAGGATGTATTAGTATGTTCTCATGCGCTAATAAAGACATACCCGAGGGTTTAATGGACCTGCAGTTCCACATGGCTGGGGAAGCTGCACAATCATGGCAGAAGGCAAGGAGGAGCAAAGTTACGTCTTACACGGCACCAGGCAAGAGAGCTTATGTAGGGGAACTCCCCTTTATAAAACCATCAGATCTTGTGAGACTTATTTACTATCATGAAAACAGCACAGGAAAGACCCACCACCATGATTCAATTACCTCCCACCGGGTCCCTCTCACAACACGTGGGAATTATGGGAGCTACAATTCAAGGTGAGATTTGGGTGGGGACACAATCAAACTATATCAGATGAGATGCTCTAGAAGATAATACGTGAAGAAGTCTT
The DNA here is from genome assembly GCF_000001405.40 of Homo sapiens. Taxonomy (NCBI): domain Eukaryota; kingdom Metazoa; phylum Chordata; class Mammalia; order Primates; family Hominidae; genus Homo; species Homo sapiens. The sequence continues at coordinate 68,226,343 of NC_000014.9, read as the reverse complement.
GCTCCGTGGCTGGCCCGGGAGAGGGTTTTAGCTTATGTTTACTGAATATTATGCTTTCTTACTTTTAAACTCCTTTTTGAGCCATTTAGGTTGGCTCCCTCATTTTATAGATTAGAAAACCGAAGCACAGAGGAGTTAAGTGACAAGTATAAGAACACTCAACTAATTGCAGTACATCAGAGACAGCAATCAAGTTCCCTTGCCTCTCAGCCTGGAGCCCTTTTCTCCATATCACACTGCCCGTGACTTGATTGGTGTACTTGCTCCTCCCTGCCATCTATGAAGAAGCTTCTAAAAACAGTAATGTCACACAATGAATGGATTTCCAGGAAGCCATCAAGTTCAGGTCAACATCTTTGAGCAAGATTTACCTTAAAACACTCGAAAGGAATAGAATATATACATTTTCAGTCCTCAGAGATGGAAATTCTACCATATTTCTCAGTAGTCTACTCCAATTTTGCTTGTTAGTAGATACTTCCTTATGCCTATCCCAAATCCCTCATATTGCAGTTTAAGCCTCTTGTGTTGTCCTCAGGTGAGGCAGAAAACACTGGTCACTGTGTTCCGCTAAGCTTCTCTATGTACATAAAGATTGCGATTAAATTGCTCTTTATCTTCCTCTCTTTCCAAGCTAATCCCAGTTTCTTTAAATTCCTTCATAGTTCTTTCCCAATCCTTTTATCACCTTTGTGGCTGAACTCTCAGCCACCTCTAGATTCAACCCCTACCCATGAATTACAAATTGCAGACCTGAGCACAATTTCCAAGTATGGTTCTAAATACGGACCAGCAAGCTGATTGTGTCATGGTTTCTGCAGAATAGTTCCCTAAATTAGCATCCCACAATCATGCTTTGGGTTGTAAAACTACAGGCCACCTTAATTTAGACTGAAAGAAGGTTATTGGTAGCTTCTTCATAGCAAATTTAAACTTGAAGTGGCCATCTCCCAGTTCTCAGCATGTTTCTAATGATTTCTCCTCCAAGCAAGTAAGGGAGAACTAACGTTAATAAGAATCCAGATAAGACATAAGTAAGAAAGTAAATAAGCTGAACAGGAATCTTAAAATGTGGATCAAATATAAATAGGTTGGTATAACAATGTTCCTCCATTAGTGCAAATAATTCAGTGGTATCTAAAAAGCAATGAGTTGCTGAAGTACAATTTACTTATCATATATTGTCCCTACAGTGTTTTCTGTTTGCAAAATTTTTCTAAATTTATAATATTTTAGAAAAAAAGTTTCTCTAAATTGCACACTTGTATGTCTAAATTTTTTTCTTAACAAACATTCTTTCTCTTGTATTTTTTAATATGTATTGTTGAGGCTTAAAAAGAAAATAGCTTTTTGGGCCGGGCGCAGTGGCTCACATCTGTAATCCCAGCACTTTGGGAGGCCGAGGTGGGTGGATCACGAGATCAGGAGTTCAAGACCAGCCTGGTCAAGATGGTGAAACCCCGTCTCTACTAAAAATATGAAATTAGCTGGGCGTGGCAGCGGACACCTGTAATCCCAGCTACTCGGGAGGCTGAGGCAGAGAATTGCTTGAGCCTGGGAGGTAGAGGTTGCAGTGAGCCAAGACTGCGCCACTGTACTCCAGCCTGGGCAACACAGTGAGACTCTCCTTCTCAAAAAAAAAAGAATAGCTTTTTAAGATGTCTTTTGTTGTTTGCATAAAAAATAAAACTACTGTATTATAAAATTAGCAATTTCTTAAGCCATATGTTAATATCAACTTAATAAATATTTATCAGATGCCTACTTATGCATACAGTACTTACTAGAGAACTGAATAAATATGAATAGATCATAATAATATGAACCCGAAAGGCTTTTCACAAAGGTGATATTTAAGTTGAATATTAAGAAATAAGTAAAATTTTGACTGCTGCTCAAGGTGAAAGAAGATATGCCAAGCAGAAGTAATCCATGAGTGAAAAAAGGAAGAGCTACATCACTTACACAGCTAATGGGCCATTGGCAAAGTAAGTGACTGGGAGAGAATAAAACTGGATTCCAGAGAGATACTATTGTACAATAATTTTTCCAAAGTGGTTCTTGAAAAGTTATCCAAGAATTGTAACAGAGTCATGCAATTTTAGCGCAATCTCAGGATAAGAAAACAAGTAACAAACAAAACAGGCTTCATGCAGGAAGCAGGCTGCATCAAAGGAGGTGGTATAAAAGATCCGGAAAACAAAGTCATTTGCTTTTTACAGTTTAAATAATTTCACCCTCCATAGTTTCACCATTTTTTCTTCATTCTACACCAAGATTGCTTGGTCCCACTCAGCAAACATGGAACTTCTTTGTCTGTGCATGTGTGTTTCTCAGTAAGAAGAACAACAAAAAAACATGGCTGAGGCTGATTTGTAATTTTTCACTGTGGCTTTGAATTGTGGATGATATCAGCACAGCTACAAAAACTGGGTTTGTCAGTTAAGCCTCCCTCCCTGCTGGCTAAGCAGCACAGCATGAAACATAAACCATAAAGAAACAATAGCAGGGCTCAGGGGTTATTTGTTGTTTTCCAAATACATCTTAGTGACAGAATGGAAAATAGTCAATTGAGAATCTAAGCTCATCAAGGCCAAGATTCTCATCAAGGCCAAGATGATTTCATAAGGTAGGATTTTCTTTTCTTTCCTTTTAAAAAATATTTTAAAAAATTTGTTAACAAGGGAGAAAGAAAATGGTTGAATGTCTGAGAAGGGTTTGGCAGAATGGGATGTAAGGCTTAACTACCCAGAAGGAGCTATGAGTTATCATGGCAGAGTTCTCAATCCATATTCCCTTAACAATTACACATGCCTGTAAGCTTGTGCCACACAACAATCTCACAAATAAACTGAGAGAATTAAAGGTCTGGACAGGACTCAGTGAACTTGGACGACTTGGGTGAATACTACATGTATGTGCTTCCAGGCACACACGTGTTTGTGAGTATGTGTTTATGTGTGTTTCTCAACAGAAAATCTAAAAGCTACAAAAAATTCCCATTCATTAGACATGTATTAAAAACATACATATCCTAAATCAAGCCTTGGCCTAGGCAAGGCTAATAAGTAATGAGACAGAAACCGTCTTGGAGGAGATCCTAAACCAGAAGGAAAAAGAAGAATGTAAACATGTTTGATTAAAAATGGGAGGAAAGGACGAGGGAAAGTTTCTACGCCTCAAAATTGTGATTTAGGCAACTGAGTAGATAACGATTTTCCTGTTAGCCAAGGTAGGGGAAGTGTAAGAAATGGCCATTCTGGAAAGAAATACTAACAGTTCAGACATGGGCATTCTGAGTTGGAGTTAGCCCACAACATCTAGGAGATTCCCAGCAGACACTTGGACACGTGGGGCTGGAGCTCAGGAGAAGAGCCTGAGCTGGAGGTAGAGATCTGTGACTGGTCAGGGTATGTGTGCATCCGCAGGAATAAATGAGAGCTCACCCAGGGAAAATGTACAGTAAGAAAAGAAGTATAGATGGTATCTAAAATTCTGTAAGAGATAACGAGTCAACAAATACCTCTTGGGTAACTACTCTGTAGTCATTTTGTGAGGTATTTCCAGGCATAGAAAAGTGAAGAAAATGGAGCTCCAGTCTCAAGGAGATTACTTCTCCTATGGGTATTTGAATAACACAAACATTAATTTATTAATTTATTTTTTTTATTTCAATAGGTTTTTGGGGAACAGAGGTGTTTGGTTACATGAGTAAGTTCCTTGGTGGTGATTTCTGAAATTTTGGTGCACCCATCACCCAAGCAGTGTACACTGTACCTAATGTGAACTCTTTTATCTCTCGCCACCCCAACCTTTTCCCGCAAGTCCCCAAAGTCCCATGCATCATTCTTATGCCTTTGTGTCCTCCTAGCTTAGCTCCCACATATGAGTGAGAACATTCAATATTTGGTTTTACATTCCTGAGTTACTTCACTTAGAATAATAGTCTCCAATTTCATCGAGGTTGCTGTGAATGCCGTTATTTCATTCCTTTTTATGGCTGAGTAGTACTCCATGGTATATACATATACCACATTTCCTTGTATACTCATTGACTGATGGGCATTTTAGCTGGTTCCATATTTTTGCAATTGCAAACTGTGCTGCCATAAACACACATGTGCAAGTATCTTTTTTATATAATGACTTCTTTTCCTAGTAGTGGGATGGCTGGATCAAATGGTAGATCTACTTTTAGTTCTTTAAGGAATCTCCACATTGTTTTCCCTAGTGGTTGCACTATTTTACATTCCAACCAACAGTGTAAAAGTGTTCCCTTTTCACCGCATCCATGCCAACATCTATTATTTTTTTATGTTTTGATTATGGCCATTCTTGCAGGAGTGAGGTGGTATCACGTCGTGGTTTTGATTTGCATTTCCCTGATAATTAGTGGTGTTGAGCATTTTTTCCATATGCTTATTGGCCATTTGTATATCTTCTTTTCAGAATTGTCTATTCATGTCCTTAGCCCACTTTTTGATGGAATTGTTTGTTTTTTCTTGATGATTTGTTTGAGTTCTTTTTAGATTCTGGATATTAGTCCTTTGTCACATGTATAGATTTTGTAAAGATTTTCTCCCACTCTGTGGGTTGTTTGTTAACTCTGTTGATTATTTCTTTTGCTGTGAAGAAGCTTTTTAGTTTAATTGAGTCCCATCTATTTGTCTTTGTTTTTGTTGCATTTGCTTTTGGGTTCTTGGTCATGAAGTCTTTGCCTAAGCCAGTGTCTAGAAGGGTTTTTCTGATGTTATCTTCTAGAATCTTTATGGTTTCAGGTCTTTAAGTCTTTGATCCATCTTCAGTTGATTTTTGTATAAGGTTAGAGATGAGGATCCAGTTTCATTCTCCTACATGTGGCTTGCCAATTATCCCAGCACCATTTGTTGAATAGGGTGTCCTTTTCCCACTTTATGTTTTTGTTTGCTTTGTCAAAGATCGGTTGGCTGTAAGTATTTGTCTTTATTTCTGGGTTCTCTATTCTGTTTCATTGGTCTATGTGTCTATTTTTATACCAGTACCATGCTGTCTTGGTGACTATGCCCTTATAGTTTGAAGTTGGGTAATGTGATGCCTCCAGATTTGTTCTTTATGCTTAGTATTGCTTTGACTCACAGGCTCTTTTTTGGTTCCATGTGAATTTCAGGATTGTTTTTTCTAGTTCTGTGAAGAATGTTGGTGGTATTTTAATGGGAATTGCATTTAATTTGCAGAGGGCTTTTGGCAGTATGGTCATTTTCACATATTGAGTGCAGTGGCGTGATCTCTGCTCACTACCTCTGCCTCCCAGGTTCAAGTGATTCTCCTGCCTCAGCCTCCTGAGTAACTGGGACTACAGGTGTGCGCCACCATGCCCAGCTAATTTTTGTATTTTTAGTAAAGACAGGGTTTCACCACGTTGGCCAGGATGGTCTCGATCTCCTGACCTCGTGATCTGCCTGCCTCGGCCTCCCAAAGTGCTGGGATTACAGGTGTGAGCCACCATGCCTGGCCGGGGTTGAGTTCTTGATTTGATTCTCAGCTTGGCTGCTGTTGGTGTATAGCAGAGCTACTGATTTGTGTATGTTAATTTTGTGTCTTGAAACTTTGCTGAATTCATTTATCAGTTCTAAGAGCTTTTTGGATGAGTCTTTTTGGGTTTTCTAGGTATACCATCATATCATTGGCAAATAGCAATGGTTTAACTTCCTCTTTACTGACTTGGATGCCATTTATTTGTCTAACTGCTCTGGCTAGGACTTCCAGTACTATGTTGAATAGAAGCGGTGAAAGTGGGCATCTTTGTCTTATTCCAGTTCTCATGAGGGATGCTTTCAACTTATCCCTGTTCAGTATAATGTTGGCTGTGTGTGTGTCATAGACGGCTTATATTACCTTAAGGTGTGTCCCTTCTATGCCGATTTTGCTGAGGGTATTAATCATAAAGGGATGCTGGATTTTGTCAAATGCTTTTTCTGTGTCTCTTGAGGTGATCATGTGATTTTTAATTTTATTTCTGTTTATGTGGTATATCACATTTATTGACTGACATATGTTAAACCATCTCTGCATCTGAAACCCACTTAATCCTCAATTATCCCCTCAAATACGCTTTCTAAACTTTCAGATTTCTCTTCTTTCTTGGGAACACCAATTATTCTTAGGTTTGGATGCTTAGCATAGTACCAAATTTCTTGGAGGCTTTGTTCAGTTTTAAAAATTCTTTTTTCTTTGACTTTGATGGATTGGGTTAATTTGAAAACCTTGTCTTTGAGCTCTGAAGGTCTTTTTTCTGCTTGTTTGATTCTATTGCTGGGACTTCATTTCTCTAAGTGTGTCCTTGATTTCCAGATGTTGTGAGAGTTTTTTATTTATGCTATTTATTTCACTGAAGAATTTTCCTTTCATATCCTGTATCATGTTTTTGATTTCTTTAAGTTGGACTTCACCTTTCTCTGGTGCCTCCTTGATTAGCTTAATAATTCACTTTCTGAATTATTATAGTTATTATTCTGGCAATTCAGAGATTTCACCTTGGTTTGAATCAATTGCTGGTGAGCCAGTATGATCTTTTGGGGGTGTTAAAGAACCTCATTTTGTCATATTACCAGAATTGTTTTTCTAGTTCCTTCTCATTTGGGTAGACGATGTCAGAGGTAAGATCTGGGATTCAAGGGCTGCTGTTCAGATTCTTTGGGACACGGGGTGCTCCCTTAGGTGGTGCTCCGCTCTCAGGAATGCGGCTTCCTGAGAGCCAAACTCTAGTGATTGTTTTGGCTCTTCTGGGCCTAGCCATCTAGTGGAGCTCTTGGGCTCTGGGTTGGTACTGGCGAGTGTCTGCAAAGCGTCCTGTGATGTGATCTGTCTTCAGGTCTTGCAGCCGAGGATACCAGTACCTGCTCCAGTGGAGGTAGCAGGGAGTGAAGTGGACTCTCTGAGGGTCCTTTGTTGTGTTTTTGTTTAGTGAATTGGTTTTGTGTTAGTTGGCCACTGGCTAGAAGGTGACACTTTCAAGAGTGCATTAATCCTATAGAGAGGATGCAATTGAATGGGATAAAAGAAAAGAAATGCTATGGAATAGATGAAGTCTACCAAGTTAATGTTAAAATAATCACTTTAAAATAATTCCAATTTCCTAGCGGTTTCCTTCATAGTGCATCCTCATGGGAGAAAAAAATTATCAAATTCTCCTGTTCCAAAGGAATTGAGAAGCTCTGATACGCAAGATTATGGTGCTCTGTCAGCTATGCTGCTCTGCCGGGAGTTTTAGCTATTTAGAAGTTCCCTTTCTCTTTATTAATCTTTTCAGTATTTTGCAGGTTTTCCCTAAATATGAAAGTATCTCTGCTGTCAGACTTATATCCAACTACCCAGACCATCAGGCTGCAGAAATTTTCCCATTGTCCTGTCACCAGACTTGGTACTTTACCGAACCATTCTGCTCCCCTATCACTGTCCATGACCACATTTTTGGCTGCATAATCTATTATATCTAATAGTGTCAGGTTGTAATATTGTGGCTTGATAATATATATACACTCTCCCCACTATCTAACACATCATACCTTCCAGTTATACTGAAAATTCCACCAATTCATCCTTTTAGATTATATTGTAAACTATTTTAGTTGCCTATTTTTTCAACAGAGAAGTATAAGTTTTCTGATATAAGCAGGGCAGTTTTTCACAGTTTTTAACTATGTGTTTTTCATCTCTAAAGAAAGATTCATATATTGATGTCATAATTATGCATTTGAAGTTTCTGTCTCTTTATTAAATAGCTATGAAATCAATGCTAATGCCACATCAATAGCACTTACATTCAGGTAATAGCAAAATTAAGTTATCACACAGAGATTAGCAGGCTTTTCAGCAAGCACATATTTCTCTAGTGCTCATCCTCAGAGTATCAAAAATACTACTGATAGCCATAAAAACTGTTAATGAAATGTACTGCCAACTGCCAATGATATTTACAAAAAGTAGGCATCTGGCCTTGCTGAAGCCAGCATTAAAGTTTGATTAGAAATGAGCCAGGCAATATTATATCTTTTTCCTAACCCCTGGTACTCACTTGGAAAGGGGATAAGGGTATGGGGTTAACATCAAATAATCTTTACAAGTCAGAACAGAACAGGTCTTAAAATTGTTTTTGGCTTCATTGCCTCTGGGTCAGCTGCTGAAACAGAAGTCAAGCTGTGACTTATAGGCTTACATTAATTTTCCTTATGCTGCTTAATTTTAGTAGCATAGTTTCCACATACTCTAATTTCTTGTTTTCAGTGTTGTATGACATGTCTTGTAAATAGTGTGAAGTTGATTTAACTGTACAACATTAAAGTTATATCCCCACTAGGTCTATAATCTAAAGACCTGTTACTTACAGATAAGGAATAGTTCTGACTTCTGGTAACTACTGAGAATTATGAAGAAATCCAGCAAGGCCCTCTTACTTATTAGAGACTAATCTTAAACAAGAAGGCTTTGCTAAATTATACAAAGTTGTCCTTTCAAAGTTAAGTAACAAACACTTTATACTCTAGACCCTGAGTCTTCCATGACTTCCTCTGTTTTAGAAAAATATTCTATGAGTGCCCGACTCTCTGCTCCAAATTCTTCTGGTTTCATTCCTCTACAAAGGCTATGAGAGTCAGGCTTATATTAAATTTAATTTGGCCCATAGCCACACAAGTCCCATCAAGAAAAAAATCTTGAGAATGCCACTCTGGGACAGGGACTGTACATTTTCAGTGTTCAGAACAGACCCCTGTAGGATGCTTCACACAGTGCTTCCCCCCATACCACAATTCTTGACTCTGAGTGGGTAAAGAACTCAACTCTCAGTCAGTCTGATGGGCCTGAACCCACTTCCCCTGGACCATGCACCCGCATCATAGAGTACCGACTAATGAAAATAGCAGTTATGTTCTTGATCAGGAGGCCATTATCCACTTTCTTTATAAAAGTGCCATAAACTCCATATTGATTGGCCAGAAAGATATGCCTTTACATTGCGTAGGATTAAGCTCACAGAGGTCTATAGATAACTGATAACATAAGATTTTAAGGGGGAGGAGGGCTGGATTTAGAAAAGAGGAGATGAAGAATGGTCTGAAAGCAGCAGTGGGGAACAAGAAAGAGGACACCTAGCCCACCTCCAGGCCTTGTCATAGGAGACTGGGGAAGATAACACTACCACCACTTAGGAGAGCAGCAGGGGAGGCAGCATCCTTAGGCGACAGCCACAGTTCAGTTTAGAGTGGGAAGGTGAAAGGACTGTTCTGAGAAGGGGTTGAGAACACAGGAGATCTTGCCAATGACAGATTCTGAATTCCAGAGGACACAGGACTTGGGGAGAAACGGAATAGAAGAATTAGAGTCTGGGAGGTAAAAGGTTTCCTACAAGTCAGGCTTCTTACAGTGACTAATCTCAACATTGATCAAAGGCCTCATGAAATAAGATTGTTTGAGGCAAATAGTAGTGATTAGGCTGAGAGGGGGGTCGGACAGGGATTACTGTCCAGGCTCCTCTTGACCCCTGTTGATGGAGGTGAGGAAGTCCAAGGAAAAGAGCCCTATCCAAGTATTTACACCCCTCCTAATCCCTGCTGATGGAGGAGGTGATATGTAAATCCATAAAACAGAGGAATATTATATATACTTTGAAATACTTCTTTGTAATTCTAGATTTAATTTTATGGCAAGAAATAAAAAGATAAAGGAACCACTGGGATAATAGAACTTAGATGGGATTCTTTAAGAAGACTTTGACAGCCTTATTTGGGAAATCTTTCAGGGAGACTTAAAGACATTTCATGGCTTTGGAGAAACTGAATGATATATTTGATTTGCTACACTCTTTTCCAACACATTAAGGTAGAGTTCACTTTAGGAAAGTTATCACATGTCCTTAAGATTCAATTTCCTTAACTGTCAGGAGGTGATAATAATACCTATCTCCTAGGGCTGTCATGAGGATTAAGTGAAGCAAACACAAGCACAGCACCTACCATACAGTTCACTGCCAATAAACCCTTAACGACCTTTTTCATTTGTTCTCTCTAACAAACGCAACGCATGAGTCAAGTGTTATCTCCAGTTTAAAATAAAGAAATAGGTTTTTAGAGAGCTTCAGTAACTCACTTAAAGTCCCTCTTTTAGGAAGAGACTAAGCTGGGATTTCCAACTCTGCTTGGGCTGATGCCAAAGGTTGGTCTGAGCTCTTTGCATTGAACCTCACTGACTTTCCCATTTGTTTTTCTGCTACAATTAATATAAGAACTTATTTTCCCCAAATTAGTTCAGAAACATATTGCCCTTATAAATGCCAAAAGTAGTAAAATAGGTGTACCTGGCATAAACCCACATGTGAATCACTATGAGACAAGAACCACCTGCATTTACTGGTGGTGGTGGTGAAGAATAAACAGAATATGAAACAACACTGGGCACTTAAAAAAATCCCATAAGAGCCTCAGATTATCCTTGGTACTGAGTAAGTTCCTCTATGTTACAAAAGCAAAATTCGGCTCAGCTTTCATTTGTTTCCTCTTTTTGTATTGAAAAACCCCAAAGTTAATGAAAACCAGTGAAGCAGCTACAGGATCTAGAAGATGTGCTAAGCAGTCTAAAGACAGGTTCTGGCCCTGCCTCAGCTACTAGGCAGCCAGTGCCTTTGGGCACGTTCATAACCTCTCCAGTGGTAACAACCTAGTGCTTAAGAGTATGGATTTCAGAACCAGAAAGCCTGGGTCTAATTTTGGTTCTTCTACTTAATACTGCATGACCTTGGGCAACTAACACTTTGAGCCACAGTTTCCTCATCTCAAAATGGGGATAATAGCACCTAACTCCCGGAACTATTATAAGGATTAAATGCACTACTGCAGGTAGTTGGAACAGATTGGTGCTCAGAAAACATTTGTTAATTGTTCCCACCACCACTCTCTGAGTTCCATTCTCCTTATTTCTGAAATGGGTACAATAATATCTGTCTTGCTTCCTCTTCTCCACCTTCCAAACAGGATTATTTGTGATGATTATTGTGGTAAAAGAGAAAAGAGAAAAACTGAAGAGGAAGATGAAAACAACCTTCAAATATTAAGATAGTTATATGATAAGGGAGAGTAGACGCCATTGGTGTCTAAGAGATTAAAAAATCACTTTCTTCTCATTCCCTATTGAGAAACTTTGTAAAATATAAAAGGCCATATTAAGAATATAGGGTTATTATGATGATAACTCAGGAGAGAATTGAACATACTATCTTTGTCATTTGAGGCAATGGAGATAATTAATCTTCTTCAAGTTTTTTGAAAATGGTAACTAAATCCTAAAAGTCCTAAATACCTAGCTGAGGAAAACAAATTGTTCTTCAGCTTCTCAGAATATCAAGTTCTTTTTTCCATAATATAATTAGAACCCCCAAGGATTCATTTAATTCACAGTATAAAGGCAAAACAACAAAGTTGAAATAAAAGAAGGCTGGTTTCACAGGTTGCCCACAAAACTGAGAATTTTTTACTACAGCACAATGCAATAAAGAGGCTTACAAATTGAGTCCTGGGGGAAGGACACGAGCTGTATTTGTTGCATGTGGGTATAAGAGGCCAGAAGTTGGCCTCTTCTATTCTGTGAAGTGCCATGTGCATAAATTTGTAGACTGTAATTCCCTTTAACTCAAAACACTCGTGAACAAACAGTTGGAACAAAGCCACCTCCAGAACATGATGAACCATAGCACTTAGAACACTGATCATCTCTCATTGCTCAAACAAATAAGCCTTTAAAATACTGACATGCTTTACTTGGAGTTTTTTTATTTATGCGTGTCTTAACTGATTTCAAAAGAATCTTAGGGAGTGGGGGCCGTAGAAGTAATCTAGACATCCCTCCCCTCCACCTCCCCATGCTAGAAGATTCTTTTTCACATCATTCTGTACAGAGGCCAAACATTTCAGAGATAAGAGTGCTCCATTGGCTTGGTTGCCCCACTGAAGTTAAAGTTGGTAAGTACCAGGGGTAACACAATTCCCCTGCCTAAGGTTTCCATGAGTGGCCTCCTGCTAGAGTAACATTTTGATCTTTTTTGTTTCAGCCCACTTCAAGGATACCAAAAAGAATTTTTGTGCAGATATGAACTAGGTTTCCTCCTCTCTCATTCACAGTCGAGAAGTCAGGTGCACCCCTGGCTTCAGGATGCACACTTTCTCCTTCTCCTTCACACAGGAACTGCCCTCCTCCTGCAAACAACAGTTGTCCAGGGCCTTACCTGACTCTGAGAGTGTGTTTAACTAGGGAAGGGTATAAAAGGCCTGATTGTAGCCACAGATCAGGCCACATTCTCTAATATGGTTTTACTGGAATAAAGCTGACATTTTGTTCTCCATCAACCTGATGCCAGAGTCCATTTCTCAACAGGGAATGAGAAGTGATTTTTTTACTCTCTTAGACACCAATGGCATCTACTCTTTCTCATCATGTAACTATGTTAATATTTGAAGGTTGTCTTCATATTCCTCTTTGGTTTTTCTCTTTTCCAGCCTGACATTAGTTCACCGTTTTTCCTCTTAGGATGTAAATCCAGACCTCTTATTCTCCTGATTATAATGGTCAAGGACCCCCTTAATGACAGACCTGACCTAGTACTCTGGACATGGACTCTTAGAGAAGAACTACTGCCACCATGATCCATGATGCTATATTCTAATAATGCACCCTCCTATTAGTTGTTCTTTTTTAAAAGTAGGTATACGTTAGTATTGAATCACATTGAGTTTCCCACCAACTAATGTCCCTAAATCTTTTCCTTATTACTTGCTATCAACCTAAGCTTCCTCCTTCAAGACTTAACATACTATTTTGTTAACCTTAGCTTAGGACTTTACATTAATCTGTGTAAAATTCTGACTCACTGGTTCTAGTAGCATAATACAGTTATGAGCATGGGCTTTGGTGATAGACAAATGGTCCTCTGCCATCTGTGCCTCTTATTGGCTGTGGGACTTGGGTAAATGACTTAGCATATCTGTGCCTCTACATCTATCTATAGAATGGAATATTACTAGTATACACCTCAGAGGGTCACTGTGAGGATTAAATGAGAGAAGTCATACAACACATTTAGCATTTTGCCTGGCACACAGTAAGTACTCAATAAATGCTACATATGGTTGTTATTAGCAAATCCGCCCATCAACCTACACAGATCTTTAAAAAATCCTATCTCACTTGTTGCAAAAGCACATTATTTGTGCTTTCGTCAGAAATTTTTAATGAGAAAATTGGATAGAACAGCATCACTAGACAGGTTCCTGAGGCTTACCCTGAGGACCCCTCTCCAGATGGACATTAGTCCATCCATCAGGTCAAAACTGCCAGTGGACATTTGTTCAACCAGCTATGAATCTACTTAACCTCAACAAGACAACAAGAGTATCATAAAAATCTTAGCCAAACTCCTCCCAGAAATAAAAATCTATCCCTTGACATTTCCATAACCAATAAGATGAACTGTGAAAGACTTTAAGGATGTTAGAAATAGGAATGTTTTGTTTTCAATGAGCTCATATTGACTCCTAATAATCACATTTTTCTCACACGTAATCATTCAGTAATCCACTCTAAAAATTTGCTGAAGATCAATGTCCTGTGCATTCTGGAACATGTCTTCTTCTTCACTCCATTTCTTCAAAATTAGGATAGTGTCCAGTGCCATTTTCCATTACTATGACACCAAACCCTATTGCTATCATTTCTCATAAATGATGTGATTACACTGGCAAATTCTGTCACTACCCAGTGCTGTGGTTCCAATGGAAAGTCCCCAGTAGTGAGTTAGGAGGGTTCTAAACCAGTCCAAATTGTTCAGCAAACTGCTGACCACCCAAAGGACACACATGGTGGTATTTACCTTGCTGCTGGTGCTGCTGTTGTTGCTGCTGCTAACAGCTCTATGTAAGGCTCTGAGTCAAGTATTTTACATGGATTGTCTAATTTAATTCTCAAAACAGCCCTCTGAGGTCAGTGTAAAGATAATATCCTTTTTAGAGCGGGGTCTTAGGTCATACAGCATGTAAGTGGCTGACCTAGTATTCAAACCCAGTTCAATCAGATTCTAGAGCCAAACTTCCAACCAAGTGCCATATTATCTCCCTTTTTTACTAAATGGCACTATTTCATTGTATGAACTGTACAGCTTGGGTCCAGTCCCAGCCTTGCAGGCACAGAAATTTGACCTTGTCAGTATCCCAGAGTTGAATAGACTTAGGCATGATGCCTTCCCCTGACGAAGTTCACAACAAACTGGTGGAGCAAACGAGAATGCCAATGTGTTGATTTACAACAGTTATGTATCTGTCATACAGACCATAACAATCTGACCAGAGCATTTTTCCCTTTAGAGGGTTCTACTTACAGAGGCAAACTGTAAACACAAGACATCATAATAGGAGGCATTTGCTATAGAACTTGAATGTTAAATTGAATTTCCAACAAAGAAGGACTTGCCAGTGACACTGAAACTTTGAAGACTACCAACATTCACATTTCTATGGACAGTTACTGTGGGTACAGGGCACAACCAGTGTTTGCCTCTGGGTGCTTCTGATGTCGACCAACCCCCTTTCTGACACACTGGTGCATTACTTACGTCTAGGCCAGTCTTTGGCCTAGAGACAATGACTTTCCTTAGGTGACTTTCCACAACTATGCTCTGATATCTGATGGTTTTATATATTAATTTATTTCCCAACCAAGTTGTTGAGTAACCTTCCCCACCATATCTAGTCTACAATCTATAATATAATTCACTCTGGCCTAAGGCCTTTAATTCATTTAAGAAAGCTAGGAGCTCTCCTACTTTCTTATGTTTTATTTTTCTTTTTTCCCCCTTAAAGCCATGTATACCATATTCAGTTGGCAACACAAAAGAGGTGCTACAATAGTGAAGGTGGTACAAAAACAGGACCTGAGATGTTCTTTTCATTCTTCTATCTTCTCCAAACATTGGTTTCAATGGGGAAAGCGGGTGGAGGGAGGGCAATGTGATTAGAGAGATTCTTGCAGGCAGGGAGCAAGGCCCTTGAACTAAAAGTGGAAGTAGCCTTATATTCAGATAAATCAGTCACTAGGCACTGGGTGGGGAGGGGAAAGGGTCACAAAGAATGTTCTGAGCTAGGCCACTTAATGATTTTAGACATGCCTACCTAGGAAATGCACCATGTGGCAATGCTCTTGTTCTGACCACAGCACATTAGTCAGAGAAACATCCTCAGAGAGAAGATCAAGGAAGACAAGGCACATGTTTGAGTGTGGGAACACAACTGACACTAAGTGAAGCTTGACAACCTGAAAATGAAAGTGACTGGAAATGAAGTGAAACCATTCTGTTAGTAAAGAATGGAATGCGAAAATGAAATGAACATTTTAAATAGAGCACACTGCCCTTCATTTTACTTGGTGACTCAGCCTGGGAGTTTCTGTAATACATACAGAATTCTGTTTGGTGAAGTGACCTACTTGCTCTTTGTGGGCGACCATATCGTGAACAGCTGGGGAGTAACTCACTCCACGTCAACATGATACTGATCACAAGCGCATTTCCTTGCTTTTGCAGAGTGCAATGGAGATTTCAAAGCACTTCTTCCCAAGTATTTTCTCCTTTAATTCTCACACAAACTCTGTGAGATTGTTGTCCATTTTGTTACAGGTAAGAAAACTATTTTAAGTTCAGTGTTTTTTCCATGATACTACAGCAGTGGCAGTTACTACTAGAGCTCATGCAGAATTCACTGAAGGCCACCAAGACACAAGACACACACAATGGTCATTCCATCACCCTTAAGTAACCTAAGGCCTGGTCATGTATATACATAGAATGGTATGTTACCATCCCTAATATCTTTAAGATCAAACCCACATGTACAAGAACATTTTTAAGGTAGTCCTATCTATTTGGCTCCAGAGTATTTGAATACTGCAATATAAATACTGATCACCTTTATTTGCTTCAGGCATGGTGTATAAAAATTGTCATCCCATTGAATAAATCCCTTGTTACCTGGTCTCAACGTTCCTAACTATAGAACTATTCTAAAGATATTCCTGGCTGGGTGCGGTGGCTCACACCTGTAATCCTAGCACTTTGGGAGGCTGAGGCAGGTGATTACCTCAGGTCAGGAGTTAGAGACCAGCCTGGCCAACATGGTGAAATCCTGTCTCTACTAAAAATACAAAAATTAGCTGGGCATGGTGGCGTACGCCTGTTGTCCTAGCTCCTCAGGAGGCTGAGGCAGGAAAATCACTTGAACCCGGGTGGCGGAGGTTGCAGTGAGCTGAGATGGCGCCACTGCACTCCAGCCTGGGTGACAGAGTAAGACTCTGTCTCAAAAAAAAAAAAAAAAGGTATTCCTAGAGTATGTTTCGCTCAGACTAATACAGCCTGATGAAATTCCAGTGCCAAATAAGGAAAAAGATCGTGTGCTCATGGAGGAATATTACTGCCTGGCAAGAAGCTTCCTTTAATACCACTTAAAAAGATTAGCAGGAGGAAGAAAATCACGATTACAATAAAAGAATTATCACTAAAATTTCTCAGTGCAATTCCTTTCTTTGATGCCTAAACACAGGACCTTCTATTCTAGCAAGATGGTAGTTAAGGCATGTGTATCCGAAGGGCAGGAGATCCCTAAGTGGGTACAGAATATCTTACAATCATCTTCCCAAAAGTAGATTAAAAGTGGACTGGTGCATTTTTCAGATCTAAATATTCTCCTTTCTCTTCGCCCTCACTTCTGCTCTTTTAAATGTTGGAAAAAAAAATGAACAAGGCAACAAAGAAAATTTTAAAATGCTCATGGAAAAACTCATCTTCTAGAAGGGAATCTTAGTGGGAGGGACAATTCCTCTCAGAGAGTTATCAGTGAAGCTGTGAAAATATGAGGCCCTGGAAGCCAGAGGTGTCACCCAACAAGGCTGCAGCAAGGACAATTAGCAATGGCTGCTGTGCCCTCTGTCACTGCCTCAACTTAGAAAGGATGTCTTTGTCAGCCTCAGGATACTTAGCATGGTGCCTACCTCACAGAGAGTTCTATAAATAATTGCTGAGTGAAATCAGATGAAATGGAAACAGTTTCAACATGTCCCAAAAGTATTAGATACTTGAGTGCTAGAGTGGAATTGTTCTCTATTGGAAGAAAAGAAAAAAATATACCATTTTGAGTTGCAAGTCTTCAAGTCTTGCAATGTGAAGGATGACAAAATCTTCCTGATCTCCAAACTGGGTCACCTATCATGAAAGAGGAAAGCACTTCTGCAAAGTGCTACACCCTAGAAAACATCTTAAACCACTCAACAAAACAAGATTTCACCTCAAGGGAAGACTATCGAAGATCTCCACAGATTCCATTCAATTCAGTAAAGATTTCACTTTCAGATTGCCCATAGAGGTTGCCTGTGGGTGCTGGCTACTCAACTGCTGCTGAGCACAGTGCAACTCTATCATAATGCAGCTTGTCATCCCACAGATGTAATATCCACTAGGGTATAATATATAACCCCAATGAGTTTTACTGTTGAATAGAGATGCTGTAATGTATGGTGCAGCCACAGACCTGCATGGAGGGTCAGTTAACCTGAGTTCAAGCTCTATCATTTTCCAGCTGTGTCCAGCATGGACACATTTTATCTCTCTGAGCCTTGGTGTTTTCCTGTGGAAAGCAAGGGGCTTAAAGCAGATAACCTCAAAGATCCTCTCTAGCTTCTAACATTTGTAATATTCCATGACTCTGTGAAGAAAAGCAACTAAAATTAAACCCTTTATTGTTTATATACTGCATAGAAAACAAGTTGATACATCAGAAGGTCACACGGACATGATCCTGTTAGAAAAACCAGCCCTTTCTGTGGCTGAAAGGAATGAGAATATCTTGGCTTTCAAAGTGGGCAAAGATTTGGTTTGGACTTCTCTCCAAAAGAAAGCATGTCTCAGCAGTCAAAATGATGCCAGTAGCCACAGGCTGGGTCATTGCTTTTAGTGAGGCCCAGCAGGCACAACACAACTTTCTTAATTACCATTACTATAACCTTTACCACACCTTGTTTTTCTTGGGGACTCTCTTGGTCAGGTAATCTGGGTTAGATCCAACCCAATTTATAAAATTTGAGGCTTTTCCCACTGTAGGTAAGATTACATGCTATTTTAAGAAACCTCTTGGGGGATGAGGAAATATGTTGTTTTTTTTTTTAAATATTATACTGTATATCGATTCCAAATGCTAGCTGAACTTTTAAAGAAAAACATGAGTTTCCCTAAAAATAGCCTGTCTACAATGCCTCTTAGACTTGGGCACTTTATACACACAGTATAACTTGCTTAGCCTGCAGTTAGAAATAAAATAATATTTAGTGAACACATTTAAAAGGTTAAGAAAAGCTAAATGTAAATGTCCCCAAAACATTAAACATTAATTAACGTGAGCTGACTTGTTATTTAAAAGTTATATTCTCAAAAAAAAAATCTCAAATGAGTTCCTAAATCCAGATTTAAAAACCTTTGGTAACCAAATATCAAATCCAAAGGCCCAGTCTCGGTCTTCAATTTTCCTTGACTATTCTGCAGTATTGGACTGCTGGAATTCTTTCTAATCCTGACCACCATGACTCTACCTAGTACTGGCTCCCCTGCTTCTTTGACTTCACTCTCTACATCTCTTTCCCCAGGCTATTCTTAATTTATCTCCTTCTCCTACCATAACTTTTTAATGTATCACAAAATGCAGAGACATCCTCTGCTCTTTTCTCTTTTAGTATCTTTTTCTTACAGTCTTGCCTTTGGATTTGGCAAACTCTAGATGTATTTTCTCCTAACTCTGTGTGGATGACTTCCTAATCTTAATCACTATGCTTCACCCTGTCATGTGAATTTCGATTTTCTATCTTCCCCCACTGCAAGCTGAACATCTCTACCATTTTGCCTTATTATTTCAAATTCAGAAGCCATGTAAAACTGAATTGGGCAAGTAAGAAACCTGTGGGAATGAATTAAAATTGGAGATATCAATGAATCAATTCATGATTTCTAAAATATGCATATATGCATATGTAGGTGTATATGTGTGTGTATTTATATATATATGTATGTGTGTGTGTGTGTGTATTTTTCCCCAAGTTCACTTCACTGAAAGAGCCAAGAGCCAAGATACCTCAATAGTAATGAGCACACCTATGCCCAGAACTTAGTCTTTAACACTATTTCCACCAGAAAAGAACTGGGGTGGCCGGGTGCGGTGGCTCAAGCCTGTAATCCCAGCACTTTGGGAGGCCAAGGCGGGCGGATCATGAGGTCAGGAGATCGAGACTATCCTGGCTAACAGGGTGAAACCCTGTCTCTACTAAAAATATAAAAAAATTAGCCGGGCGCGTTGGCGGGCGCCTGTAGTCCCAGCTACTTGGGAGGCTGAGGCAGGAGAATGGCATGAACCCGGGAGGCGGGGCTTGCAGTGAGCCGAGATCGCGCCACTGCATAACCGCCTGGGTGACAGAGTGAGACTCCGTCTCAAAAAAAAAAAAAAAAAAAGAACTGGGGTTTCTTGGGAAAATGGGTGATTTCAGAGCTTAGGCAGAGTAGGTACAAGGTGTGCCTAGAATAACTTATGCCAAAAATCAAGGAAGTGTTAAAAAAAAAAAAATAGACGGTGGAGATATGATACCAGAACATACTGGCTAAATCTGAGACAGTTTATATACCAAAATGATCTGGTACAGTATCAACCACTGAAAAGAACAGTGGATTCCATGACCAGTACAAACTGGTAAGAGATGCATGTTTGGATGGAGAGAAGAAAAAGCTCCTGCTTATTAGAAAATGTCTACTGTTGACAGGCGAATGTGGAAGGAATGTCAAAGATGGAAAATCATGATTTTTCAGTCATCTTATAAAGTTTGGACTATACAAGAATCATCAACAGATAATAAATTTGGGGGTAGTGATGAAGAGCAAGCTATTTGTTTCCCACTGATTACTCAGTGCTTTTAAAGGAAAAACAGTACCTACACAAAGGAAAAATTAGACAATGCCTTGACCTGGAGATCAAAATTTACATCACCATGAGTGGGAGATGGACATTATGTGCCTGCAGATGTGATAACTCAAGGACAAAACATCACCTGGATGACAAGGCATAACCTGATTCTAATCATAAGGAAACATCAGACAAATTTTTAAAAAGCAAGAGGGGGGGCTTAAATTCTTTAAAACTGACAAAGTCATAAAAGATAAAGGCTGTAGACATGTTCCAGATTAAAGGAGACTAAAGGAACATGACAACTAAAGGCAATACCTAATCCTATGCTGGATCCTATGCTGGAGGGAAAAAGTGCTATAAACAACACTATTGTATCTTTGAGCCAACTGACAAAACTGGCATATAAATGGTAGATTAGATAGAAGTATTTAATCAAATTTACCAAAGTTGATAACTCTACTAAGGTTATATAACAGAATATCCCCTTTCTTGGAAATACCACACCGAAGTATTTGGGGGTATAGAATCATGATGAATGTAATTTAGCCTCAAATGGCTCAGAAAAATATTATACATATATATGCATATGTAGATCGAGTAAATTATAAAGCAAATGTGGTAAAATATTAGCAACAGGTGAATATGGGTAAAGGTATTTGACTGTTATGTGGACTGTTTTCATTCTTGCAACTTTCTTACTTCCAAATAAAAAGTAAAAAAAAAAGAAAAGAAAAGAAAAGAAAACAACACAAAAAACAACCAAAAAAGCCTGGATTGAAACCTTTTATCTCAGCCCCCAAACAAGCTGTCTCTATCTTTTATTGGCTTTATTATCCTAAGCAGGTTGAAACATTGCACTTGTCCTCAAGAGTCTTCTCTCTCTCACCTCTCAGAGCCATTTCACCACATACTGCCCATTCATCCTTCATGTTTCATATCTATCCCTTCCTTTGAATTCCTACCACTCCCACCCTATTTCAAACATCTATCATTTTACAATAAATTATTGCTACAATTCATCACTCCTAAAATAGGCTTTGTCTATTCAAAAACATCTTACACATATTTATCACATTTGTCTGCAACCATATTATTTTCATTCTGTCACTCATCTCAAATTTCCACTATGGACTGTATAACACCTAAAATAAATAAGTGTCTAACTTCTTAGAACTTAAAAAAATTGAATAGTGAATTAATACATTTTATGGTAGGAAAGAGTTGAAAACACCAACAAGCACACTCGCCTCTCAAAAATCAAAATAACTCATGGTCTCAGAGTATATATAACCACTGCTAACAACTCATTATGTATCCTGTCTGATTTTTTTATTGTCATAAGTGTAAATATATTTCCCAAAATGGGGACCATACTATACATTCTGTTTTATAACCTACTTTTCACTTCTTCCTATATCATGAGTATTTCCCCATTTGAATAAATATTTTTATACAATATGATTTTTAATAGCTATAGAACAATACAGTGTATACTTGAAAGATAATTTACTTCATTAATTATTTGGGAGTTTTTCAATTTTTAATTCTTATAAAGAGCACAAATAAAAATAATTTGTAGATACATACTTGTACTCATCTCTTACTGATTTATCTAGGGTAAACGGCTATTTTTTAAAAAATTAAATCACATCTTCCACCACTTAATGTACACAAACACACTAGAGACATACCTTACTTTATTGTACTCCACTTTATCGTGCTTCACAGATACTTCAACTTTTACAAATTGAAGGTTGTGGCAACTCTGCATCAAACAAGTCTATTAGTGCCATTTTTCCAATAGCATGTGCTCATGCATGTCTCTGTGTGATATTTGGTAATTCTCACAATATTTCTAACTTTTTCAATTATGATTATGTTATTATGGTGACCTGTGATCAGTGATCTTTGATGTTATTCTTGTCATTGTTTGTGGGTGCCATGAACTACACTCATATATGACAGCAAATTTAATTGATAAATATGTGTATTCTGACTGCTCCATTGGCCAGCTATTTCCCCATCTTTTTCCCACTCCTTGGGCCTCTCTATTCCCTGAGACAATACCAATATTGAAATTAGTTCAATTAATAACCTTACAATAGCCTCTAAGTGTTCAAGTGAAAGAAAGAATCACACTTCTCTCATTTTAAATCAAAAGTTAGAGATAATTTAGCTTAGTGAGGGAAAGTCAAAAGCTGAATCAGGCAGGAAGCTAGGCCTCTTGTGCCAAACAGTTGGCCAAGTTATGAATGCAAAGCAAAAGTTCATGAAGGAAATTAGAAGTGCTACTCCAATGAACACATGAATGATAAGAAGGCAAAACAACCTTATTGCTCATAGGGAGAATTTTAGTAGTTTAGCTAGAAGACCAAACCAGCCACAACATTCCCTTAAGCCAAAGTCTAATCCAGAGCAAGGGCTTAACTCTTCAATTCTACAAAGGCTGAAAGAGATCAGAAAGCTGCAGAAGAAAAGTTGGAAGTTAGCAGGGGTTGCTTCATGAGTTGTTTAAGGAAAGAGGCCACCTCTGTAACATACAAATACAAAGTGAAGCAGCAAGTGCTGATGTAGAAGTTGCAGAAATTTATCCAGAAGATCTAGCTAAGATCATTGATGAAGGCGACTCAACTAAACAACAGATTTTTCATGTAGACAAAATAGCCTCATATTGGAAGAAGGTGCCATCTCAGACTGTCAAAGCTCAAGAGCAGAAGTCAATGCCTAGCTTCAGAGCTTCAAAAGACAGGCTGACTCTCTCGGTAGGGGCTAATGCAGCTGATGACTCTAACTTGAAGCCAATGATCATTTACCATTCTGAAAACCCAGAGTCCCTAAGATTTATGCAAAAGCTACTTTGCCTGTGCTCTAGAAGTGGAACGACAAAGTCTGGATGGCAGCACATCTGTTTACAGTATGTCTTAATGAATATTTTAAACACACTGTTGAGACCTACTGCTCAGAGAAAAAGATTTCTTTCAAAATAGTACTGCTCATTGACAATGTTCCTAGTCACCCAAGAGCTCTGATGGAGATACATAAGATTAAGGTTGTTTTCATGCCTGATTCTGTATCCCATGTGTCGAGGAATAATTTCAACATTCAAGTCTTAATATTTAAGAAATAAATTTTTGTAAGGTTATAGCTGCCACAGATAGTGATTCCCCTGATGGATCTTCACAAAATATATAAATTGGGAACGTTCTGGAAAAGATTCACAATTCTAGGTGCCATTAAGAACATTCATGATTCATGGGAGGAGGTCAAAATATCAGCATAAACAGGAGTTTTAAAGAAACTGATTCCAACCCTCAGGGATGACTCTGAGGGGTTTAAGACTGGATGAAGTCACTGCAGATGTGAAGGAAATAGTAAAAGAACTAGAATTAGAAGTAGAGCCTGAAGCTGTGACTGAATTGCTGCAATCTCATGATAAAATCTGATGAGAAGTTGATTCATGCCTGGGCGCAGTGGCTCATGCTTGTAATCCCAGCACTTTGTGAGGCTGAGGTGGGCAGATCACCTGAGGTTGGGAGTTCGAGACCAGCCTGACCAACATGGAGAAACCCCGTCTCTACTAAAAATACAAAATTAGCCAGGTGTGGAGGCACACACCTGTAATCCCAGCTACTGAGGAGGCTGAGGCAGGAGAATCGCTTTAACCCGGGAAGCAGAGGCTGCGGTGAACCAAGATCACACCATTGCACTCCAGCCTGGGCAACAAGAGCAAAACTCCGTCTCAAAAAAAAAAAAAAAAAAAAAAAAAAGACGTTGCTTCATATGAATGAACAAAGAAAGTAGTTTCTTGAGATGGGATCTACTCCTGGTGAAGGTGCTGTGAACATCATTGAAATGACAACAAAGGATTCAGAATATTATATAAACGTAGTTGATAAGGCAACAGCAGGGTTTGAGAGGACTGACTCAAATTTTTAAAGTTCTACTATGGGTTAAGTGTTATCAAACATTATGACATGCTATAGAGCAATATTTCATGAAAGGAAGAGTCTATTAATGCAGTAAACTTCACTGTTGACTTGTTTTGAGAAAGTGGCACATCCACCCCAACCTTCAGTAACCACCACCGTGATCAGAGAGCAGCCACTAACATCCAGGCAAAACACTCCACCAGCAAAAAGATTACAACTCACTGAAGGCTCAGATGATTATTAGCATTTTTTAGCAATAAATTATTTTTAATTAAAGTATATACATTGGTTTTTTAGACATAATGGTACTGTACACTTAAGAGTCTACAGTATAGCATTAACATAACTTTGATATGCACTAGGAAACCAAAAAAATTGTGTGAGTACCTTTATTACAATATTCAGTTTTTCTCCATATTCACTTTATTGTGGTGGTCTGGAACCAATCCCTCAATATCTCCAAGATATGCCTGCATGTGCTTTGACACACCTGTGCTTTTACTCCCTTTCTGATGTTGTCTTCATGCCTTTTCTATGCCAATCCAAATCAGAAGCAGGCAACATATCTTAAATGCCTTTTTATCAATATTCTCAAAAAACGGTCATTGACTAACATCCTACATATTCTTGTAAGCCTTATTTAAATCTCTCCTCTTCCACAGAGCCTTCCCTATACCCTCTACAGGCCACAGTCATCACTATCCTTCCTCCTTATCACTGATATAAAAAAGATTGATATACAGTATTTTCTCCCATTGACAGGTGGCAAGTGCCTGCATCTTCGCTTGACAGGTAGGAGAAACATGGTATGAAAAGGTGACTTACTTGCTAATGGTCTGGTTCTAGGACATAGTTCTACAGCCTATGTCCTAAGATGAGCCATAAGAAGAGTATTCCCTGGGAAAGTTTTTGTGATACCAGACCTGTCCCTGTTAGGCCTTAAATGTTTGATGAAAGCACAAGTTGATTGGATTAGCTTAAGGTTAAAACCAAATGGTTTTTAAATTAATTATATGCATGAGTACTTCAGGTTAATGAGTTCTCTTTCCAGAAATATCACTAAGATTCAAAACTGTTCTTTTCATTGCTTTCAGGTAGATATGTTTACTTAAAAATAAAACCATGCTAAAAATTGTAACCAAGAAAGAGCTTTATAGAACTTGCTCTCATAAGATGCAAATCATTTATATTTATAAAATCAATAAATTACATACACGCTTTTAAAGTGTGTAACAGTACTTGAGAAAAAAATTTTCTCTTAAATAATTTCAATATGAAACTCCGAATATGATTTGTATTTTTTAAAAAATTCATGAGGAATTAAAATAGTAATGAAACTCTACTACTTAAGCAAAGCAATCAGGACTACTTTCGACTTTGGGAGGGAAATCTTAGTATTACCAGTAGCTTCTGGGGATCCAGCTGCTGCCTTTGTACAATTATAGAAAAAACCATGTGGATGGGCATGGTAGCTTACACCTGTAATCCCACTTTGGGAGACCAAGGCGGGAGGATTGCTCGAGTCCAGGAGTTTGAGACCGGCCTGGGCAACATAGCGAGACCTCATCTCTACTAAAAATAAAAAAAAAAATTAGCTAGGCATAGTGGCACATGCCTGTGATCCCAGTTACTTGGGAGGCTGAGGTGGGAGGATCACTTGAACCTGCAAGGTTGAGGCTACAGTGAGCCGTGATCACACCACTGCACTCCAGCCTGGGTGACAGAGTGACACTCTGTCTCAAGAAGAAAAAAAAATTATTGATTTATTTTACCAACTTCCTTCAAGTAAAATTGTATGCGTAAATTTACTTAGTTTTGTGTAAGCCATCACTAAAGCTGTCTTTGAGGCTCATAAAAGGAAGGGTCTCTGAGGATATTAAGTTAGAAGAGAACACATTTGCAAAATTATATTCCTCAGCATTTTTTGCTCTGTTCAAGAATTTTCCATAGTAAAATGTTATGCACATTTTTCCCAATTTTAAAATGAAGTTTTAGTGGGTAATACTTTAAATAAAAGCAATAACATAGCACTGTTCACTGCCTTCTCCAAGAATGACAAGCTCCATCTTTTCAAAGAGAGGTAAGAAGGAAGTGGTTAATATTGCTGTAATAATCCCCAAATCAAAGCCACCATTTGCACTGCCTATGTTCTTGGGCTCCCCCATGCCAGACGCTGAGATTGCCTTCATGGACAAGGAAGGTGCCACAAAAGAAATGATTAAAAAAAACTAGAAGACGATTACTCCTTTGTGTCTTCTGCCTGAGAGCCTGAAATCTGAGCAGAATTCATCTCTGTTTCTCTAATGAATTCCTCTGCTGCTGTCATGCGGTTAATTCTCCGCATTTTCTACTACCCTGATTATTAAATGAAAAAAAGAAAAAGCAAAAAGGAAAAGGAGCCAGCCAATATAAACATCAAAGGGTACTCCCACTTCTGTGGCATTCAGATATTTTCCAGAGCTCGACTGTGGGGACAAAAGAGATTGGCGGGTTGCTGGGGAGTTGTTTTCTGTTTCCTCTGGGAGACAATGGGCCAAACCTGCCAGACAACGCTACAGTGCAAGTAGGTGGCGTATCACCATGCAGCAAAGGTTTTCTCAGTGAAGCTGGATGTTCCCTTGGCTTAGCCAAGACAGACCCAAGCTATTATTGAATGGCAGTGGGTGGAAGATGAGACCCAGGCCCTCCCTAGAGGGAGAGTGGCTGTAGACATCCTCTATTGGGTCTCGGACCAAAGAACTGAAGGGGGAGGACGGAATGAGATGAAGGAGGGAGGCAACTTCAGAAACTTAAAACCAGCACATTTTCATTTCCTGAACCTAAAGCAAATAACTGTTTGTGGTATTCACTGGAGTCTGAGTTTTTTCTTTTGTCAAGCCTATAGACTCCACAAAAGACTGACTAGAAGATTGGTCTGAAGTTCTGAGACTGAATGGGAATAAATGTAAACTCTATTACATGAACACAAGAAAGAAAACTATTACAGGCCTAAGTTCAGGATGAAAGAATGAGCAGTCTGAATAAGAGTTCATGTGAAAAAGATCTAGGGGTTTTAGCTGACAGTGAACATTACATGAGCCAACAGTGTGACTTGGCTGCTGAAAACCCTGATGATATTTAAGGCCAGATTAGCAGAAGTATAGTGTTCAGAGTAAGGAAAAAAAATAGTCTTTCTGTGCTCTGCACTGGTCTGGACACAGTTGGAGTGTTGCTTCTATTCTGGATGCCAAAAGTTAAAGAAAATACAGAAAACTGGAGCATGTCAAAAGAGTCAGAGAAAGAGAAAAGATACAAAAATCATGTCATGCGAGGAATAAGTAGAGAAACTAGAATTGTTTCAACAAGAAAAAAGAATTCATTGGGCAGATTAGCTATCTACGAATAGCTGGAGGGTACTCTGTAGGAGAGAGGGCAAACTCATCTCCATGACTCCAAAGGGCAGACAACAGGCAGAAAACTAGCTCAATATAAAAAGAACGTTTCCAACAATTCAAACTGTCCCCAAATGGAATAGGGTGTTTTGTGTAACAGTTATTTCTCCAGCATTGGAAGAGTTCAAAGTCTAATGAACATTTGCCAGGGATTTGTAATTGAGCATTCCAGCATTAAGTGGGAGACTGGTGTCAATGTCTTATTAAAGTCTTTCAAACTTCAAGGCTGAGAACTGCATAATAATATAGAAATAATAATAAAAATCAAAGGTATCTATTATTGACTTAATATATCAGCCAAAAATTTATTCATAGTCATTCAAAATACCATCACAATCCTCTGCACTGAGAACCATAAGATATTTCTGAGTGAAATTAAAGGAGACCTAATCAATTGGGAGAGAAAACATGATCATGGTCATGGAAAATTCCATATTATTAAAGATGTCAATTCACCCTGAGTTCAACACAGATTCATTACAATCCCAGTGAAAACTTAATAGTTTTTTCTCAAAATTTTCAGGCTGAATCTAAAATTTATATGAAGTGCAAAATATTTATACCAAAAAAATTGATTTTTTAAAAAACTCACAAAGTCAGAGAACTCGCACTACCTGATATTAAGACTTAGTATAAAGCCTCAGAGCCTAAGCAACATAGGAGTGGTGTAAAGATAGCAAATCCTGCTGTGGAACGAAATGGAGAGTCCAGTTAGAGTAAAGCATATGCAGTAAATTGATAATTTTTACAAAGGCTCCAAGATAATTTAATAAAAAGAGAAAACCCTTCAAAAGATAGCTAGAGAACGCTGGAAAAATATATGGGAAAAAAATGAACCTTGATAGCTACCTCATGACACACATAGAGATTAATTCAGGATTGATCATAAACATAAGAGATGAAACAATAAAGCTTCTAGAAAAAGGTGTAGAAGAAGATTGCTGCAACCATGAGGTTGACAAAGATTTCTTTAAAAGGCTATAAAAAGAACTAACCATTTTAATTAAAACTTGCTCAATAAAGACACCAGTAAGAAGGTAAAATGACAAGCCACGGACTGCGAGGACATAGTTATAGTACATATATCTGAAAAAGGACTTATATTCAGAATATATTTTTAAAAACTTCCAAAACCAACAATAAAAAGACAAACAGCCAATAAAACTGATCAAAAGATTGAAGAAACACTTCACAAAAGAATATGTGAGTGCTTAATAAGCACATGAAAAGGTATTCAATATCATTAGTCATCAGTGAAATCAAAATTAAAATTACAGTGCAAGACTGTTTCAAGCTTACTGGAATGTCTAAAATTAAAGAAAAAAGCTCTTAGTGAAACTGTAGAACAAACATAATTATTTTATATTTCTGTTGGTAATGGAAAATTTGTATAACCTACTTTGGAAACAGTTTGGCACTTTATTTTAGAGTTAAACATTCGTCTATCCTCTGACCCACCAATTTCAAAAACAGAACTTGTATAAGCATATTCATAATGGCATTATTCATAATAACCCTAAAGTGAAAATTACCCACATATCTATCCCTAAAAGAATGGCTAAAAAGTAATTGTCTTATATTTTTACAATGGCATACTACTCATTACTAAAAAAGGAATTAACAAAAAATACACACAAAACATGGATAAATCTAAAAAGAAAGGCCGTCTGAAAGAAGCCAGATATCAGTGCTTGATTTCTACGTATGTGAGTTTCAAGCACAGGAAAAACTAATCTGTAGTGATAGAAATCAGAAGAGTGATTGCCTAAGGAGGCTTGAGATTGACTGGAAGGGAACACAAGAAAATATTTTTTTCAAAGCTCATTGAATTGTCCACTTAAGATCTGTGCATTTCAATCTCTAGAAATTTTACCTCAATAAAAGAATAATATCTCTGCTTCCTTTAAAAAAAATCATTGCATTTCCTTGAGTTAGTATCATGAGTAAATAAGGAAAACTTCCCTCCAGTTAGAGTCTTAAACTAAAGAAGCCATTGTTTATAGGATTTCCAGCATTCTAATACCCTTTCTAAGATGTTTATTAACCTGTTTTGTCTTTTAGATACCTGTCTTCAAACAAAGTATACTCCATGTCAAAAGAGTAGAACTCCTTGAGAATAAAGTCTATGTTTTATTCACCTTTGTGGGGCAAGCATAGCATTTGATCCAAAGTTCATACCAAGAATATTTGCTGATTATGCTAGGACTATACCAGGTATTGTAGATATAGCAATAAACAAAACAGATCTGGTCTTAGATATTGGGGAACCTGTAATCTAGTGTGGGCCACTAATATTAAATAAAAAAGTCATACAAATAAATATATAATTATACAATTATAATAAATACAGTGAATAAAAAGAGGAGGAAGAGGAATTATAAGGGGAGATCTAATTTTCTTAAAGGAGTGATTTTTACACAGAGACCCATAGAATAATAGCAATTGGCAAGGTGAAGATTGGGGAAGGAAGACTATTATTCCATGGAGAGGAAAGAACCTGTGTGAAGATGTGGAGAAGTAGGAAAGAGTGAGGAGGAGGCAGAGTGGGACCATGCAGGACTTTGTAGGCCATACAATGATTTCTACGTTGAATTCTAAAAGTACAACCAGAAGCCAATGAAACATTTTAAGCAGGGAAATAATATAAACCTATCACCCTGGCTTTAAACAACCTGTGTTTAAAAGTATTAGAACAGTAAATTTCACATCATTAATGGATCATAAAGTGAATTTAATTAATCATGCCCAGCAAGAAAGCGACAAAGGAATATAATTTTTTTTTTTTTTTTTGAGATGGAGTCTCACTCTGTCGCCCAGGCTGGAGTGCAGTGGCGCAATCTCTGCTTACTGCAAGCTCCAAGCGATTCTCCTGCCTCAGCCTCCCAAGTAGCTGGGACTACAGGCGCCTGCCACCACGCCCAGCTAATCTTTTTGTATTTTTAGTAGAGAGTGTTTCACCTTGTCAGCCAGGATGGTCTTGAACTCCTGACCTCGTGATCCACCCAAAGTGCTGGGATTACAGGCATGAGCCATTGCACCTGGCCCCTAATTGTTGTTTTTTTTTTTTTTTTTGAAACAGAGCTCTGCTCTTGTGGCCCAGGCTGGAGTGCAATGGTGTGATCTCGGCTCACCACAACCTCTGCCTCCTGGGTTCAAGGGATTCTCCTGCCTCAGCCTCCCAAGTAGCTGGGTTTACAGGCATGTGCCACCATGCCTGGCTAATTTTGTATTTTTAGTAGGGACAGGTTTTCTCCCTGCTGGTCAGGCTGGTCTCGAACTCCTGACCTCAGGTGATCCACCTGCCTCAGCCTCCCAAAGTGCTGGGATTACAGGTGTAAGCTACCATGCCCGGCCAGGAATATAATTTTTAAAAATATCAAAATGCATGATACTGAGAAAAGATACGTATTATTCTGTTAATCTTTGATTTTGGATTTACTTATAGATACATAGCAACACAAGTATGTGTACTGGGAGTATCATGGATGTATTTTTTAATTGTAGGTCATCCTCAAAAAAGTCTGAAAGCTGTTAATTAGAGGTAAGTAAGAGTGGAAACTGGGAGAGCAGTTAGGAGGTGACTGGAGAAGCTGAGATGGTAAATATGTTGACAGATTTAATGCTCATTCTGGAGGCAGGCATTTGAAAGGACTGAAACAACAGGTGGTTGTTTGCATTTGGAGGGCAAATGAAAGGGACATGTCAAGGATGACTCAGGTTTCCAGCACCCATTAACTTGAAAAATGAACGAATGGGAGTGAACAAATGAGTAAAGATGGCATAGTAAATCTAACTAAAATTGTAGTTTTCTTCAAATTTAACTATAAAATAAAATCTATTCTAATTATTTAAAATAGTAGAAACTTTTTCCCCCTTGGTTTCCCCTCACAAGGTTTTTAGAGATATGGCCCAGGTCTTCTTCAACTTCATATCCCCAGGTCCTACCACAGTGCTTGCCACCAAGTACATACTTCGTTATTATGTGCTGAATGAATTAATGAATGGAGTAAAATAAAAACAAAAAAGTGGTCTTAGGAGAAAATAAAGTGTTCTATAGTTCTTAAGGTCAAGGAATAGCAAATCAACTTAGGATAGACTTTTCTTCTAAGTTGCCACTTACTGATCAAAAGCCACATTTTATAAAACTAAAGGAAGAATATCTTTAACATTATAATCATACTATAAAAGTATTCTTCCCCCTTGTACTTCTAAATATTAATAAATCTCAAAAGTCCTCTTTTACCACACTGTCATATCTCATTCTCACTCTGTGTTTACAGATTTGCAAAAGACTCAAAAAGTTCTCAGATCACAGTTATAAACATTACTCAGATTATTCCTGTGTATTTGGTAGAGGGCAGATATAATTCTCTATTTAAAACAAAATAAATGGGTCATGGACAATATTCAAGAAACTCAAAGCTACACAGCAGCTGAGTTCACAGTAATCCGTCCCTGGCCTTCTGGTTTGTAGTTAGCCGTGTGGCACTTTTATTACTCCCTAACTAACACCATTTTTTTGTTGATCCTGATAGTTAAGAGTTGTCTATTCAATTTTCACTCCCTCAAGGGCAGACACCATGTCTTCTACTATTACTGTATTGTCCATAATGTTTAGCAGTCCTGAACACAGCAGACACTTAATATTTCTTGCCTGGAATAGCAGTAAAATTAAAACAAACATCTCCTAATTTAGAGGTTAAACTAGACTCTGCTCCCTTCATCAAGCTGTACTGGTCTTGCATGCAAGTTTTATCTCCAGTAGTCCTTGCGTTCCATTACAAAATAGCAATTGCCTCTTCTCAAAATGAAAAACATTTTCCATTGTGTAAGTTATACTTGCAACTATGATGTTGAAATGTTCCTCAAGTGATGATTTTCATCTATGCTGCAAAGGAAAAAAGTGTAACTCATAAGCTTAATTCTTAAAACAAATCCAATAACTGTCATTGGTCCTAGACAGCCCTCTTAGCTTGTTTGTTTCTTTTAATGTCCCAGGCCATTTCTCCCAGAATTCGTGGTAGTAAACAGTCTAATGAGTGTGATCACAGAGAGACTACTGCTGGTATAATGAATGTGATCCCCATTATTTCTAACAGATAACATGCCATCTTACAGAAAAAAAAGCGTTGAAAGGTGGTAGAGTGGAAGCCATTGGTTAAGAAGTTTGAAGGCGGGCTAAATTAACACATTCAATCAGAAAAGCTTGTTCCCAGCATTCTTGCCTCAACTTGACTTGGTCAAAACAGACTGGTGAATGAGATTAGGTATATCATCTTGTGTTCTGGCTCACTGTTCACCTTAAATTTTGAGTATCTTTGAAAATCACAAATTATTACAACACTTCAGTCACTAAAAGTTTGATGTAATTGTTTTGAGAACAATACTGACTACTTTAAAGAGAATTTTGAATTTTACCAAGTGTTTTTGCATCCCTTTAGCCCTCTGTAGCAGTTCTGATAAATCTAAATATCATTGTTTCCATCCAGTTATGAGAAAACAAGAGATGCATGCAATTTTGTGCCAAGCCAATTATCTGGAGGCTGCTTGAAGATATGGTCCCAGACCTCAATAAGTTTGCTTCTTGTTGAGGGAAAAAACATGTACAAAATCAATTAAAATACAAGGTACAGTGAACTAAGTGCTTCAGCAACAGGTCAAATAAAGTGGTACAAAGAGCAACATTTAAGTCCAAGTAGAAATCAGGGAGGAAATTTAATGATATAAGTAGCATTTGAGTGTTGTCTTGAAGGATGTCAAGTATTGTAATGGAGATGAGGAAAGAATTCTAGTCTGGGGTAACAACACTATCCAGGCTATAAAGGGTGCTAAGTGCATGCTGTATTCAGGGAAGCACATGAAACCTGTGTGGCTGGAGGGGTCACGCGGGATCAACAAGTGAAGAAGAAAAGTTTACCTGAATGAGATCCACAAAAATGTTATCAGTAAAAAGTATGAATTTAAAGTTTGGAAACATTTTGAGTGTCTCAAAGAAAAGAGCTGTGTACCAGCTTTTGTGTTACATTGCAATTTAGGATGAAGCTGACAATCAACACATTTGAAAATATAACCTATCACTAAATTCCTTGATCAGAAAAATCAATTTACGTAATTATT
Organism: Homo sapiens; assembly: GCF_000001405.40. Taxonomy (NCBI): domain Eukaryota; kingdom Metazoa; phylum Chordata; class Mammalia; order Primates; family Hominidae; genus Homo; species Homo sapiens. Next base: position 68,192,863 of record NC_000014.9, on the reverse strand, counting down.
CCAAAATCCATTCAGAAAATGACCCTATTCAAACTCCTGGATATGCCAATATTTTAACAAGGGTAACTCATAAGATGAATTCTCATAAAATAAGGGAGGATTTAAAACCAAAAAGTTAAAAAAGGAGAGAGAGATTGACTTACATTTAAAATCTCATTCATCAGGTTCAGGACCAGTAAAAAGGGCTGCACAAAGAGCTCTGGTCTGTTTACCTTAACATCAGCAGAGACATATTGTCACAAATAGAAAACCTGAATTCTGGATAGGAAAGTCTGTTTTCAGAGAGCCAACATATAACTTCTGATGGCTGATATTGAGATTCAATCAAACTTGGCACCAATTAAAAGACATTGTTTGGAGAGCACAGGCTTAGTGTTTCTATTATCATCAGCTGAAATATAAAGATTATAATTTGATCTTTCAAATTTGGAATAGAAAAATCTGTTTTCAGAGAAGCCAACATATACTATTTAATAACTTTTGCAAGGCAATATAAACTTCTCTTCTTTTCACAATGAAACAAGAAGGAGCACCCAAAGAGAAGACCTCATGAAAGGCTCCTTTCAAACAGTGGCTCTTGCTGTGTCCTCTTGATTAAGGGCTCATAAATAAAAGGACACAACAGCTGCAACTTATGATTAACCATGGTATAGTATTTCAACCAGTGAATAACATTACAGTTATTAGAACCAACAAAACTCCTTATATTCACTCAATACATGACCTTGGCTTTGTCTGGCCTGTAGGTGACCTGAATTGAAGAGAGATGTCTGGGTTAAAATTTAACTTAGAGTCTGAAAAGCTATGTCACATGGCTGGGAAGTCAGTAATGTTGCAATTTCAGGAAACACCCTCCTTTAAATGTGATTGGATGGTATAAAGGTGAATCTGAGTGTATCTGAGTATATCATAAAGCTAACTAGTCAGACTTGGACAGCCCTTGAATGATGTCCAAACATTTGTGAACAGTCTGAGTAAACCACTCAGGTTATTCTTACACAACCAAGGTAACTTTACTGCCTGCCATGGGCAAGTAAGTGCTCTCTAGATTATAGTTGTAAACAATTCTCAAGTGATTAATGACACATATTCTTTCTCTGCCCTCTACTGAGGGCAGAACTCTCTTAAGGAAAACAGAAAAAGTCTTCACCCTTTGATTTACAGGCTAAGACCAAAGCAATCTGAGTTTCCTCTAAGTATGAGAACCTATTCTGAGTAAGACCTGGGCTCCCAAGAGAGACCACAGAAGACAGGAAGAAAGGGTCTTCCATTATCTCCTTCCCTAGAAAGTATGCACTGAGAAGCTGCTAATGTTCCCCAAGTCTCAGATGGGTTCAGGACCGAATTCAAAGAAATATTTTCCCCATGACCATAACAGATGAAAACTAAAAGAGTATGACTTTTCTCATTTTAATTGGTAAGTAACCATATCACTTAGTTCTTAGACACTTTCTTATCATGGGGCCTCAAGTTACCTTTTATTGGGTTGTCCTACTAAATGACCTGATCATGTAATGGTTTCAAACTCTGTTATACAGAAGCTCAAGTTTCCATAAAGCAAATCTATGGCCTCCACAGAAACCATGATCCAAACACATATGCTTAATTTTTGTCAGTTAATCACCAGTTCATATGTTAACCCTGCAACAGAAGTTGGGTTTCCAAGCATGAATACTTAATTATTTAAGCAATTACATTTCTTCTCCCATCTCTGCCAAGAAAACACTCGATTTCTCTAAAAATGAACAATAACATTTATTTAACACAAGTACTTTTTTATATTTATAACATTCTTTTAAGAAAGGATATTGTCTCTTTTTTTAAAAAAAAGCTTGTAGTAATATAGCATTAACTAACAGCATTTAGATAATTAACATTGGGAAATAAAGAGATGCATATTTCTCAGGAAAATGGAGTTTGCTTGAATCTTCCATTTCATTATTACTCATAAAATGTAAAACACTAACCACATGAAGAACTTAAAATTCATTAGACATTATTTAAATCAATGGGATAAAATGCTAGCTTCTAGAGAGAATATAGATCATGATGTACAACAGTACTGAGCACAGATTACATCCTAAATGGACACTTGTTAAATTAAGACAATTAACCATAAAAGTAAAAACTAACTTTTTAAAAATGGAGTCAGGAAAATTTTAATCTGAACTTTTCATCTTGATGTCTCCAGAATATAGAGTACATAGAATATAAAGCATATAGAATATAGAGTGCCTTGGATATAACAGGCATCAACAATGACTGATTATGTGAATGAATGAGCTTATTGATTAATTAATGGAAGAAGGGCAACTGTATACTAAAATTAAGATAAGCTGAGAAGGGATAGGGTCATTTAGGTTACTGAATATAGTAGGAAAAGATGTCCATTTGGTGGACATGTTTTTTAAATCTGTTTTTCTATACATTTAAAACTCTGCTTATACATGTTTATCTATTTATACATTTTTAAAAATCTGTTTCCATATATACTTTTCAAAGAACAATTTAAAATCTGAATCAATACAAAGTAAAGATATTTCAGCCTTGATTTTCTAGCACAAAAAAAGTACCTGGACCAGCCTTTTAAGTAGGGAAATGTGTTTATTTTCTTTGAGTGCCTAATGTAAATTAAAGGTATTGATTTCAGGATTATCTTTCAAGGAAACTACTAAACTCTTTTGTTGAATCAAATTACTCCGAGCAAGTTTTCTACATCTAGCTTTTAGAAAACATGCATAAATATCATTTCCTTTAATATGTCAGCAACTTTTAGTGGGAGAATTTTGAAATTAATTTGAAATTATTTTGAAATTAATTTGAAATCATTCCACTTCTTTAGCAATGGTAAAAAGCATCTTTCAAAAGGAATATTTAAGGGAATTTAAATTTAAGGGAGGCCAGGTGCAGTGGCTCATGCCTGTAATCCCAGCACTTTGGGAGGCTAAGGCAGGTGGATCATCTGAGGCCAGGAGTTCAAGGCCAGCCTGATCAACATCGTGAAATCTAATCTCTACTAAAAATACAAAAATTAGTCGGGCATGGTGGTGGGTGCCTGTAATCCCAGTTACTCAGGAGGCTGAGACAGGAGAATTGCTTGAACCCTGAGGCAGAGGTTGTAGTGAGCCGAGATCATGCCACAACATTCCAGCCTGGGTGACAGAGTGAAACTCCATCACAAATAATAATAATAATAATAAATTTAAGGGAAGGGGTAGTTGCTTTTTTTCTATAAGGAATAAATAGTGAGGAAAAGGAAGTTTGATCCTAACCATATCTCTCTGCTGTTTAATACCTCAAGTCTTAAGATTTATAGTTTCTAATAAAACATTATCAAGTGAGTAGAAAAATGGATGAAATTTGTTTTTAGTCACTGATCTATAATTGCCACTAGGAAATCAATATTTTAGGTTGAATCTCTCAACTTTTGAGATTAGTAGCAAGACAGTAAACAAATATTACTTGGTTTGAAACATCTACAAAAAAATACTTGTTAATGTCCCCTTTCCATAAAGAAATAGACACTAGATGAACTGAGGAAATTATGTAGTGGTCGCTCATATTCAAGTACTTATTGAGTACCTCTGGTGATATAAGAATGACTAAAATATTGTTCCTACCCTCTGAAGGCTCACAGCCCAGGTACAAATTCAGACCTGGCAAATACATCAACTGTATACTTATGATTTGTGTACTTTACGATATGTAAATTATATAGTAACAAATATATAATATTAATTATTGTAAAATATAATACATATGCAGCAATAAATTACACAATAAAAAATTAAAAGAAAGATTAGGACTGGTAAGGTAAGTTAAACTATAGCAGCAGAACCACTACAATAGAAGTAGAGAACAAGGAGGAGGAGTTGTGCCTAGGGGGAGGAGCAAAGCCTTATCAAAGAGCTATAAACATACGAGTTTCACCAAGCAGAGAAGCTGGCAAAAAGCATCCTAGTGGAAGAAAAGTCGATGCAAAACACAAGGATGAGGAACAGCAAGAAATCAGTGTGTCTGAAGCACATACATGGCTAGAGAGGTGACCCAAGAAAATCTTACAAACTAAGAGAATAAATTTGGATTCTATTCTTTAGAGAAGAAGTCAAAAGAAGTCTCTAAATAGGAGAGTGACTAGATCAGATTTGTTTCTAGGTGGATAACTCATTCCACCTTTCCAAAACAGAGGAGCATCACCTCTAAATTCCATTTGATTTCACAAGTTCATTGCTAGAAAGAATGTCAGTGTGGAAAAAATTGCTTTGATGAAGTAATCAATTCACGATTCCCATTATCAACACAACAATCACAAGTAATGGATTGGCTAATACAAAAGTAGAGCCATAGACAAACCTAATATTGTTGCCTATAGCAACTGCTTCTGAAAGATCATTCCAAAAAACTCTTTCTTACCTAAAAGAAGAAGAAAGAAGAGGAGAAAGAAGAAAGATGGGAGAAAGGGAAGGGGGAGGAGGGAAAAACAAGGAGAGAAGGGGAGAAAGGAGGAGGGGGGAGGAGGGACAGAAGGGAGGAGGTAATGGAGGGAGGAGGAGGAAGAAAAAAAGGAAGAAGGGAAGAAGGAAAAAGAAAAAAGAAGAACAACAAAGAAAAAAAAAAAGAAATCACTATCCAGCTCTCCTTTTTAACTTTGTAAGACATGTACCACTGAAATCACGGACTAAATGACTCTGAAAGAATATGAAAAATTAAGACAACTGGTATTACAAAGGGTTTTATAAAATATGTCCAGGCCGGGAGTGGTGGCTCAGGCCTGTAATCCCAGCACTTTGGGAGGCTGAGGCGGGTGGATGACTTGAGGTCAGGAGTTCAAGACCAGCTTGGTTAACATGGTGAAACCCCATCTCTACTAAAAATACAAAAATTAGCTGGCCATCGTGGCGTGCACCTGTAATACCAACTACTCAGGAGGCTGAGGCAGGAGAATAGCTTTGACCCAGGAGGTGGAGGTTGCAGTGAGCCGAGATTGCGCCACTGCACTCCAGCCTGGGTGACAGAGCAAGACTTCACCTCAAAAAACAAAGAAAAATAAACAAATAAAATAAAAATATGTCCAAAATGTATTAAGAGAAAAAGATGCAAAACAGTATATAATATATAAACACATTCTTTGTGAAGCAAATGAATACTAAATATGTTAATATACGCATTGAAAAAATTTGAAGGACTGTATACAAACATGCTAATATCAGTTAAGTCTAAGATTATGGGGAACTTTTTCCCTTCCTCCATAGTGTATCTCTGAAAGGTCTGAATTTTAAGGGTATGTATTACTTTTACAAACATAAAAGCATATGAAGGATAAATGTAATTTAAATGAGATCTCTTGATGGTGGCCCATAATCACAAAGGTTGTGGGAAGTTGGATAAGTAAAATAAGCACTTCCATGTGGGTGTCACCACTAACAAGCAGGTTTCCCACATTTCTATGTGGTCAGCATAACATCCCAAAGGGATAGTTCTTTTTTTTTTCTTTTTCAACTTTTATTTTAGATTCAGGGGATACATGTGCAAGTTTGTTACCTGGATATATAGTGTGATGCTGAGGTTTGCGGTATGAATGATCCCCTTATTTAGGTACTGAGAACAGCACTCAACAGTTAGTTTTTCAACCCTTCTCCCCAATTCCTCCCTCCCTTCTCTAGTAGTTCCCAGTGTTGACTGTTGCCATCTTTATGTTCTTGAGTACTTAATGTTTAGCTTCCACTTATAAGTGAGAATGTGCGGTATTTGGTTTCGTGTTCCTGCCTTAATTCACTTAGGATAATGGCCTCCAGCTGCATCCATGTTGCTGCAAAGGACATGACTTCATTCTTTTTATGGCTGCATAGTATTCCATGGTCTATATGTACCATATTTTCTTTATCAGATGGGCACCTAGGCTGATTCCATGTCTTTGCTATCGTGAATAGTGCTGCGATGAACATGTGAGTATATGTATGTGTCTTTTTCGTAGAAAAATTTGTTTTCTATTGGATATATACCCAGTAATGGAATTGCTGGGTCAAATGATAATTCTGTTTTAGGTTCTTTGAGAAATCTCCAAACTGCTTTCCACAGTGGCTGAAATAATTTACATTCCCACCAACAGTGTACATGCATTCCTTTTCTCTGCAGTCTTGCCAACATGTTGTTTTTTGGCTTTTTAATAGCAGCCATTCTGACTGGTGTAAGATGGTATCTCATTGTGGTTTTGATTTGCATTTCTCTGATGATTAGTGATAATAAGTATTTTTTCATATGTTTGTTGGTTGCTTGTATGTCTTCTTTTGAGAAGTGTCTTCTCATGTCTTTTGCCCATCTTTTAATAGTGTTATTTGGGTTTTGCTGTTCAACTGTTCAATAAGTTCCTAACAGAATTTGGATATTACACCTTTGTCAGATGCATAGTTTGTGAATATTTTCTCCCTATCTGTAGGTTGTCTGTTTACTCTGTTGATAGTTTCTTTTGCTGTGCAGAAGCTTTTTAGTTTAATTAGGTCCCATCTGTCAATTTTTGTTTTTGTTCCAATTGCTTTGAGGACTTAGTCATAAATTCTTTACCAAAGCCCATGTACAAAATGGTATTTCCTAGGTTTTCTTCTAGGATTCTTATATTTCAAGGTCTTACATTTAAATCTTTAATCCATCTTGAGTCAATTTTTGCATATGGTGAAAGGTAGGGGTCTGGTTTCATTCTTCTGCATATGGCTAGCCAACAACCCCAGCAGTATTTATTGACCAGTGAGTCCTTTCCCCATTGCTTATTTTTGTCAGCTTTGTTGAAGATTAGACATCTGTAGGTGTGTGGCTTTATTTCAGGGTTCTCTATTCTGTTCCACTGGTTAATGTGTTTGCTTCTGTACCAGTACCATGCTGTTTTGCTTACTGCAGCCTTATACTATAGTTTCCAGTTGGGTAATGTGATGCCTCAAAGGGAGAGTTTTTAGATTTGTGCAGGGGTACCCCCAGGCCATGGACCAACACTGGTCTGTGGCCTGTTAGGAACTGGGCCACACAACAGGAGGTGAACTTCACCTCCTGTCAGATCAGTGGCAGAGTTAGATTCTCTTAGGAACACGAATCCTATTGTGAACTGCACATTTGAGGGATCTAGGTTGTGTGCTCTTTATGAGAATTTAATGCCTGATGATCTGAAGTGGAACAGTTTCATCCTGAAACCACCACCCCCGCCCCCATCCACGGAAAAATTGTCTTCCACAAAACTGGTCCCTGGTGTCAAAAAAAGGTTGGGGACCATAGGCAAGCCTCGTCTGCCTGAATTCTATTCTTTCTCCCTAATCTACTCAAGAACATGATATAATTCCTTGCCATGATCATGTTTTTCCTGTAGCCTTTAAAATAATTATTTTAATGCTGATAAATTTGCTATCAGTCTGTAGTAGCAGCAAATAATCTTTAGTTATTGTCTTTGCGACAAATAGATATGCATTTTGGATCTATGGAATTCCTTCCTCTTGCAGGAATAGCAAACTGAAATGATGAATTCAAGAGATTCAAGAATTTGCATGCCACTCCACTTGCCCTATACAGAAACTGAATTTCTTTAAGGCTAAATCTAACATGTTGGCAATACTTTATTATGTAGTTATTATTTATTTTTCAATGCGCAGTCTTACATTGTTTCATCTGATTTTCATAGAAACCCTATGAGGTAGTGGGGCTGAAAATCATCCCTATCCTTTTATTTTTCATGATTTTACATTTTAAGACATTTTGGCTGGTGGGGGTGAAGTAGTAAATACAAAAGGAGTACACTCCCAGTGCATAAAATTTGGAAATAAAAACAGAACCAAACCAAACAAAGAATCACTCCTAGTCCCACTGCTAGATACAACATTATAACCACTTAGGTTTCCAATATTTTTCAGTTATTCTTTGTATTTAAGCCTGTTTAAAGATGAGAAAATTTTCACATGTGTAATGAGAGTCAAAGCTAGGACTAAAACTCATGAACACTTTCCCTCATACTAGGAAGCCTCTTCCTTCTTATTAATCTGTCTCTCTTTCAAAATGCTCAAGCATTAGAAAGAATAAATCTTCAGAAACACAGATTTGGGGATTGTTCATATTTTGTTTCCATTTACAGGTAAACTTACCAATGGTCTTTGGAGAGAAGCACCTGCAGCATAAAAATTGTTGTCAAGCACAATGATTTTTAAGATTCTTTTTAACTCTGAAACAATTGTTCTCCTTCTTCTTCTTCCTGTTTTTTTTTTTGGTTTTTTTTTTTTTTTAGACAGGGCCTTGCTCTATCACCCTGGCTGGCTGGAGTGGTGCAGTAGCAAACTCACTCTAAGCAGTAAGGCACAGTGGCTCACGCCTGTAATCCCAGCACTTTGGGAAGATGAGGCAGGTGGATTGTTTGAGTTTAGGAGTTTAAGACCAGCCTGGGTAACATGGCGAAACCCTGTCTCTACAAAAGAAAAAAGAATACAAAATATTAGCCAGGCATGGTGGTATGCACCTGTAGTCCCAGCTACTCAGGAGGCTGAGATGGAAGGATTGCTTGAGCCCAGGAGGCAGAGGTTGTAGTGAGCTGTGATTGCACCACTGCACTCCAGCCTGGATGAGACAGTGAGATCCTGTCTCAAAAAATAACTTTTTTTAAAAAATCTCACTATAACCTTGCACTCTTGGGTTCAAGTGATCCTCCCACATCAGCCTCCCAAGTAGCTGGGAGCATGCCACTGGGACATCCAAGTACAGGTGCATGCCACCATACCCGGGTAATTTTTTTTTTTTTTTTTTTTGAGATGGAGTCTCCCTCTGTCGCCCAGGCTGGAGTGCAGTGGCGTGATCTCCGCTCACTGCAAGCTCTGTCTCCCAGGTTCATGCCATTCTCCTGCCTCACCCCCCCCGAGTAGCTGGGACTACAGGTGCCCGCCACCACGCCCGCCTAATTTTTTGTATTTTAATAGAGACGGGGTTTCACCATGTTAGCCAGGATGGTCTCAATCTCCTGACCTCGTGATCAGCTTGCCTCGGCCTCCCAAAGTGCTGGGATTACAGGCGTGAGCCACTACGCCCGGCCTTACCCAGGTAATTTAAAAAATTTTTTGTAGCGATGGGGTCTCACTATATTGCGCAGGCTGGTCTCAAACTCCTGAGCTCAAGCAATCCTCCCACCTTGGGCTTTCAACGTGCTGGGATTACAGGTGTGAACCATCGTGCCTAGCCCAACTCTGAAACAATTCTAATCTTCTCTGAATGGAACTGCGGCTAGAGGTCAAGAATCAGGATCAATAGGATAACAGATGTGTGACGGTTATAATACTGAGTGTCAACCTGATTGGACTGAAGGATGCAAAGTATTATTCCTGGGTGTGTCTGTGAGGGTGTTGCCAAAAAGTTAAACATTTGAGTCAGTGGACTTGGAGAAGCAGACCCACCCTCAATCTTGGTGGGCACCATCTAATCAGCTGCCAGTGTGGCTAGAAAGAAGCAGGCAGAAGTTGGACTTGACTTGCTGAGTCTTCATCTTTCTCCTGTGCTGGATGCTTCCTGCGCTTGAACATCAGACTCCAAATTCCTTAGCTTTTAGACTCTTGACTTACACCAGTGATTTGCCAGGGGCTCTTGGGCCTTTGGACACAGACTGAAAGCTGCACTGTTGGTTTCCCTACTTTTGAGGTCTTGGGACTTGGACTGGCTTCCTTGCTCCTCAGCTTGCAGAGAGCCTATTGTGGGACCTCACCTTGTGATCGTGTGAGTCAATACTACTTAATAAATTTCCCTTCATATATTCATCTATCCTGTTAGTTCTACCCCTCTAGAGAACCCTAACACAAGATGAGAACAAATTAAGTCAGTCAAAATCCCCCAAATAAGAAGTTAACCAAACTAAAATCAAAATCATAAACCAACATCATAAGTTGGAACAAGTGTCAACCAAGGAAAGAAAAGGAATACAGGTCCAGTAATCAACCTGAAGTTATACATCTAAAAAGTGGTGTGGCCAGATTAAGCCCCTAATCTAGGTGGCTCAAAGCTTATGTTCTTTTCCATGTCTTACCTCTCTAGGTGTAGTCACAGAGAGTCTATGCGCCTTAAATCGCTAAGAAACTAGGCATGTTTGCAAATGCCTTAACATTTTCCCCGGAAGGTGAAACCTAAAAAAGTGGTTAGCAAACGTATCTCAGAATTTGTTTCTGCAGTACATGTCTCTTTCAGTTTCTACAATGTGGTGAGGAAATTAAACATCTCTCTGGCTCTCCTTTACCACATGAACACCCATGTGTATGTGGATGCATGCACACACACACACACGTGTATGCATGTGCAAACACATACAATTTAACCATCTTCACTTCAGATGGTCTGACCTTCAAGTCAGGTTACCCATAATCAGAAACTGGAATATATAAAAAGGACATATGAAAAAGAATTTAAATTGAATTGAATATTAAAAGTTACAGAACTCACATATTCTCTGTTCAAGCAAATCCTGCTGCCCTTAACTGTGCAAACACATTTGTCTATAATATGTAAAATCATTACATTTGGAGATAAAGTTAAAACCAACATGTTGATCCAAACTAGTGGGAAACAAACTGAAATGCTTACAGCAGTCAAAATTGGAAAAAGTAAATCACAGAGTTACTCAGTACACTGCATAGCTGTTAATTTAGCTTTGGAAAACTCTCTCTTAAAGGAGAACTTCTAAATTGAAGCACAAGATGGCTTGAATAGAGGCAGTGGTTTGTAAGGGAGGAGGAGATTCCACAGAGTACTGAGACCACACATTAGACACCAAGGCTTCTCAAGCACCTCTTCACCTAACCCACTGTATTCTCATGGCAAAACACCTCATGATGCTCTAGGGCATGGAAACCATAATCTATATAATGCATACATCATTATATTCTTTAGGTGGCAATGGATCTAAATGAAAAATATACATAAATGTACTGTCTTAAAGCCAGTTGAAATTATTAGGCATATAAGATTGGAAAACAGGATGCCTGACTTTTACTCAGAGTTTTTCCAGTGACTCACCGTGTAATTCTGAGGACATAACCCTTTGATCCTTAGCCTACAACCCAGAGAATTTTAAATTGTGCTCCTCCAAACCCCCACCTTTGGAGGCACCCTCTCCAGCTTCTTTTGCCCTCAGATGAAAGGATCTGTAGACATGGAAAATGGTTGTTTGGTGATTTCCCGTAACTTCCTTTCTAGTATTTCAGTCATTCTCCTTTTACATCTGAGGGACACTGCAGAGAAATCACTGCTTTGCATAATCAAAGCCACAGGCTTAAAATTTCACTACTGGAGGGGGCAGGCTGAGAAGGAACAAGTCCGGCTTTAACACCACAAATATCTCCAATTACCAAATGTGGGCAGAAAAATGACAAAAAATCAAGGACAGATAGAAAGGTCCTTGGTATTCTTCAAAGCTTCCCTTTGGGATGAAAGTTCCTTGAGGCTTCCAAGGCAGAAAGCCTGGGCAGTCTGCACACCTGGGGTGCATTAGTGAGCCCTGGACTCGAGGTGAAACAGGCTGAATTTCATCTAGATGCTTCCCACAATCCGCTCTCATAAAACTCAGAGTAATTTACCAGCTTAGGAACATGGCAAGGTATTCATGGAGCACTAAATCTGGGGATTACCTTCCAGAGTCACTGGATAAATCCCACTGCTCATCTTTGTAAATACACCTTCATCTTGATTACCTTTATCTCAAGGGGAGTTTCATTTTGTTTGCTGTGGCACACGGTCAAGACTAAAACCCACCTTCAAATCAAATCATTCTCACACCTCTCCTGAGAAGTCTTTCAAAGAGCATCCAAACATTGATGTAACTAATGGGTGAGTTTTAGCATTAGGCTATGTGCCCTTCTAAATACAAAACACCAATGCCTCTGCTGTTGCTTCCCTTCCCTCACCTGCTATGTGGAGGTGATGATAACTTGTCTTGCCAGTTCCCCCAATCTGTATGAAAAGGAAGTCTCACTGTAGTTACCTGGCAGGCTCTAACCTTGCCACAGCAGCCAGTATGGTTGTTCCTGCCCAGAAAAGCCCTTGGTCTCACATTTCCCTAACTCTGTCCTGTACATCTTGAAGTATAACTCAGCACAGAGCTCACCCAGTCACCCTAATCAGTGCATTCTATACATCTGCTCGCCGTCTTTCTCCATTCCCAGCTACTTAGAGAAGCAGATCATAAGGCAGTAGTTTTGCATTCTGGCTCTGCAATTTGCTACCTGTGAGACCTTGGCAAAGTTACTTAGCCTCTTTTTGCCTGGGTTTCCATATTTGTAAAGTGGCGATAATGACGACAGCTGCTCATAAAGTTGTAAGTATTAAATATATAACCTTATCGTGCCTGAAATGTAGTAAAGCACTCAACAGCATGACGATAATCATGATGATACTTTTTCATTATCAAAGTCAACTACTTTTCTTAAAAAGAGTACTCCTCTACCCCGGCCCTCTCTAACATTTACAATCCCCTCATCTAACAGTGGGCAGAGTGGCCTCCTACTCCCAAACCACAACTAGCTAGAACAAACTGAGCCATTAGTAAGCAGGCTGTAGGATAAACACGTTTGGGCAAAATAATAGATGAAGGCAAAGTAAAGATGAATGTTAGCGCTCCCCAAACCATCTGTGCTCCATCAAACTAGACATTCTAAACACGTAGGCTATGGTTCAGAATCCATTCAAAGTTGGGGTATTTTAAGGTGACAGGTGGCAAAACTTTAACCATTAGGGTGACTTATGGAACTAGGCAATGCTGTAGCCTATACATGTTATTCAGGACTGAGGAATTGTCGGTGCCATAGGCCAAGCTCTAGTCTCAGAATGCAAGGGGGGAATAAAGGGTGGAATACAGGGCACCCTCTCCCCCCATACACAAATATACATTCTACCATCTGTTTCTACCATCTGTGCAAGACCCAACTGTCTTGAAGTCAGACCTCAACTGGCTGGTGTCCTAGTGTTTGGGACTCCTTATAAGCCATTCACATCTCCCATGTGATGTAAGGCATACCACTCCTATGGTGTGATGCCCTGAAAGATGTAACATCTGTTTACCCATGTCATAGCCTAGCATTCTAATGCATGCTTTCTATGGTAGTCTTACTCCTAAAAGTTACAATAACAACATAGAAGAGCATTTTTCAACTTGTATCCCTCTCTGTATTATGTTATTACTAGAGATGTTCTTTGAAAAAAATTCCATATGACATATAAATATTATCAATTTCTATGTGTATTATGACATAAGAAAGGCTGTGAAGCACTGTTCTAGACTAAGATCAGAAAGAAACCTTCAATTCATAAGTTCCAAACATTTACGGAGTACCTACTAAGTACAAGTCATGTTACACTACATACTTTTAATATTCTGTATTTAGATTTTCTATCTGTAGCTCCGAAATAAAACAACAAATACATTTGTATCAGAGGAATGACCTCAGAGTAATAATAGCTACAAGTAGTTTGCGAACTTTTTAGGTAAAAAATAAAAGGTAAATTTAAATACGTATTTTTAATTTGCTGCATAAAATGTGTTTTATCCCAATCAGATTCTTGCCAAGAAAGAAAAAAAGAAAAGACAACAGAGCCTCATCCTGAAAAGAAAAAGCCTGAAAACCTAGGGATACATGAGAAACATCTGCCGCATACTAGCGCAGCAAGGAAACCACTCACCAATAAACAGTAATTTAACTGTAAAAGGAATGCTTCACACATAATGAAAGCAGTTCCTTTATCTTCAAAGGAAAACTATTAATGAAGGAAGAAAGGGTTTTAGAGTACTCTGCAGGAAGGTGGCATTGCTCTTACCTGCCTCTATATCAAAATGCCAATATAGAAACACACTCCCACAATCATTTTATAACACTTGGCATCCATTGTGACCAGAGCAGAAATTTTATCTACACTTCAAAGTGTTTCCTATTTCAGACTCTTCAAGATAACCAAAAAAGGATTCTGTCTTCAGTATGCCTGAAAAAGTAGGGAAAGATGATTTTTTGTTTTTCAGGTTTTTTACAACATCTGTTTACGCATGTCACAGCCAAACAACATCAGTTGCTAGCCACACAAAACAGGGGCAATGAAATGAATGTGTCAAACTGTGGGAGAATTCTAATGGTGCTTTACTGAGAACTCCCTTCTCTCTTGCACCCACATTCTGCCAATTTCCAATATGCCAGCTATTGGACAGCACTGGGGAGAAGTTATAACCCTCCAGAAACAGCCTAAAAATTCCTTTGTGGACTTAAAGGGATAAGAGAAAATTGAAAGGCCTGGGCTTCAAACTTTTAACAAAGAAGGATTTGAGAAGGAATGTGATTCAACAGGATACGCATAGCCCAATTACTTAGATGACTTATGATCGAAGTCTTAAACCAGTTGCCAATGTCAACTCCTCATGTGGTTACTGTCAAGTAGGGAACCCTGTTTCTTTATGCATGAGACTGAAGAGTAGAGACATGGGGGAAGGATGACAGAAAAAAAGAAAGTATGCATAACACACTGTAAAGTGGGAAGTGATACATAACTAAACAAATGATAAAATCATATCAAACAATATTAAGTCTTTTTCCTATAGCTTCAGAAAGAATATTTCAACTAATTGGGTCACTGGAAAACAATAATTTTATATAGCATTCTGATAAATAGGTCCACAGGCTAAACAATTTTTTTTTAAAGTTACTTATCAATGTATTCAAGCTGTGTGTTTGATCCGCAAAGAGATAGGGTTTCAGTTTATACTTGCTGTTTGTTGAAGCAGCCTCAGGCAGGAAAGGGATATGAAAAAAGAAGACAACCCTGATTACTGCAAAATGAAGAGGGCAGCATGGTCACCAGCTCAACGTTAGAAAAAGGGCATTATAAAAGCAGTGCTGAGAGACCAGGTATTCTGCCTACTTGGATGAGCTGCCACCTTTGAAGCAATGCCAAGGTCATGTGCATTGAGCTGTTAAAGATATCTGAGTAGGAAAATGTCTTCAGGCAAGGTAACTTTCTTTAAAGTATGCTTAGCACCTGGTCATCTGGTCATCTCAACAGTGGCTCAATGATCAATAGACAAGAGAGCATAAAACGTTAGTCAAATGCCAGAAAGCTTGAACATCTCGGCTGGAGAGTTAAATTCTTCTGACTTTTGGAAGGCTTTCTCAAATTTATTTATATCTGTTTCCAGGAGCTTAGGCTAATTTAAAAAAAAAAAACTTAATTGCTTCTTATTTTCATTTTTCCCTTTCTCTCATTCCCCACTGGCCCCCTCCATCGCCCTCACCAATTTAGAGTTGCTTTTATATATTTTCTCCTCATAAGTGGACTTAAGCTCCAGCCTAGTGAGAGAAAAGATAAGCACATGTGATCGCATGTTTTTAAGGAAACATCCACTAAGGATATCTAGTTAAACTTGAAACATGAATTTTGGTAGATGGAAATCAGTAAAGCATGTATAATTAGATCACTCTGGTACTGGCCAGCAACAAAGATCATTCTAAAAATGGAGAACAAAACACCTAGGTGCCTACCTGTGTAAACATACACACATGCATGCACACCCAAGTGCATGCACACACATGTGCTTGAGCAGTCATAGGCTTATACTGTTGGGCTGAGTGCCTTTCTGGCACCCAGAAAAAGATGGTGCTTTTAAAAGTTTTAGAGGAAAACATCACTAAGTGTTTGTGTACAGAATTATGTGCTGTTTGCCATTGGAAGTCAATGTGGCATTGTACACTCAGTGTCAGTCTTGAATCTGGAAGAAAAACTTTTCTCAGAAACAAGTCTTAGTCCAACATTACCTTTCTTGGCCCATTCTGGCAGTTACACTCTAGAGAAAAGGACTCCTTTGCTCATTTTGTGACATGCCTCAATTGTGGATGGCAAATTTGATGACAATATTATGAACAGAGTGATTTAGAGCAGATCTCTAGTAAAAAACAGAACTCCATCTTGGCATAGTGCAGTTGATTAATATGCCCCAGGCCCATGAAATACATACTCTTGCTGCTAACTGAAACAATCCAGAAGCCTTCTGTGTAAGATACCTGGGTGATATTGTTCCATAATCGTATCCTCTTTTGGCACTGCTATAACTATTTATTTCAAGGTTGGTTACCTTTAATTTCTAGAACCAGGGAATACATGATCCAAAGTTTACCCTTTTTTGTGTTCAAAATGACCTGCTCAGAAGTCTTCAATATAAAATATTAATGCTGTAGATTAATGCAATGTTCATCAACTCTGGAGACCAAAGGGCTTTTACAGAGGCTATTGTTTTAGTTTTTAATGCTCATTCTATCCCTGAGTGACAGACATCATGATCCTCATTTCCTCATAGAGAAATCATCTAATGATGATTGAGTTGCCTGAGGTGAAGTCGCTGGTAAAGCTGAGAGTAAACTCTAAATTTTCTGATCCACTATTTCAGCACTAGAATGTATTATCTTATTTTGAGAAATGACTAAGGATTTAAGAGCTAAGTCTTTGAGAACAGCATACTGATTAAGAGTACAGGTTTTGGAATTAGTTGGACCTGGGTTTGAATCCCAGTTCTACTATTTACTATTGTGAATCTTGGATAAGTTTCTTAACCTCTCTGTGCCTCACTTGCCACCCATCCATACAAAGCCCCAGAAAAATAGATACGTGTTACTTGGTATGTTTTCCAAGATGCATGCCTAAGAGATAAAATCTGCCTCCTCATCATCTCCTAGGGATATTTAAGGATTAGCTAGATTGGTGAGTTGGCACATACTCTGAGACTCCAACTAACGAACACAGCATCCAAATGGAGTCCAGGCTCAGCAGGAGGATCCTGCCTATTATAGCACATGTCTGGCCATTTATTTATGAGTGCAGCAAGCAGGTTTCTATCACTTACTGTGATGGAAGAGAAAAAGAAGGAAAGAGAGGCAACATCTTGATGAAAGATATTGCAAATTTGAATGCAACTATTCTAGGAAGTGCATATATAGTAGAGAAATCATTAAGCCATTGGCTTGGAACTGTCAGACTTTACTGATGAGGAAATGGAGGCTGAGAGAGGTTCACTTGATGGAATTCATGTAATAAAAGGCGGTAGAGTGATTTGAACCCAAGTCAGACTGAGCCACACATTTTCTACCAGTACTCTGTACTTACTAGGAGATGGTGATCTCATGTATAAATGTTAACTGACAACTTATCTCAGACACCTGTAAGTTAAACGGACACCATAATTCAACTTGAATTTGGCTGGGGAACCATAAAAGAACCCAAGACCAGTGAGACATGGGCACACTTAGTATCATGCCCCAGCACTCATTTAGAAAGAAATGAATCACAGAATATGTCAGCCATAGCTCATTTAATACAACCAAAAATAGGTATTTCGTAGCTATTTTCCACCTAAAGACTATCCCCAGCCAGCTATGCTTGTGAGGTAGCACATCCCAAACACGGGTGGGAGAACCATGGACAAGTGCACCTAGCCATCTTTATAAACCTGCCTACAATGAATAAAATGGAAATGGTCAGTATGAAGCATTCAGTACTTAAATTGCTCTGCTTAACTGATGAAACTCAAATACTGTTCCTCTTCAGTATGCTTTATTTCTTTTATAAACATACCAACTTTCTTTAAGGCCAGTAAATGCACCATGATTTCTTTTTTCCTTCTTCATGCCAGCAAAAGCATGGAAAATGGAGTTTGAAGTTGTAAGTCTCAGATGGAAAGATAGAAATGCAAAAGCCATGGGGAAGAATGTGGTACGTCAGTATTATAAAAAGATCATCAATGGAATCAATCTGTTGCTTTATGTCATTGATAGTTTGATCTTTCTGGGAAATGCTGATTCCCCAGGATTCAAAGTATGGCTGGAGAAAGGTAGAGAACATTCTGTTCCTTTCTCATGGGCAAATATTATTAATATTTACACTAACTTAATATCATTATTTGCAAGGAGGATAAAGCTAAAAACTTAGATGTGGATTGTGCCACTGAGCTCACCATTAATAGAATTAAATTTTCTTATGTAATGCAGTTCAGTCCTTGAAAAGAGGATTAATCAACATGAGGCTTCCATTAATTCATTCAATTAATTCCAAGTTTAAATAGGTAGGTCAGAATAGGTTTGCAGACCCGTTGAGAAGATAACATTTCAGCAAAGGCTTGAAGTGAGTAAGGGAGTTAGTCATGTGTATATTAGAAGCAGAGAATTTTAGTCATTAACGTTGATCCAATCCAGTGCCCCCTCATCTTGGCCCCATTGGATGGTCTTATCCACATGCTGTTGGCTTTCCTCCAGCATTGTTCAGTATTTCCAATGTATCCTATCCTACAGTCATATACTTTTTAAACAGCAATCATTGAAAGGCTCAAGGTACTATATCTAAGTTGCTCTTCTCTTAGCCTGGAGACACTGAGATCTGTCAAGGTTATGCCTTTGTCTTAGTCAAAATGATGTTGTTCTCTTTCCTATGGTTCTTATAACCACTTTTTTTTTCTTTTTTTTTTGGAGACAGGGTCTCACTTTTTTTGCCCAAGCTAGAGTGCAGTGATACAATCATAGCTCCACTACACCCTGGAACTCCTGGGCTCCAGGGATCCTCCCACCTGAGTAGCTGGCACTATAGGCTTAAACCACCACAGCCTGCCTTAGCACCATCCTTATTCCCTTGACTATCCTGTACTCTAAATAATCTACCAGAAAGTGGAACTTCCTAGCACCTCCACTAGAGTCTGAACATGCAGAGTAAGAACTACTACATGGAGAGTAAGAAAAGATAACAAAATGTATAAGAGTCATTAAGAAGATAAGAGAGGAAGAAGGAATTAATAGGCAAATGCTAATCACCTATACAGTTGATGGTACACTGGAAACATCACAATGAAATAATCTAAGACTTGGGCTACTCAGTGCCATAATTACAAAGATGCCCTGCAGAGTAAGTTTCTAGTGGTTAAGATTTCAGTGGCTAGAAGTATCCCTTTCATGGACCAATATGTGGCCACAGATGTTAATATAATGACCTACATAGGAGTAGTTTGTATATTTTACTGATCTTAAGACTTTTACTCATCTTAAGACTGTTTCAAAGCTATGCATTCTTCCTTGAGTAAACATTTATCTGTGCAGTTGAATGGTTCCAGCCCAAGGAAAGAAGCCAGGAACATGGGTACTCCCTAATAGTCTGCTGCTGCTTCAATATGACAACAAGGGAGTCATTTCTCCTCTAAGTTCTCTCTACTGAGGAACTGAGACAGTCTATGAACCAGGACCAAGACCTTTCCACAAAATTACTCATATTGCATGTGATTCTTATCCCACAGAAGGTGCCAAGACCCAGGAATCCAAATCAATGAATAGTCACTCGTTCTTGTCACCTCTCAGATCCTGAGTAGGACTTCTCATTCAAAATCTACAGCCCAAAAGTTAATTCCCCACTTAGGTCTCACTGTACTTACTGGCTGCTGTCTTGGATAATAAAATCTTGGATTCTAAGGCCAGAGTGTTCCCACAGGCAGTATAGAAAGATGGCAATCAGCTCTTTGCAAAGAATATAAAGAATATTTTTCTATCTTGAAGTCTGACCTTATGTGGAAAAAGATCAAAGACCAAAATGTATTAACTACAAATGGCTCTAGCCAGCCCTACTTGGCTTTATATTATAAATAAGAAACAAAACAATACCTCCATGAGTTAAACACTGAGCTAAGTATACATGAGTGTACACTTATTTGAATTTGCCACTGACTTGCTGCAGAACTTTTGGCAAGTAAAACTTCTCTGAGTTCTACTTCTTCACCTGTAAAATTTAAAAATGATACTTTACAAACTAGGTTTTCACAAGCAATAAACTTTAAAATGCCTTGAAAAAATGCAAATGCCTGGAGCTGTATAATTAGCCACATCATCTTCAGACTAAAACAAAGGCCTAACTCCCTGTAATCCAGGTGTCCCTACACTCAATAATAAGAGACCTTGGAGATTTGGCTCAGAAATGAGTACACAGACTACAATACAGGAAGGGCAAACTACTGGGAAGGGAGGCCAATACTAGTTAATCATTCACAGGATTAAGTGTCTTATTTCTCTTTCATAACATAGGCTTGACTAGCTAGAAAGTTACCCAGCCAAGCACAAAAAGCCATCAGTGGTTAAAAGAAAATAATTGAATGAGAAAGGAACCATGGTTCGGGTCACATCATTTTAATTCTCTTAAGCTCTTTCTTTAAGGGCTTTTTTTTTCCACTTGAAGTTTGGGAAATATCAGTCAATCTAAATATATAGAAATTCAATTATTCTCCTTGCCTATATAACCTCTTAAATATTGTATAAATGAGCTCCCACAAGCTTATGGAATTTTATGGAGGAGTTTGGCAAGAGTTCACAATCCTGTTCTTAGCTACTTGCAAACGGTTATGTGACTTAGGAAAGCCTCTTAATCTAGCTAACCTTCTTATTCTCCAAATTAGAAAATAGAAATTATGAATTGGGCCCTGGCTAATGAAGGGACAAACCTGTCGGTATCTGGCTCTGTTTACATTTTGCAATGTGGTCAGAGGTTAAGTCAGTAAGGACGGGACAAATACACATGTAATAGATTAAGAATGTAATGACAGAAAATCATACAGGATCTACAACCTCCTAACTACTGACAAAGGATTTCTCTACCTTTTCAAAATGAGAACTAGGCGATTTAAGGGAGGAGGGAAGGTAAAAAGTGACACTGAGGGAGGTACAGTTGAACTGAAGACCTAACAGAATTTACTAGAAAGGAATGTATTAAAATTGACTGGTGGATATGCACATTTAAACATGGCTATGATACAGAGGTGTTGAAATATTTAGTATTTTCATCAGCCTAAAATAAGAATGAGAAATATGGCTGGGTGTGGTGGCTCACACCTGTAATCCCAGCACTTTGGGAGGCTGAGGTGGGTGGATCACTTGAGGTCAGGAGTTCGAAACCAGGCTGGCCAACATGGTGAAACCTTGTATCTACTAAAAATACAAAAATTAGCAGGGCTTGGTGGTGGGCATCTGCAATCCCAGTTACTTGGGAGGCTGAGGCAGGAGAATCTCTTGAACCCCGGAGGCAGAGGTTAAAGTGAACCGAGATCGCCCCATTGCACTCCAGCCTGGGCGACAGAGCGAGACTCCGTCACACACACAAAAAAAGAATGAGAAATATGACAAACAAGATGAAAGGTAATCACTGCCTACAAAACACTGCATTTAATATTTTCTTTAGAAACTAATAAAATTACAATTCCTAGTAAAAGACACTGTAGGCTGGGTGCGGTTCTTATGCCTGTAATCCCAGCACTTTGGGAGGCCGAGGTGGGTGGATCACCTGAGGTCAGGAGTTTGAGACGAGCCGGGCCAACATGGTGAAACACTGTCTCTACTAAAAATACAAAAAATTAGCTGGGTGTGGTGGTGGGCGCCTGTAATCCCAGCTACTTGGGAGGCTGAGGCAGGAGAATCACTTGAACCCGGGAGGCAGAGGTTGCAGTGAGCTGAGATTGCTGCCATTGCACTCCAGACTGGGCAACAGGAGTGAAACTCCATCTCAAAACAAAAACAAACAAACAAAAAAAAATAGGACGCTGTAGTCTTGAATCCTTTTCTCCAAATAAGATTCTGCTACAGAAATGGCTTATTTCTTTTTTGTTCTGTCAGGCTCTAAAGTTACAAATATGAGACAATGATGACAGATCAAGTAAGTCAGAAATTCTTCAAGAAAAAGAGAACCTCTTCTATAAATACATGACTCGATCAGGCTGAGAACCTGTCTACCCGTTTACACAGAAAATCAAGACTTTGGCCACTTGATGGGTTATGGAGGAGGAGCCTGAAACCCCTGGCCAGCAGGGCCTTCCCTTTCAGGGACTCCTGGTAAAAACTTACTTTTTTCTACCCAAAGGCCAAAACCAAGACAGGAACATTTTACTTCTGGAAACCCTGGTCTAAAACTCAGTGAAGTTATCATTCCCAATACATTTTTTTCATCAACATTTTATGTTCAGAAATGAGAATAAAAAGTTGTATAGCCTTTCCAAAAGGCAACTTGCTAATTATAATCATGAAAAAATAGATTCAGCCTAAATGTCCAACATCTAGAATGGTTATAGAATTCATATTACAGTTGTGAAATAAACAATTCTGCTGCCATTAAAATTCCTTTGACAAAAAAGTTTTTAATAGGATGAGATGATAAAATAAGTAAAAAATACTATATAAAAACCATAAAATATAAGCTAAACTATGTAAAAATTTTAAATGTGTATAAAATAAGACTAGTAAGAAATATGACAAAATGTTAACAGTAGTCATTTCAGGGTGTGGTTTTAGAACACTAATTTTTTAAATGATAGCTTTCTTAAATAAGGAAAATAGAGTACTTTTATTATTGGAAAAAGAATTAGTAATAAAAAGGATATCCTCTGATTTTAATTCTCCTGTGTGCCAGTACTTCCCCTGCCCAATCTTTCATTCTCTCCTAAACCTGAGCCAGACATTTTGTAGTTAATTAACTAAAATGTTTTTAATGAGTGCTTACTATGAAATGGACCCTGTACTAGGCAAATTAAAGGATATGAAAGAAATAGGAAATGAGGCCTTTGCTTTCAAGGAAAGGATGCTGCTAAACTCTAGAGAGAATGCTTGGGAGGGAAAACCACCAACATTTTCCTAGGAAATAAAGAAATATAGCAAATTCAAGTAGAGTAGGTTCCCTCCTACACTGGAGAGTGAATCACTCCATCTTTCAATTTAAAACCAAAGAGTTCTCTTATTCCCTAATGGAGAAGTCAGAAAACTGGACTTCACAATCATTACAACCCTCAGTAAGAAAGGCATCTTCCTAATGAAGAACTAAAGGCTGAGAGAGTTTCAATGGTTCTTTCCACCACAGCTAAGAGTCCATAGAACAGTATTCTTTGCTATTTTTTGTGATCACATACACAAAACATATAAACAAGACTTGTTTAATTTAGAAAAGTCTTTGCTGTAAGTGCAGTGCAAACAAGCAGAGAAATGACACTACTGTAAGGTGAACAAAGAGGTCATCTAGAACCTCTGCTATATATATTAGAACCTCTAATTCAAAATACGCCCATCAGATCAACATATATCCATCAATTCAAATATACCCATCATGGCTACCTTGCAAGAACCCACCCTTCCATGAATGTGCATCACTAACTGCCTCTCAGACCATCTGGCCACAGGAAAATTCGAGCCAGCAGGACTCAGCAACATCTACACAGAGAGTTATGTGTGATACAAGATATCAGACTGGGGGAGGAGGTTAACTTTTCTAAATGTATATGTTATTTAAAATATATTTAAAAGTTCAAAGAATAATAAATGCCCATGTACTCAACTTACGATATAAAACATTAAGGGGTTATATGTTAAGGAACAGATGAATGGGAAAATCAAATTATGCAAAATTAGTGACCAATAATAGACTAAGAAGGTTATAATCATCAATAAGAAGACTAAGAGTAGATAAAAGGCTTTAGGAGCAGAAAATTTGAAATGGGCACTAAACGACAACAACAAATGAAAGCAGGCTGTATGAGGAGAATATAACCAGAATATGACTCTGGTCTGGGTACTCCCTTGCCCTTTTATACTGTATCCTCCTCTGAAACCATGCTTCTCCCAGGGTAGCAAATGAATCATCCATCTGTTAGAAAAATGAAGAAAGCCTCAGATTAAAAGAAAAAGAGACCAAAATTCATTGAGCTTACTATGCAAGCTGGAGTCTTCAGGGATCAGAAACTATATAAAGTGCTGTTATAGTGATTAGGAAAACAACAACAGCTAGAATAATCCCTCCTAAAAACTGAAATAGGAGAGAGCCAGGAATAAACTGCTCTGATGGAGGTGTATGCTTATGTCCTAGGACCTGGAATAAAAGAGGATTTTAAAGGGGAAGTCTGAAATGTACTCGCTGAACATGACCTGCCTTGCTAAGCCTGGTTCTTGTCATGGCTATTATGCCCTCAATTTCATGAACATCATGTTCACTTGGAAAGAAAAAAAAACAAAGCTGTTTTAGTAGTAATTGCACATCAATATGAGAGTCTTATTTCTATTAAGTTAATTAACCTATTTTTGAAAAGTATACAAAATAGGTCACTTAAGTGGGTGTGACCTTATCCAGTGAACTATGCTTTTAAACTGTCTCCAACTATTAAGATTTATAGACCTCTTTATCAACATCTTGGTTTGAAAAGGCTGGCTGAGTGAAAGGCATGCAACACCAGGCCAAAACAGCTTTGGTCCCTATCAATCAGCCTATTATTACTTAATGATATTTAGATGATATGATTAGATTTTCAAATTGAATGCTGTTTAATCTAAATTCCAGAGTGCTTGTGTAATCATGCTACATTTTAAGGTTCAGGCAAACAGTCTGAAGGAGAGAATTTATATCTAAGATCTATAAAAATAATGCTCCTCATAGATCGTTGGTAAACGAGAAAACTGCTTTACCATGGTATATGTATATGGGCAAAAACTGCTTCTAAATCATCACCACCATCACTATCAAAGACATAAAAGACGTTTGCAGAACTGAGCACCATGCTAGGCAGTGTACAAAAGTTTTGCTTTGTACTACTGTCCTGATTAAAAGGAGTAAAATTCTAGAGATCCATTTCTATTAAATTTCATACAATTCCATATATAAAGAGAAAATGTCCTTTAGAGCCTCTTCCTATCTGAGTATCTGTGGGTCCGTGACTATGTGGCCCACCCCAAGGAGTGATATTTGTGCTGTACCCAATAAAATCTAGTGTCAAAATTATGGGAGACACTTCCAAACTCTCACAGCTTAGCAAAACAGTGTCACTATCAGAGTAGTCCAAATCACGAAAAAGAATAGCGAGTTATTCTTCAAAGCAATTCACAGATCTGCCTAAGGGTGCAAATTATATTGTATATGCTTTAGAGATAAAGTTAAAGTATATACAATAAAATCCATCTCATAAGCTTGTTTTAAAAATTAAATAAGATAATGTTTATGGGAGGACTTTGTACCTATAAAGTGCTAAAGAGGGCAGGGAGTATAATAAGTAGAATATCAGAACTCTAATAAATGACTTTTCATGGGGAAATGTCAGACTGTCTATGAAATCTTTGGGTAGGTATAGTGGTTACAGGAGTATTCCTGTTGTCCCATCAATCATACCAATTAAGTAAAGACCTCGTCTACCCATCAAATCTTAATCTGAGTACTTTAAAAAGCCATTTCCATGCAACACTGAAAAGGGAGTAGAACTTGAGGAGGAAAATATGGTCATAGAATTTTACTCCACCCACTATCTAATCAATCTACCAAGTGCTACCTCTGTACCAACCACTGAGCTGGACGTTGAAAGGCAAAAATAAACAAGACATAATCTCTCATACAATAAAGCAGGAAGGGAAGGATATACACAAAATACGTGCTATAGGTTTTATAGGAACTATGTAAGAAGTATATACAGGGTATGATGGGATACAAGGAGGGAGTTACAAAAGACTTCACACTGGAATTAGGTTTTAAAATATAAAACAGTGTTGGCAATTAAAGAAGTGGGTGGAGAGAATGTAGAATGTCCAACAACATGGCATGTTTTGGAACCCACAAACTTTCAGTGTGACTAGAACAGAGGTCATAAGAGGATTCAAGACTAGAAACAAGGTAAAGATTATTAAGATTTCAATAACCAATATAAAGAGTGTAAACTTTGTCTTATAGCACACAAGAAACCACTAAATATTTTTAAAATGAGACAGTAATATTCTATGATTTGCATTTTGTAAAGGTTAATCTGGAAATGGTATCGAGAGTAGACTGTAATGAGACCAGACTGGTGGCAGGAAGACAATTGCAGCTGCCCGGTGACAGAAGAGCAAAAGCCGAATTAAGGTAGTAATTGTGGGATGGAGATAAGGGGCATAAAGTATTAAGACAGTTAAATCTACAGATGTTGAGGAAATGGGGTGAGGGTTTTTCAGCTTGAGAGATGGGGTGGATAGATATTCCATTCACAGAGAGAGCAAATTCAGGAACAGAATATTAAGTTTTATGTATGTTGTGCTACAAATCATTACAGGGCATCCAGGTAAAGAAGTTGACTAGTTCCTGGATTAATAAGTCTGGGGATCAGGAAAAATATCTGAGCCTAGAAATACATGTTTGGGAATCCGCAGACTGGTGCTAATGGGAATGATGAATTCAACAGCACTTTTCTTACACTCTCTTCCCTACTACGTTAGTTTAGCCTACTAACCAGGTAAGTATTCTCAAATTATTTAAAATTGAAGACACTTTTGAAGATGAAACTTGATTCACAGCTAAAAATATTTAATTGAAAATTTGGTACAGATAACAAAATAACTCTTTCTGAAAGCCAAACCATCAATTTTTTTACTATACTCTGGGTCTAATTAAAAGAGAAAAAGAGTTAAATTTGGCAAATAATTCTTAAAGGAAAGACTAGTAAATATAATGAAAAAAATTTACTCCAAAGATTTACTATGCTGAACTGTAAAAATAATAATTAGTATTTTGTACCTATTGGTTACAGCACCTTTTATGCTTCGGACTATGAGAACTTTATACTTTCATTAGTTTTCACAACATGCCTGTCAGGTTGGCTAGTGGACTAGGACTTTTTTCTTCATGTATAGCTGGAGAAACTAAAAAAAAAAAAAAAAAAGAGCAGAAATAATGTACCTGGTCTTCCAGTAGGCCATTAAAATGAAGCTGAAAACAGAATACAGATCTCAACTTTTGGTTTACACTCTCTCCCCTATACTATCATCACCATCATTTTCATAACAATCATTGGTAGGTTACCACTGGGTATCGGGCACAATATTCATGGTACTGTGCCAGGCCACCCTCTTACAGCATAAGATATTAATGCCGAGATCATTGTAAAGGGGGAGGTATGAGTAGGGAACTTTCTCTAAAGCCTTTCAGCTATTTCTTTTATGTACTATGCTTACCAAATTAGATGGATTATTATACAGCATGCAAAACTAAAAATAATTTTATAAAGTACTTGCAACTTCGAGTATAAAGCCAATGAGAAAATATATTGTAGTAAAGAGAGTTGTTTTTAATCATTACTAAAAAAGGAAGTTTAATGAGGGAGACAAGAGCTGGCATGAGACTTAGAGCCCTGCACCACCAGGTTACCAGTACAAATCCAGTCCAGTCTTGGACTGACTAGAAGTTACTTTGATAAAATACTGTTTTGTTGGCTAGTGTGAAATAATGAGTCTGTTTCATGCCAGTTCTCACAAGACAAGAATTTACCTCACAAAAATAAATAGTACTTCTGACCCTAATAAAACTCTTTACCCAAGAGGAAAAAAAATGCATATGAATAAAGTGAATTTCTGCCTACCAGCCACTGTCTTCCCCATAAAAGCGGCCCCATTTTCACTGTTCCACCCAAATCAGTAACCTCTAGATGGCCATTATCTCTGTCTGGCAAAGCTTGCATGCCACTATGTAGTCCTATTTTTCTTCTGAGATGAACTATAGAGGTTTCCAGGTTTTTAAACATAATGTTAACTAGTACAAAGTTCCCAACAAGTTACTAATGGGACAAAAGAATAAATTTCATTTTAAAGTGATTTTAAAATCTCCATACAGAAGAACATCTGAAAGTACTTAAGAAATATACTTAAGTCCCTGTTGGTTGAAAGAAAAAAACAACCCTCCGTTTTACTCCATAAAGATTATTGAAAATACCATGCGATTAATGCTATTTATATGGCACTGAGTTCAACTCCAAAGGTAACACTTAACCACACTCTATTTACCAAGTTAATCTACCAGATTTGTTTACTTTGTCTGATTTACTAAGACAAATACGTGAGTGTCTAAAATGTTTTATCTGGCCCTGGGAAAGGAAAACTAAAGGAGTGTTGTGCTTTTATTAATAGATAAGTGCAAACAGGCCCATCCTATCAAATGAACAGCTAGGACCTTTGGCCACTGTTTACTGAAAATAAAATTAGGCTTGGCTGGCAGGTATTTATCAGATCTGAGAATAATTAACTACCCACATCTGGTACATGTTACTGAAAATGCTAGTGGGAACCATTACCTTTGGTAAGGGTTATTTTTCCTGAACAGCTAACATCCCCTCACAAACTATTGGAATGCACTCCCAAACACACTCAGAGCAACACCAAAAGCAGTTCCAAAGCTGTTTTCCCACTTCAACCCAACAGAAAAACAGTTTTAGAAATCTAAAAGAAATCACCAAAACATGGCTGGTTCCCACCACACTCCACAATGCTCACCAAGGGGATCACTAGCCCCAGAAAGCCCGCGGAGCTTTGCAAACACACAAGGGTCATTTTAACTTAACAATAACATTTTGCACTTTAAATCTTGTTTGTTTTTTAAGGACTTCAGGGAACTTCACCAATGTAGTATAAAATAAGTATAGTTTTCACAATTCAAAAGGAGAGCCTATGAGCCCACAGCTCCCATTATTAGACAGTTGAAAAGGCAATAATCAAATTCACGTACACTGTGCCTAGTTCATTTCTCTTCCATCCTAACAATTTCATTACCAGGTGATAGTCTTCATGATTTTATTAAAGGAAAGGAAATGCTCTAAGGCATTTATATAAATAAGGAATGCAAAGTAAATTGTTTTATATCATAGAAGTAAGAGACAGGAAATTTAAGGGCTCTGTAATTACTTTCCTGTGAAATTCTAAATAAGTCACTTGTTTAGTCAAGTGACCTGTCATCTCTGCTCTGTAAAATTGGGAATACCAAGCCCTATCACAAAGCAGTAAAGAGGAATAAACTGCTGATGGCACCAGGAAAATGTTTGTAAACAGATAAGAAATTTCAAATCTTCAAGAACATTTCTTCTCAAGAAAAATAGGACCATATTAATAATATATTAATTAACCCAGCACCATTTATTACAGTATTTTTTCAACTTTTTCATAAATAAATATTACTGTCCTTCCTAATGTGACAAAGGAACTTGCATTCTAACGAGTAAGAACTTGGGTGATTTGAAGATCAGAAACTGCCTTATTTCCAGGGAAACTGCAAATTGAATTCTATTAACAATGAATAGGTGACCTGTCTGTACACACATGCCTTACTAAAATATGCTAGGTGGGTGGCCATTAGGCACCTTAGTAGATGAGGATATGAATTAAGAAACAAGTGAGTCTAAGGATACAGAGCCAGTAAATAGGACTTGGGAAACAGAAGAAGGCAGGCGTTATAGCCAAGGAGGAAATTTAATATGGGAGCGGAAAGAGAGGCCAAAGAAAAATAGAAGAAATAGAAAAAGCAATGAGTATTCCTGAGATTAGGTAAAGAAGTGAGGCCAAAAAAATGGGCACGACAGGCATGAGCTGAAGGACCATCGGGGGATAGGAGAGATGGGAAGAAAGTCATCCATGTGAGATATCAAAGCAAGTCAGAATTATTCAGTTGAAATCAGAGGAATGTTCATTGATCTGGGTTGGGTCTGATAAGGTTAAAAAGAACCAGAGAAAGGAATGGACTTGTAATTCCATGCTGCATACAGTCATGAGAATTTGGAAAACAAGAAGAATTATTTGTATAAAACTGGCAAAACGAGAAAATGCTAAGCCTCAAATCTTCCGACTCCAACAATAAATTTGACTTGCTGGATTGTAAAAGATTTCTTATATGAAATCCATCTGTAGTATCACTCTACTCATTCAGCTCTTCTACTAGAATATTATCTGTGGTTTGACTACAGAAGCACAGCTTTCCCTGGATTCATTCAGATATGCACAATTCAGAAACGACTTGCAAGTCTCAAGGAGTCAGACAGTATAAACTATTTTCATGTCATTTAACAAGAAGGTTGATTTCTCTGAAGTGTCAAACCCAATAACTGCAGCTATAATACATTTAACGCATTCTTCTGCTTTCATTATTCTTTCACAAAGCACATGCTTACAGGAAGAAAATTTCTGTATGCTTTTTAGTACATTAAATCCCTTATTATCATCCAAAGTTTTAGAAATGCTTTGGCTCAGTTTTGTTTGTTTGTTTGTTTTGTTTTGTTTTGTTTTTTGAGACGGATTCTCGCTCTGTCATCCAGGCTGGAGTGCAGTGGCACAATCTTGGCTCACTGCAACCTCTGCCTCCTGGGTTCACACCATTCTCCTGCCTCAGCCTCCCGAGTAGCTGGGACTACAGGCGCCCGCCACCACACCCGGCTAATTTTTTGTATTTTTAGTCAAGACGGGGTTTCACCGTGTTAGCTAGGATGGTCTCGATCTCCTGACCTCATGATTCGCCTGCCTCCGCCTCCCAAAGTGCTAGTATTACTGGCGTGAGCCACTACGCCCGGCAGCTCGGATTTTAAAAAATAATTATTTCCCCTGGTATAGAAACTTCTATATGAAATATTAAAAGGCTTTTGAGATAAACTTATATATTTCCTTTAAAAGCATTCAGTATTCAATTTAAAATATCCCTAGATTTCTATTTTAAGAAAAAAATTATAGGACTTATTTTAGAATGAAAAATTATGTCTGGGAAGTTAGCTTAAACTTGCATAAAACAAATATTTTAAAAAGGAATTTACGTTCTATTGCAATTTACTCACTAACCAAGATAATTCAATATTCTAAAGTTAGCTTCTATGGAAATTAAAGGAAGTTTCCCTGAATTAAGAGACAACTTAATTATACCTACATGTATGAATTATTTCAATCCTGCTCTCTATTACTTATTTCTCTCAAAACTGATGTTAATAGTAACAGCCGAGAAATTGAACCTAAAAAGCAGGGTTTCTTAACCTTACCACTACTGACATTTTAGGCTGGGTAATTCTTTGTTGTGAGGAATTGTTCTGTGCACTACAGGAGGTATAGGCATCCTAGCCTCTATACAGTAGCACCACACTCACCTCTGTGCACAGTTGTGACAATAAAAAAATGTCTCCAGAAATTACCAAATTTCCTCTGGGGGCAAAATCCCTCCTTTTTGAAGAATACTGCTGTAAAGTGATGGCAACCATCATGGTTTCACATTAAGGAGAAGGAGGAAGAAGCATGATGTTCTAGGGATACAAGGTGTGGAGAAAAGAGATGGGCTTTAGATTTAGGCAGATTTGGGTCAAAGTTAAGATCCTATCACTCATTAGCTATGCAGCCTCGTGAAAATTCACTTAATTAATCCTCAACTTCCTCATAAATGAAGTGAGAATAGTAACATTTTAGTTGACATTTGTCTTTCCCTGTCCAGAATCCCTTTTGGGGGGAAAAGACTTAAAAAGTCGTCTCTTCCTTTAGAGGAAACAGATCTCTTCTACTCTCAATCCAGTCCCTGACCCAGGGTTGAACACATGAACCAGGTTCAGCCAGTGATTTAATTGCATTCGCCAGGCCTTAATGCCTAGTGCAGGGATGTGCATGTGACCTATGCTGGGCCAATTATACTCAATTCTGAGACTCTGGCTCAAGCAATCAGGAAAGATTCATTCCCTTTCTACTAAGGTTGCTAAGCTAGTAGAGTATACACCTGGTGCTACTACACAGGAAAAACCTGAATAATAATAAAGCCAACCCAGTAGAAAACACGAGAGAGAAAGCCCTGACAAAATGATGTGTAATACCTGAAGTCAGATCTACTCCTTAGATTTTTCAATTGTGTTAGCTAGTGAATTCTCTTTTAACT
The DNA here is from genome assembly GCF_000001405.40 of Homo sapiens. NCBI lineage: Eukaryota > Metazoa > Chordata > Mammalia > Primates > Hominidae > Homo > Homo sapiens. The sequence continues at coordinate 68,161,174 of NC_000014.9, read as the reverse complement.
TAAGTCAGTGTGAGTTGGTTTTAGCCTATAAAGTGCCTATCTCAAACAGGTGTTGAGAGGACCAAGTAAAATGAAAATAATAGGCCTATAAAGAGCTTCCTTCCCTTGAGTCCCAATTTATAGAAATCAAAACAAACACAACGATATAAGAGCCTAAAACACAATACTGTGAAGGATCAAACAAAAGAACTCACGTCTTGGCTTTGAGCTCTTTTCAATAAACTGCTAGACATTCCAAGAGAGTTTCAATTCATGGAGCCAAAAATGACTATGTAATTACCATGCAATGTTACCAACAATCAAGCCAATGAAAAGCACTTGCAGATTCTGGTTTGTTTGCCACCATTGTTTGTAAGTGGCCAATAGTATGGGTTTGCTTATAAAGGTTCCATAGGTTGATTTTATTTTATTGCCAGAAGGCTGAAAAAGGGATTTAGTAGATTAAAGCAAAAATAATAGGATTGGGACTAGGGTGAATCAAGCAAGGCACCCACTTCAAATGCAAAATTTTAGGAGCTACTAAAAAACTCAGTAGTCAAGATATAATATTTAATGCAATATTTTAAAAAATCAAAATTAATCCCACAAATCCATAGTGAAGAAAATATCAGAATTTTAAATAAAGACAGGATCAGTGTCATTGGTCTTTCATTTTGCCTCAGGCTCCAATATGACTTGGCAGGGCATTGCAAAACAGAGTAAGATTTCTAAGTTGTAAGAAGCAGAGACATATTTGGTGTTCACAAATAGCATCAAAGACCTGACTGCACTTGAGTGGCAACCTATTAAGAACTCTGAATTGAAAGCTAGGGAACTCAGGTTCAAGTTCCAGCTCTGCCATACTAAGGTATGTAACACTGAGCAAATTACCTGGCCTTTCTAATTTTAGGTTCTGGCATAAATAAATGGAAAGATCTATACCAGATGATTATTAAGATCTTTCTTAGCTCTAAAGTTATATGATTCCTTTGTAAAATGGATTTCTTTTGATGTCTAAAAACAAATCACAGTGAGTATGTTACATTTCCCAGCATTTGCGTCATCTGGGAGCTCATGAAATAGCAAGCTTTAACCATGAAGTCTGTCAGTGAAAATAACCCAGGTTGAGGGTGATTTTTTTTTTTAATAATAGGAGTGTTCTCACATGTTTCAAATGCCGTTTGATTGTAAGTTCCTACAATGGGGAAGTCGGCAGTTTTCTGTTGTGGGTATAGGGTAGCAGGTTGATCTGTGTCTCTAAAAATTGAAATAATTCACATGGCTACCCAATGACAAGCCCATTGAAGCATAAAGTAATTGGGTTAATAAGTGACTGCTTATAATTCCCAAAAATAGGAAAATGAAAATCTAAAATTGACAACAAAGCACATGACAAACATCTGGAACGGGAGTAAGAAAAAAGTGTAATATATTAACGCTAAAGAAATGGCATAATATGTTAAAAGTAGTAAATGGTTAGAAAGCATTGGAAATAGAATGTAAAAACTGAGTATGAAAAACTAAAATGTCTGTGTTCAGGGTCCAAGCATATACTTTGTCTTTTTTTTTTTTTTTTGAGATGGAGTTTTGCTCTGTCACCCAGGCTGGAGCACAGTGGTGCGATCTCAGCTCACTGCAACCTCCACCTCCCAGGTTCAAGTGATTCTTCTGCCTCAGCCTCCCGAGTAGCTGGGATTACAGGCACACGCCATCGTGGCTGGCTAATTTTTGTATTTTTAGTAGAGACAGGGTTTCACCATGTTGGTCAGGCTTGTCTCGAACTCCTGACCTCATGATCCGCCCACCGCAGCCTCCCAAAGTGCTGGGATTACAGGCGTGAGCCACCGTGACCAGCCTCAATAGCATTTTTAAAAGAACCTTGCAAATGAAAATGAGCTATTTTTTTAATCAATTTTTTAAATTTTAACTTTTTAATACAAAATTTCAAAGACAAGGTAGACATGATAGTATTCATGATAACCCCCCTAAACAGACACACCCATTACCAGCTTTAATAATTGTCAACTCATGGCTGATGTTATTACATCTACACCCCCATCAATTTCCCCTATTCTCATAAAGGGCTACTCATTTTAAGCCCCAAAACAAACCTTTTGGGAGCATTAGTTTCCCTGTTTATACAATGAAGGCAATTATATTAACCTTCTCACCTACAATAAAAGTTGCAAAAAAAAAATAACCAAATCTTTGAGGCTCTTCTAACACTTACTTTGGTGTCTGCTTGTAAGAAATAAAAAGATAGAAAACAGAATCAACTTTTGTTTAAATAAGTCTTTCTTCTAGGCAGTTCAAAGTGCTTTGGGAGAATTTATCTTTCATTCTCCCAGCACCTCTATGTGGCCAATGAAAGTATTATTATTCACCTTCAGCAGATATAGAAATTAAAGGAAAAGGAAATTATTCAGGCCGGATCAAATGAAGAATCGACAGGAGAGGCAAAAATAAATCCAGGTTTTCTGACTTCCCGTGTTCTTTCATTACGATATGCCACTTTTACTCCTATTATAATACATGTGGTTGAAACAACTGTTTTCCCTAAATGAAATGGACTTATCCTCTATCAAAAATTTTATACATTTAAAAGTGCTATATAGAGCAGTGTTATACAACATTTAGGTGTTAAAGTATATTAACTGACTGACGTTAAAGTTCACTTTGTAGATTCACATAAGGCCACTCTTTAGTTGGTTCAGCTTACCTAAAGAAGACAGCAAAAAGTAAAGGAAGGAAATTAAACACATCTGTGGTTCACTAGAATTGAACAATTACAGTTCGGCATTTCATAGGTTTGAAATCTAAACCATTTACTTGGCAGATGCAAAAATTACTTCAGTGTTACACTGAAGAATTATACCATTTGGGTCCAGTCCATAGTGCCACAGGCATGGATGATGCAACTTCCAACTAAGTTACAGAGTATTTTTACAGCACTTACCAACTCATTATAACTTCATATATTTAAGACATTTTCCTTCCGATTCATACAATGGTTCCTGTTCATTGAGTTTAGTCAAGGCAGGTTGGGATGGTGGCTTGGGATGGGAGAAGAAAAAAAAAGGCTGTGTGAAGGGTGTGGTGAGAATAGTCTGCCACAAGCTAGGTCTCCCTGAATGTGGCCTATTATTCATTTTATGGGATAAATCAGGGCAAAAGCTCTTTCTCTTTCCATAGTCTCAATAATAGCCAGCTGTGGCTTGAGCAATGTCTTCTAGGATTATCACAGCAGAGATCACAGCTTCCTAAACACTCAGATGAATAGTTTAAAAATTTATATTAGAAGGGGATTCTTCTCCAATGATTTCTGACTTTGAAAATAATACTAATGGCCACGAGCTACCCAATGCCTGACTCCTATGGTTTTCTGACAAACTACATATAAATAAACAAACAAACCAAATAAATAAAAACAAATAGGTTTAAGTCATATTTCTTAAAAAAATAATAGTTTGTTATTGCCATTATTATTGTTTTTATTCAGGATGTAGAGCTCATCTGGATTGCTGCTTCTGAAATAAGACAGAAAACAGAATTACAATATAATAGAAAGGACAGTGAACTGGTAGTTAAGCAACCTAGGTTCTTCTATCTGCACTAACCAGCTCTGCTGGACAAGGCTGATATACTGCAGGACAGAAGTTTTCTGTCAAAAGAAATCCATGTTCCAAATGACTTCTCAGACTATTTTAGTTCTGAAATTCTTACACTACCTAATTCCATACCTTTTATTTTATTACTTCTATATAGTATCCCCATCTTTCACAATGCCATCCCTTTCATATAACATGCTTAAGTATGTTAATCAAATCTCTGTTGATTAGCTTATAGAAAACCTGTTTAAATCCAAAGCAAAGAAAAAGAAGCCCTTGTATTAAGTGAACTTTTAATAGCACTCTTTTATGGGTGTAAGTTAATATGAATAATAATATTTTCTAGTTCTCCAAATCCCCAAAGTAAGTCCCTTTTGCTTATTTTGTTTTTGAGATAGGCTCTTGCTCTGTCAACTAGGCTGGAGTGCAGTGGTGTAATCATGGTTCACTGCTGACTCAACCACCCAGGCTCAAGCAGTCTTCCCACCTCAGTCTCCCAGGTAGCTTGGACCACAGGTGCATGCCACCACACCTGGCTAATTTTTGTATTTTTTGTAGAGACAGCGTTTCACCATGTTGCCCAGGCTGGTCTCGAACTCCTGAGCTCAAGCATCTGCCTACTTCAGCCTCCCAAAATGCTAGGATTATAGGCATGAGGCACCATGCCTGGCTGTGAGTCCTTTTTAAATGGATGATATCCTCTTTAAATCAAAGAGATGCTATGGAACCAGGTGACCCATAATACCAAACAAAGGTTTACACTTTTATGTAAAAAAGTTCAAAATTCTGCCAAAAGAAAAAAAATTTACCAAGGTTTCCATTTTCAAACTTTCAAGAATAGCATTGGGTGTATTATCATTAATAAAAGGATAATAAAATCATAATTCATTATAGTTCAAACATTTTATCTTTTCCTAAATATTTCATGAATAAATATCACAGTGTACATGACCCCATTAGAATGAAGTTAAATACGAATAAACATAGAAATTTTTTAAAAACTGAGCCTTCTGGGCATACTGCATGCACAGCTTAATTCCAAACTAAGACCCAAGAATAGCAAGATATGCTACTGTCAGTTTCATAAAGGCAGAGAGAGAGAGAGAGAGAGAGAGAGAGAGAGAGAGAGAGAAATTTTCTAAGGTGCTTTCTTGACTTAAAAAGGGATTCCCCTAAAAGCTGGTAAGTAGATAAAGGAGAAACCAACCTTCCACACAAAAAGGCATAAAAAACTAGGAATAACAATGTTATAGCAAAATATTTTGGAATTTTAAAACTTGAAATACAAAGCCTTTCCCTGTGGAGATGAACTTCCATTCTGCAAGGACTCTGTCAACATTATCAACCTCAAACACTTGGCGCATGCACACACAAAAAAAGTGATGACATAGCAAATTGTCTGGAAACAAACAAATAAACAAAACTAGTATTCTCTCTCCCTGGAACCAGTGCTGCTCTGACAGAGCAGGCAAAGCAACCAGCATGTCAGGACTTCATTTTACAGTCTGTTTAATTGTTCTATTCCAATTCAACAGTCTGAGCCCCTCTTCAAAGTGCAAGACAGAAGAAACAAAAAGATCTTCCAAGATATTATCTAGTTCTTACTTCACTAGCTTCTATTGAAGAAACTCTAAATGCTAATTAGCCACATAAACTGGGCAGATGAACACCACGTCTCTATGTGTTACTAATCTTACACATAGACAGAGGAGGGTCTCTTTCTGCTCTGAGGGCCTCATCAATCAGAAATTCTTCACACTTGCTGAAAACTGCAAAAACCTTTGTATATTGCATCCTGGATTCACATTTGCATTCTAGCTACTGCTCTTTACCCATGAACTTTTCTACTTTTCAAACTGACTATTTATAAAAGGATAAAGCAGTAGCAGTAACTACCCTATCGCAATCTAGTTGAATTTTGCAACCATTTATTGACTTGGTTGCCATTATAGGAACCATAAGAAGAGGCTTTTCTGTATTTTTTGTGCTTCTTCTCTTGCCAAAAATCACTTGGTTCCCCAGTGAAGCCCAAATAACAAAGCAAAATAAGTAAAAACAAAAATCTCACACCTATTTTACCTCTATAAAGAAATATAGGCCGGGCGCGGTGGCTCATGCCTGTAATCTCAGCACTTTGGGAGGCCGAGGCGGGTGGATCATGAGATCAAGAGATCGAGACCATCCTGGCCAACATGGTGAAACCCCGTCTCTACTAAAAAATACAAAAAATTAGCTGGGCATGGTGGCGGGCACCTGTAGTCCCAGCTACTTGGGAGGCTGAGGCAGGAGAATGGCGTGAACCCGGGAGGCGGAGCTTGCAGTGAGCTGAGATCACGCCACTGCACTCCAGCCTGGGCAATAGAGCGAGACTCCACCTCAAAAAAAAAAAAAAGAAATATAATACTATACTATGATACCAACCCAGCTCCCCTTGCGTAATTTCCTTTTATATAACATGTTCAACAAAACTTACCATTCTAGTAGCTTGTACATGTCTTTCCCCCCAAAATTCAGTAATCTACCCATTGATATGGTCAACAATGGTACAAAAAATTGTGTTATGCAAATGTTTATGAAGAATATGAGTGGGAGGAAGACTAGATAATGGTAATTCTCAGATTAATTCTCTTTCCTAACTCTCTATAATGAAATGTCATGGATCTTTCAGTTAGAGATTCCCTGTTTTGTGATTGGTCATTTCTAGAACTACCAATGAAAACTTAAAGGAAGATCTCTGAGCACTTTTGCTTTTGACAAAGATTAAGTAACAGGGACCAGATTTACCCTACCACCTAAAACAACCAACAATACTTTTCAAGAAACAAAACAAACAGAACAATGTCTTTTCAAGACACTGGACATCTGGTAAGAGATGAGGGAAAAAAAAAAAAAAGGAAAGTTCTACAATTTCCTCAGGCCATTACCTTAAGAGAATTTCTAGGTTGTGTTGCATGAAGAGGGAACACAGGTGGAATCCAACAGGCTCCCTGAAGTGAGGAGAAGGAGCTGAAAATTCAGAGAAAAGAAGACAGCTAAAGTTCACAGAAGAGATCTTAGAGAGTCTCCCTCAAATATTCATCAGAGTACTGATTAGTGCATGCATGTAAGGAAACTGCCTGAGGCTAGAGAAAGAATGCTCTGAGAGGAGTAGAGGGTAGAGTGCCTGGCACTCATACAGGACCAAGAATAATGCCTATTTTTACGAATAAGAATGGAAAACTTCATAATGCATGAAGCATTGGATAGAATACTCAGACGGGTCTTGCCTTGATGGTGGGGAATGATTAGCTTTAAATTAAATAGTTCTGCCAAAACAAATCCTGAAAGCAAGATCCAAAAGGATGTGTTTCCAAGTAACTTAACTGCATCCCAAAACAAAGTTTAAAATTTATAGGAATACAAATATCTTGCACCCAAAAAGGTGAAATTCACAATGTCTGGTATCTAATCAAAGATAACCAGGCATGCAAAACAAGCAAGAAAATACAACTCACAGTGAGGAGAAAAATCAACCAATTGAAATTAACTCAGAACTGACACAGATACTAGAGTTAGCAGACAAGGTGCTTTGTATAGTTAAAATAAGAAGACGATTAAAATACGACTCATGAATCACATGGCTTATTGACAAAGAGATTCTTTTCTCCCCCACAATGCTTAAACAGGTGGAGAATAATGAGAACAAATCTCTTAGGGAATACACTCAATAAATGAGATACACTAACCTCATAGTGTGTGAGTTTCCATTTCATTTAGAGTCTAATTATTAAAGTCTATTTGCCCAATTAGGGTGGAAGTAGGCCGCCATGAATACAAAGTCTAGTCAAAGTTTGAGGCATAAAACTATGCATCTGACAAATGTCTAATATCCGGCATATATAAGAAATGTAAATGAATTTACAAGAAAAAAACAACCCCATTAAAAAGGACATGAATAGACACTTTTCAAAAAAAGACATATATATGGCCAACGAGCATATGAAAAAAGCTCAATATCACTGATCATTAGAGAAATGCAAATCAAAACCACAATGAGATAATATCTCACACAAGTCAGAATGGCTATTATTATAAAGTCAAAAACTAACAGATGCTAGAGAGGTTGAGGAGAACAGGAAACACTTATACACTGCTGGTGGGAATGCAAATTAGTTCAACCATTGTGGAAAGCAGTGTGAAAATTCCTCAAAGAGCTAAAAATAGCACTACCATTCAGTAAATCAATGTGTACAAAGGAAAGATCACTGGAAAGGATAACCACTGGATAATTCAAATTTATTTATTATATTTATTTCTTATTATCAAAATATATTTTACAGATAATTGACTAAAACAAAATCGAGTGTGGGATTTATAACTAATGTATATTTAAATGTATGACAAGTACTGTAAGACTATTGTTAAGGTTCTTATACTATACGTAAAGTGGCACAGTAACACTTAAAGATATTGACCCAGCAATACTACTACTGGGTATATACCCAAAGGAATATAAATCATTCTACCATAAAGACATAGCACATGTATGTTCATTGCAGCACTATTCATAATAGCAAGGACATGGAATCAACCTAAATGCCCATAAATGGCAGACTGGAAAAAGAAAATGTGATATATATACACTATGGAATACTACACAGCCATAAAAAGGAATGAAATCATGTCTTTTGTGGGACCATGGATGGAGCTGGAGGCCATTATCCTTAGTGAACTAACACAGAAAAAGAAAATCAAATCACATGTTCTCACTTATCAGTAGGAGCTAAATGATGAAAACTGATGGACACAAAGAGGAGAACAACAGACACTGGAGCCTACTTGAAGGAAGAGAGTGGGAGGAGGGAGGAGCTAAAAAAAAAAAAAAGATTGGGTACTAAGCTTAGTACCTAGGTAATGAAATAATCTGTACAACCAACCCTGTGATACGAATTTCCCTATATAACAAAACTGCACATGTACCCCTGAACCTAATAAAAAAGTTAAAACAATTACCAATTTGTTAAGTTAAAAAAGCAAAAACAAACAAAAAACAACATCTGAGGCGTATCTTTTTACAAGAGATTCTAGGGAGTGATGATTTGACCAACACAATGGGGATCCACAACAACATGAAAAGTCCCTCAACACTAGCAAGTGGTGCTGATGTTGGCTGGCCAGGCTCAAAAGAATAACTCAAAGGCTAACAGAGAGTAGCCCTGCCACAGCCTACATTCTCAACGTATCTGTCAAAATCTTGGGTTTATATGTGTTTTAGAGTCCAGTAGTTGAGGACATATATGAGTTCATATATGTGGTCTGATAAGGTGTGATATAACATTTCCATGGGGAGGAAGATTACACTCTGTGTTCTTACCACAGCAAAACTTTTATCATTCATGCAGCAAATTATGTGTCTGGAATCATTTCAAAGCTACATAACACGAGAACATTAAAATAGTCTTTATGGCTGGGCATGGTGGTTCACGCCTGCAATCCCAGCACTTTGGGAGGCCAAGGTGGGCAGATCACCTGAGGTCTGGAGTTCGAAACCAGCCTGACCAAATGGAGAAACCCCGTCTCTAGTAAAAATACAAAAAATTAGCCAGGCATGGTGGCGCATGCCTGTAATCCCAGCTACTCAGGAGGCTGGGGCAGGAGAATCACTTGAACCCAGGAGGCGGAGGTTGTGGTGAGCCAAGATCATGCCATTGCACTCCAGCCTGGGCAACAAGAGTGAAACTCCATCTCAAAAAAAAAAAAAAAAAAAAAAAAAAAAAAAAAAAAAGTCTTTATAACTATAGTCCATGTTTGAAAAGTCAATAGAAATACTAAAAATACCCAAATCAAATTTCTAGTGGTAAACACTACAATGTCTGAGGTGACAAATACACTGGATAGAATTAATGGTAGATTAAACATTGCAAAAGAGATGATTAGAGAACTTGAAGGCATAACAATAGAAACTATGCAAACTGAAACACACACACACACACACAAAAAACCAAGAAAAATGAATGGAGCTGTGGGACATTAGTGAGCTGTGGGACAATTTCAGTTAGCTTTATATATGTGTAGTAAGAGACCCCAAAGATGAGAAGGTAGAGAGAGAAGAAAAATATTTGAAAACATAGTGGCCAAGATTTTTCCAAATTTGATGAAAATGCTAAACAAACATATCAAAAAAAGCTCAAGAAAACCCCAAGCATAAAAAGCAAAGAAAAGGACACAAAGGCACATCACAATCAATTTCTCAAAATCGAAGAGAAAAGAAAATCTCAAAAACAACAAGATTAAAAAAATTATATATATATGCAGAGGAACAAAGATAAGGATAAGCACAGTTTCTAGTCAGAAACAATAAAAGTCAAAATACAATAAAGCAATAACTACAAAAAGCTAAAAGAAAAAAATCTATCAATCTAGAATTCTATACCCAACAAAGATATCTTTCAAAAACAAAGGTAAAATAAAGACCTCTCAGATAAACAAAAGCTAAAATAATTCATCACAAGGAGACCTACACCACAAGACCTGATAGAGAAAATTCTTCAGGTAAATCTCATTCAGTAAATCAGTCTATACAAAGGAAAGATCACAGGAAATGGTAACCACTGGGTAATATATATTTATTAAATTTATTTTCTTATTATCAAAATATATTTTACAGATAATTGACTAAAATAAAACTCAGTGTGGGATTTATAACTAAAGTATATTTATGTGTAAGTAAAATGTATGACAACTACTTTAAGACTATCGTAAGGTTCTTATACTGTATGTAAAGTGGTATAATATCACTTCAAGATAGACTGTGATAAGTTAAAGATATATACTGTCAAATCCTATGGCCATCACTAAAATAACTACACAAGGAGTTACAGCTAATAGAACAATAGTAGAGGTAAATGGAATCATAAAAACACAAATCCAAAAACAAATAAGATATAAGGTTAATGTACATAAGTCAATTGCTTAGTTATATACTAGCAATGAGCAATTGGAATTTGAAATTAAAAACACAATACCATTTAGACTAGCATCAACAAAAGGGAAATACTTAGGTATAAACCAAACAAAATATGTACAAGACCTATGTAAGAAAATTATAAAACTTTCATGAAAGAAATCAAAGAAGATCTAAATAAGTGGAGAAATATTCTATGTTCATGGATAAGAAGACTCAATATTGTTAAGAAGTCAGTTCTTCCCAACTTAATCCATAAATTTGGTGCAATCTCAATCAAAATCCAAACAAGTTACTTTATGGATATGGACAAATTCTAAAGTTTATCTAGAAAGGAAACAAACTAATAGCCAACATAATACTGACAAAGAAAAACAAAGTTGGAGAAATAAAAGTCTTCAGGCTGGGCACGGTGGCTGATGCCAGTAATCCCAACACTTTGTGAGGCCAAGGTGGGTGGATCACCTGAGTCAGGAGTTTGAGACTAGCCTGACCAACATGGTGAAACCCTGTCTCTTGTTAAAAATACAAAATTAGCTGGGCGTGGTGGCGCATACCTGTAATCCCAACTACTTGGGAGGCTGAGGCAGGAGAATTGCTTGAACCTGGGAGGTGGAGGTTGCAGTGAGCTGAGATTGCACCATTGCACTCCAGCATGGATAACAAGAGTGAAACTCTGTCTCAAAAAAAAAAAAAGTCTTCAACTTCAAGACTTACTATAAAGCTACAGTAATCTGACAGGCATGGTGGCATGCACTTGTAGTCCCAGCTATTGGGAGGCTAAAGCAGAAAGACTGCTTGAGTACAGGAGTTCTGGGCTGTTGTGTGCTATGCCAATTGGATGTCCACATTTAGTTCAGCATCAATATGCTGAAAGCAGGGAACCAACCAGGTTGCCTAAAGAGGAATAAACTGGCCTAGATTGGAACTGGAGCACTCCAAAACTCCCATGCTGATCAGAAGTGGGATCAAGCCCATGAATAGCCACTGCACTCCATCCTGAGCCACATAGTGGGACCTCATCTCTTAAATGAATACATGCATACATTCACAAAGCTACAGTAATCAAGACAATGTGATATTGGTGAAAATATAGATAACTAGATAAATAGAACAAAATAGAGCCCAGAAACAGACTCACATAAATATAGTTAAATGAACCTTGACAAAGAAGCAAAGTCAATTCAATGCAGAAGGATAGTCTTTTCAACAAACGATGCTGGACCAAATAGTCATTCACATCAGTCTAAACACTGACCTTACACCTTTCAGAAAGATTAACTCAAAGTGGATCATAGAAGTAAATATACAATGCAAACTATAAAAATTCCAGACGATAACATAGAAAAAAATCTAGGTGATCTTGGGCTTGGCAATGAGTTTGAATATAACACTTAAAGCACAATCCATGAAAAAAAAATTGATGTTAGGCTTCATTAAAATTAAAAGCTTCTGCTCTGACAAAGACACTGTTAAGATAATGAATAGACAAACCAAATATTGGGAGAAAATTTTTACAAAACACCTATCTGATAAAGGACTTGCATCCACAGGACTCTTAAAACAGCAATAAGAAAACAAACAATCTGATTTTAAAAATGAGTAAAAGATCTGAACAGACACTTCTTCAAAGAAGTAACACAGATACCACTACACACCTGCAGATCCTCCTCAACTTACAGTGGGGTTATGACTCAATAAGTTCTTTGTAAATTGAAAACTCATAAGTCAAAAATAAATGTAATATACCTAACCTACAGAACATCATATCTTACTTGGCTTAGCCTATCTTAAACATGCTCAGAACACTTCCATTAGCCTACAGTTGGACAAAATCATCTAATGCAAAGCCTATGTTATAATAAAGTGCCAAATAACTCATACAATTTATTGAAGAGTACACTGCACAGTACTGATTGTTTACCCTTTGACCACATGGCTGACTGGGACTTGGGGCTTACTGTTACTGCACAGTATCACGAGAGAGTATCGTAACACATATCACTAGCCCAGGAAAAGATCAACATTCAAAATTTAAAGTATAGTTTCTACTGCATGCATATTGCTTTCACACCATTGAAAAATCAAAAAAGTGTAAGTCAAACCATTGTAAGTTGGGGAACATCTGTATCAGAATGACTAAAATCCAAAGCAATGACATCGCCAAATGCTGGCAAGGATGTGAAGCAACAGGAACTCTCATTCATTGCTGGTGAGAAAGCAAAATGGTACAGACAGTTTGGCAGTTTCTTACAAAGCTGAACATACAGCAATCCTATAATCTAGTGATTCCACTCCTAGGTATTTGCCCAATAAAAAAGAAAGCATACCTCTTTTCAAAAATTTGTAGTCAAATGTTCATAGTAGATTTATTTGTAATAGCCATAAACTAGAAAGAACCCAAAATATCCATCAACAGATGAATGGATAAGCAAATGTAGTATATACATACAGTGGAAAACTACTTTGCAGGAAAAAGTAATGAAGTACTGATACATGCAACAACATGGATGAATCTCAAAATAAATTGGAGTAAAAAAGCAAGACCAAAATGAGTTTATACTGTATGATCCATTAATAAGGAACTCTAGAAAATGTAATATAATCTATTGTGACAAAAACAGATCAGTGTTTTGCTTATGAGGGTAAGGTAAGGAAGGGTAAGAGACATGGATTGCAAAGGTCATGTAGAAACATTTAAGGATAAAAGACATGTTAATTATCTTGAGTGTGGTGATGATCTAATGGGTATGTAAATATGTTAAAACATCAAATTGGACTAAATATGTGCTGTTTATTGGATGTCAGTTATAACTCAATAAAGCTCTTTTTTTTTTTTTAATTTCCCTTGCTTTATCTTTTTTGGTTCCATGTTTCACTCTCACAATAATTCCTTCCAGCTGTGTTGTAATCTCCTTCCGTAAGAGTTGTTTAAAATATAAAGAACAACTTCTTCATTTACCATTATATAAAAATATTTATTGAAAACCTAATGTATATAAGCCAATGAAGTGGGCACTTGAAGGGGATACAATTGGGCATTATAGAGATAGATATCAGATTACAAGGGATAAATAATACAGATGGTGATGAAATCTAGTGACAGATGCAGTTTACTAGAGTATAAAAAGGCTCAGGGAATGATTAAACAGTAAAGCAATTATTAGGTCCATGAAGAGCTCTTGCCAGAAAGTTTTTGGAAATGGCCAGGTTAATGTGTCAGAATTTCAAGCAGAATATAGAAGTTCCCATAGACAGGTCCTTACAGGTAAATTATTTTATATGTTCTCATTTATTAAACTGAAATACATTAAATCTCAATGTGAGGATATGAGCATAGAACTAATTTTTAAAAGTAGATTCCAGGACACATGTATTCATAGTATGTCTTCTGTAAGAAAAGTACAGAAACACATAGTCCCAGTGTCATCCAATTCAACTATTTCTCGTAGGTTTATAGATCTCAGTTGATGTTTTTAAAATACATCAACTTTGGCACTCTCCCCTCAAAGGCCAGGAATCTCTGGCTGTTATGCCTCAAGTGGAATAAGACTCCCGGAGAAATTCTTTTGCCACCACAACTATTTCAGTGTGGTTCTAAGTGGCGAGTCTCAATGCTTGCCAAATTCCTCTGGTCTGATCCCATCTGGATGAACCCAAAATACAGCAAAATAGGACCTTCTATTTCCTGGTCATATTTGATTATCCAATATCCCTCCAGAATCATGCCTGCTTTTTATCTTTAAGCAATCATTGGCCTAAGGCTCTTAATCTAATCTAAGACATTGTGTACAAATAGGCACAAGGAACACCCCCTCCCAACACTGCTATACTTTCACCTTTACTGAAAAAACAATTTAAAAAAAACCCTAAGAGTGTTCACAGCTTTTACTTATGTAGCCATAATTATGGGCCAAATTATATGAGCCTCAAAGTCCCCTGACAATTAATGGTTTCATATGAAGGATCCACTACGTGTTAGGTACATAGTGCCTCTTTCTAATTGCACTTAACTTCCGTTTAAAACCTAAGCCAGGGTCCTCTAATAGAGAAGCAAAATTCTGTCTAGTTCCTTAAGGTCCTTCCCTCTAATTCAAACTCAAGGCATTCCAGTAAGCCAACAACACCCAAGCAATTTGAGAGGCCCTTAAATGAAATTCCCCTGAGTCACCTCCTGCGACGATTCTAAACTTTTTTGTGGGGGAGGGGGCCGTGGGGGGGAAACAGAGTCTCAGTCTGTTGCCCAGGCTGGAGTGCAGTGGCGCCATCTTGGTTCGAGCAATTCTCCTGCCTCAGCCTCCTGAGTAGCTGGGACTACAGGTGCACGTCATCATATCCACTAATTTTTTGTATTTTTAGTAGAGATGGGGTTTCACCACGTTGCCCAAGCTGGTCTCAAACTCCTGAGCTCAGGCATTCCGCCCACCAAGGCCTCCCAAAGCGCTAGGATTATAGGCATGTGCCACCACGCCCAGCCTAAACTTTCTTTTCTTGCTCTGGCCTTTGCTAAATCCATCTTAGCTTTTGTTTCCTAACTCATTCCACCTCCCCACACTACTAGTTAAATAATGTAGTCCTTATTCCTTTTAACAACAGTCCTGGGCCCCTTTATATTGAACATAACTTCTACCTATACTCAGACCAAGTACGTATAATTTCACACTGAAGCTGTTCATCACATAGTTCAGTAAGTTTCAGAAAAACACTAAAAATCCAAAGTTTCTAAAAATGTAAACATAATATTCTACATAGACTATATATTCTAGATTTATCTAATAGTGTTTAGCCAGATGAAAAGCAGGGGCCAAACCCAAGTACTCTCCAAATGTCTTCTTTGGGTGAGTTCAACTTGTACAAAAGTTCTTGGATAGGATGCAGATGCACTGCAGCTAAGTACAGAGGAAAGCCATAAAGAAAAGGGAAATGTATGAATCACAATCAAGATATAAATAACTTTCAGTAATTCATTTCCAGACAATTCACTCAATTCACATATTAATACTGACTTCAAGAAAATACTACTGAACAAGAGAGGCTCAGAATACCCAATAATGAAATACCTATTTTAAGTTATTATTTACACATATCACATTTTTCTGTGAACAGCAGATTTTTATAATAACTTATTAAACATAATATGTGTAACAGGTACTTTAATGTAGGTTATATAATTTAATACCCACAATAACCATAAAGTATTCTTGTTACTTTTGCCATATAACAGAGGAAAAAACAAGTCCCCAAAAGCTTTGGTTCCTTGCCTAATGTACCCCGCCCGTAGGTGGCAGAACAAGATATTCAAACCCAGATCTATCCAGCTCCAAAGCCTGTGCCCTTTCCAGTAGGATGCAGTCTCTGATGGAGTTCTCACTAGTGCTTTGGAAAATTCCTGACACATGGAGCACAGGTGTTATAATGGAAAACCACTAGACAATGGGTCAGAAGACTTGTCAGCCTGGCTGTGGCATGTGTGTGACCTTGGTCTAATCATGTTCCTTCTGCAGGCTTTTTCTCATCTATTAATATAAAATAGGGAGTTTGGATAGTTAATATTTAATGGCTTTTCCAGCTCTAATGTTTTACCATACTGATTCTATGAATTGTAGACAATGCAAAAGCATGTAATAAGGAAATGAGTAATAAAAAGGTTAACTGGGTATTTGAAACAATATAGCCAAGCAAGTCAAAGATTGAGGAAATTATACAGGCAGAAATGGAAAAAAATGGCTTTGTAGTGTTATCTTCCCAATATGAATAAAAAAGACTTTATATAGTATACAAAAAGGTAAACAAGATCCCATCAAAAAAAGAATTTTAGCAAACAAATTCATCTGTTTGAAGTTAAAATCAATTAACATTTTAATTATTTTAAATAAAACACAAAATACAGACATGAGAAAACATAGACAAACCCCAATACAGATATGCTTTGAGGTTTTTTTGTTTACTAGCTTCTGAAGAGGATATGGAGTTCCTTTTATATAAACAGAAATGTGGGTTGGCACTGCCAGGTATAGGGCAAGATAGTTAACGAAGTTTCCAGAAAGAGCAGCAGAGAACAACTCATTGTATCTCAAAAAGCTCTACTCATCAACAAAAGACAATGCTCTACTACAAAAGACAATGACTGTGTGAGATTTTAATCTTGTTTTGCTTTCCATATTAAGGCCACAAAGTCAGTCTGTGCAAGCGCAATAACTTAAAACCTTCATAGTACATGGTGTTCCCCTATATTGAGCCAAGATTCTTCAATCAGGCTTCCTGAGATTCTTCCTTGATTTTCTAAAATGATGACAACCAAGTGCCTCTTTGCTCAGCCGCCCTCACTAAGAGCCAATATGAGACATATGCAGACAAGCTCTGTGGGGAAACAACACAGGCCAGGGGTGAAAGTACACCTAAGCTAGTTCTCCAACAGCTGGGGCTAGACAGACAGCAAATGACCAAGAGCTCTCTGGGCCTTAGGAGGCCAATGGTTTGGGATGAACTGTCAGAATTGAGAAAGTGTCAAATTTCTAGGCTTGTGAGAGAGTACAGAGGCTCTGGTTATCCATCTTAAGTTCTCTCATTAGGTAAATATGTTTTATGTGGAAAAAAAAGATGATGAGCAGCCTGGCCAAAGAACCTAAGATAAATGAAATCTTCCACAGGATGTTCACAGACAAAAAGGCTGAGTAATGTAGAAGAGAAAAAAAAAATCCCTGAAGATGAAGGGAGGGAGAAAAAAATAAAGCCATCAGTTCTAACATTTGCCAAGGAAAGAGAGTGAGAACACTGTTTGGACTGTCCATAAACCAGGTAAAAGTGACGGTTGGTTCTGATAGAGTCCACACACACTTACAATACCCTTCCACCAATGCCAACCACCCTGCGCTTCCTCTGAAGGTTGCAGCTGCTTTTCAAAGCCCCCAGAAAGCAACAGGCAGAGTATAGTGACAGCTGGAAGGAAGGAGATTAGGCAAGGACTTGGCATAAATAGAAGTGTAGCCAAAAGGCACAAATATAAAGGGAGAGAGACAATTTTCCTGTGTGGTTTGTGTGTGTGGTATGGGGGGAGCTCAAAATAAGAGCTAGCCAAAGTTCTGGCCTTGACAGCCTGAAGGGTTTGGCAAGCACAGCATTTCTCATGGCAGCCGGGCCAGGAAATGAAGCTTTCAGCTGTCTGCTTCAATGTTTTGCTCACTGTCACCATTTTCATGTTTGGCCGCTGGCCCATTTGTATTTTCTTCTTCTTTGGAGATTAGCACATAAGTGTGGACAAAGTCCATTTTGGTCATTCAGGACTCTGCCATGTATCATTTCCTTCCACACCATTATCTGTCAACTAGGGACTTCAAGAACAAGAAATCCTGACAGAAGACTACACAAGCTATAGAATTAGATGATTTGTAAAAGACCTTGGAGATCATCTAACCCAGCCTGATCAGACTGATTTTACAGATGGGGACACTAATAGCAGCTAAGAGAAGTAAGGTGACATGCTAAAAACACACCAAAACTTAGAAAGTGGCAAAGTTGGGACAAGTACCCAGCTCTCTCATCCCCATCCAGCCAGTCACCTGTCCACAGAAATCACAGTGTTCCTTTAGGACTCCATCTCAGACAGCATAATAACTCCCCCCCCACCCCCTCGCCCTCCGCGCCTTTTTTTTTTCCTTGAGACAGAGTCTTGCTCTGTCGCCCAGGCTGGAGTGCAGTGGTGCCATCTCAGCTCACTGCAAGCCCCCAACCCCTTTTTTAGTGGAGACTTGATAAAAACTGTGATGTGTTCTGACTCTCATCAATAATTTGCATATAAGTTTGGTAAGTAATTATCCAAAATGTGTGGTCTCCAAAAAGAGAAACAAATGTGGAGGCACAGAACAGCACTCAGAGAAAAGACCCAAACTAAAACCAAGCAAAACACATGGCATTAAAAACCATCTTCATAAAACTTAGATTCCTACTTTTACTTATTACATATAATTATCACTATTATTAAATCATGACGATCATGCTGCTTCCCAAATAAACTATGGCCTCTGTTTATCCTGTCATGTTGATTTACAAAACAGCAAGTCAATTTTAGGCCTTGGAGATGTCTTCTAAATTAAATTAAGCATGGATTTAAAATATTATATTTCTAACTCAAGGAACAAATTTAAATATAGAAGATAATATTTTCATTTGAAAGAAAGAAAAACATAAAGAATGAAAAGTTACTTGCAACAAAAGTAAACCTATATTATAGAAATCATTTCATAACTTTTTTTGCCAATGGAAATAATTTCTGATATTGACAGAAATCACATACTCAGAAATACGTAACCCTTAAAGGGCTTAAAAGAGTCTAACTCTGAAAAGGAGTTTGAGAGTGGAGGGGTAGGTAGATGTAAATCAATCTGCATGTAAGGTCATAACAAAGCAATCTATCTTCTTTCCTCAAACTGTGGTTTCCTTTACTCTAAAAAATTTTTTCTTCCAGTACTATAGAAATCATGTCATATGACATTTAAAAAAAAAACACTTCATTAACTAGTAAAAGTTAAATTAACTAGTTTTTCCTTCTTTATATTCATTTCAGTGTAACAGATAGTCTTTAATAGCTTTACCAAGCATCATTTAATTCTGGGAATAAGGAAATTAAAGGATGCTTCTGACATAAAAGCACTCAAAATTAACTGGGGAAACCAACATATGAATGGAATGACCCTGAGTCATAAGTCTTGTGATAAAAGGTACTTTGAAAGCACATGGGAGGGGCTGCAGACCAGCCTGGGAAGGTCTAGGAAGGCCAAATGAAGAAGATGACACCTGAGATAAAGGATAAACATGAGTTAGGCAGGTTAAAAGAAAGGAGTCCTACTTTTATTATGCTTTATGTTTTCTTATCTAACATACTCATTTCATAGGAAATTTGATCTATCCCATAAAACTTTCGAAGGAAAAATGACATCATCATTGTTGTGTCGAAATAAGATTAACAAAGAGTACCAAACATACTGAATATCAAAAAACAAAGACTTAAACCAAATAATAATGTTAATGTAATACCCAAACGTCAGAAAACACAGCAACTTTTCAGCGTTGTCACACGAGATTTGTCTACTCATATTTATGTATTACAGAATACTAACTATATGCAGGACATTTTGCTAGTGCTGTAGCAGATGCAATCATGATTAAGCTGGTCTCTCTTGCCAGGGAATTTATCATTTTGCTTTAGTAGTATATTCTTTCCCATGCAGAGAAAAAGCAGCAATTCTCAAAACTTTTAGTCTTGGGTTCCCTTTAAGAATATAAAAATTATTGAAGACCTATAGAGCTTTTACTTGGGAGGATTATATTTACCATATTAGAAATTAAAATAGATGAATTTTAAAGCATTTATTTAATTCATTTAAAACTAACACTAATAAACTCATAACATCTTATCATAAATAACATTTTTATGAGAATGACTAGATTTTCTAAAACAAAAAATGTTCATGAGAAGAGTGGCACTGTTCTGCATTCCTGCAAGTTTCTTCAATGTCTGACTTAATAAATGACAGCTAGATGGTGACTCTTGGCACAGTAACAAGGGTGACCCTATGCTCAACTTGCTTCGACAGTCCCGGTTTATTGCTGTTATCTCAGAGTAATTATTAATAGAGCCCCTTTACTTTCAAAAATATCCTAGTTTTGATGATAAATTATATGGTCACCTTGACAATACCCAGTTCAGAGTTTGAACTATAGAATGCCACTTTGCCCGGTTGTTTCAAATTGATTGGAATATAACCTATAGATTGAGTGCTATCAATTAACCAGATTTGCCTAACCTCTAGACTAATAAAACACTAGTCAAAACCTGGCACATTAATTCACACCATCACCAGAAATTGAGACAACTCAGTAAGACAAGAGACTTCTTTGAAAAAGTATGAAATCTACCAGACCTAACTCTGTGAGCATGGCAGGGGGTATGAAGAGGACTGCAAAAGAAATGCTGTAAATTCTGATTAGTGAACCTTGAAAGTGACGTGAATTTGGCTTTGCATCCCAAGTGGCAGAGAAACCTCAGCAGTTATCCAGCACTTTTAGAGAGTAGGGTAAAATTATAAGAACATTTTTATGAGTTGTGGCTGGCAAGCCCTGGCCTGTTAAAACTCTTTAAAAACCAATGCCTTGGTGGAGGTAACATTTACTGTTTACTGTAGCTGTGGTTGTTAGGGGTTATTGCTAAGGTCCTGGTTTTCCATGACATCAGCAGCATTCCAAGGGAAGTGTGTGTCAGTGACTTTCAGTAATGACTCCCTTTTCCAAACGTTCAAATCTTCTGCCAAGCTGCCCTACACCTGCACACCAGCTGAGTTGCAGGAAAAGGAAAAGCAAGATGGATTAAGTGGGATTTTTGTCTGGGCTCCTTAATGAGACTAAAGGCTTTTCTTCCTTCAGTGTTTGGTCTTGTGTAATAAATTGATGCCAACTCCTTTAGGAGTGACATGACTCATCCTTAACTTTTTATAAACTGATCTGATTATCTGTCATGACCTCTCTCTGTCATATTCTGGAATCGCCTTTTGAGAGTTTTCTTCTGTAGAAAAAGTTTAGGGCTTAATGAGACGATCAGCATGGCATGCCAACCCTCTGGCAGGGTTTCTCAGGGAGGCACCTGCTGCTCCCCAAATTAGCAGGAAGCAGAAGCAGTGAGGAGACATTACTGTGTGGCTGCTTCAAGGGTCACCTGGCTTTCAACGTTTCAAACCAGATGTGTTCTCTCAAGATGGCAGCAGCAGACCTCATTCTAGAGCCTGTCCTCGCCAAAAACAGGGATCTGGTTAACCTTATCTGAGGGTGCCTAGTGCCCACTCAAAAAGCCTGTGACTACTATCAGGGCCAGTGCCAATTGTACACTTTTATGAGACCTTTTTCCAAAGGCTTAAAGTGTTTTACCAATATTAACTCATCAGGAGTCATGGCAACCCTCGAGTAGAAAACTGGCAAATATTGGTTCAGGTGGGAGAAATTGTGGGATGGGATTGAGAAGAATCAAGTACTCTGCTAAGAGTGAGGCAGTGGGAGTGCTCCCATGCCCCACACTGCCACCCCTTAGGTAATTTATCCCTTTCAGGGCTTCTTCCAGTTCTGCCTAGGCTAGATGAACCTGCTTTTTTTTTTGTCTCAATCAAAGGGTTTTGAAAAATAAGCACTGCTGTTAATAAGGCAAAGCCTGAAGCTGTCAAAGGAAAACAAGAACAATTTTATACAAAGACACAAAGAACTGTCCTCTTAAGAGTTTTGATAAAAGAATGATTTATGTATGCAGTATCTGCTTCTATGACTGACACAAAGTACAAGGTTCAATCTTTCTGTACCTCAACTTTCTCATCTATACAAGCCAAAAAAAAAAAACCATTTAGAATATCTCCAGAGATGTTTTGAAATTTTAGTAATAAATGTTTTGAATTGCACAGAGATCTTTGAAGGAGGATCTCTGAAGTGTTGAAAAGTGCCCTGTCTTATAGTATGTTATAGTTCTAGAGGAAAGTCCTTTAATTACTGGTATATATGTTAGGAAATAAGGATAAATTCATGCGGTTTCAAGTGATTTTTAAAAATAAAAGCTGCTATAATTACAAAAAAAAATCATCTTTATCTTGCAGAAACATTTTTTTAAAAGTGGTAGAGGCAGGTTCTTCCATAGTATATGGCATCCACAGATAACACACTAATAAAGATGGCTACTTTTCCCAATTTCTCTTTGACTTCATCAAAAAGGAATTAAACATGAAAAAATACTAAAAGAACCATTCTCATTCAATCATAGATTGAATGAAGATAGAAAAGCACAGCTCTTAGGTTCAACTACTGAGTTAAGCTATAAAAGTCTGTTCAGTGTAAGCTCACATTGAGTTTTGAGCCTTAATTTCCTTGACTATTTTTTAAAAAGATAATTTTACAATTATACCTTGTTAGCAAAAGATTGGGCCAATTAGGAAATAAGTCTTTCAATAGACTTCCTGGTGTGCAGAATTAACAAAGTTATCCCTGACTAAATTCCACAAATCATTTTCATAAATAAATACATAAATTAGGGAGCAGAGAGAGAGACAGATACAGAGAAAGACAGAAAAGTTTTTATCCAAAATGCTTAAAACCCAAGAAAAGAGAATTTTTTTTTAAGTTTCTTTTCTCCTTGAAGAGAAAAGATTTAATGAGTTACTAATCCCCTCAGTAAAGTTCTTTGGTAATTGCCCTATTTTAAGCCACACTCATTTTGCTAGGAGCCTTTGCTGTTAAAAGATGTTGTTTTATTATGTGAAACTACACACAAAAGCAATGTAACAAAACGGTAAAATGTACTTCTGATTTTGTTATGCTACCAACCTATACTTACCCAGAAATTTTAACTGCCAAATGTCTTTTATTTAATGCAGACTTCATCTTTCACCACCCACCCATTACCACATGAAGTAACAACATCATTAGGAGTGGAAAACTCTGGGAATAACAACCTGAGCCCTGGAAAAAAAAAATACTAAATGGGAATCTGCCTGCAGCTCTGCAGATTTTCAAGCTTGTCCTGGCTTCTTGGGTCTGTAAGCTAGACTTTTGTGCCCAGACTATGGCTGGATGAGCAAGGCAAGCTCAAATCACACCCTGAGGGCTAGGAACAGAACACACAGTCTACAATCCTCTAAAGAGTTTTGAGAGCTTGCTACAGAGAATCCTTTCTCATTGGCCCTTGGTGATGTCATGCCCATGTCTCCAGGGCCCAGGAAATGCACCATGACTAATGGAGCGCCTCATCTGTGAATACACATTCCTTCTCAGAGGAGCAGCAACAGGCAGTGTCAGGGCAACGAAGAAGGCCCAGTTAGGGAATGCCAGTCAGTCATGCAAAAAGGGCTTCAGTAGTTTTGAAATAGACTGCTCTTGTTCACCTTCTCAGAAAACCCTCAGCAATTGCATGAACACCTGTGGACTGTAGTTCTTTAAAATGTGCATACCTTTTTGCCCCAATGAATAAAATTGAACAAGTATTCAAAGGCATATATTTAGGGATGTTCATCATAATATTGTTTATAATGGCAAAAGACAGTAAACAAATGTTCAACATAAGATTTCGATTCATTTATGGTGCATTCCATGTGGATTCCATGCAACTATTAAAGATAATGATGGTATTAATAGAATTGGAAAGAGGTTAACAGTGTATTAGCTTTTGTAGTCATTAAAGAACACTTTGATTTTAAAATTCTCAAGAACTATAAAATAATAAATTTGGGTTGTTTTATGTAACTTAAATCTGTAGTAATTTCTTACCATAGCAATAGGAAACTGAAACTAATGTAGCAGCCTTCCCCAAAGTTACACACAGCTTGTACTAGTAATGTCAAAACTCAAATCCTTAGGTCCAGTTTTCCTTCTATCAGGAGTGCAGTGGCGTGGTCTCGGCTCACTGCAACCTCCGCCTCCCGGGTTCATGTGATTCTCCTGCCTCAGCCTCCCGACTAGCTGGGATTATAAGCGTGTGCCATCACGCCAGGCCAATTTTTGTATTTTTAGTAGAGGCAGAGTTTTACCATGTTGGCTAGGCTGCTCTCGAACTCCTGACCTTAAGTGATCTACCCTCCTCGGCCTCCCAAAGTGCTGGGATTACAGGCATGAGCCAACATGCCTAGCTTATCAAAAACTTCTATACCTCCATCTGTTATTTCCATACTGTTTTCTCAAATATAGGAAAATCCCAGTTCAATGCTTTTATTGTGTTATATGGAAAAATACCTGATTAACTACAATATGGGACCATTGTATAGTGGTTAAGAGCATAGCCTCTGGACTGGTTTTGAACCCTGGTTCTGCCACTTATTAACTGTATGACCTTGGGCATGTTATCTAGTCTCCCTCTGTCTCAGTTTCATCATCTGTAAAATGAGGTTAATAATATCTATCTTAATAGGTTTATTGTCAGGATTTAATTAGTTAACATTTGCAAAGAACACAAAACACACCAGCATGGAATAAGCAGTATGTGTTTGTTACAATAAGCTTTTAAAAGTATGGCTGGTCTACTTCTTTTTTTTTTTTTTTTTTTTTTTTTTGAGATGGAGTCTCATTTGTCACCACACTACAGTGCAGTGGTGTGATCTCAGCTCACTGCAACCTCTGCCTCCCGGGTTCAAGCGATTCTCCTGCCTCAGCCTCCCAAGTAGCTGGGACTCCAGGCATGTGCCACCATGCTCAGCTAATTTTTGTATTTTTAGTAGAGATGGGGTTTCACCATGTTGGACAGGATGGTCTCGATCTCTTGACCTCGTGATCCACCCGCCCGCCTTGGCCTCCCAAAGTGCTGGGATTACAGGTGTGAGCCACTGTGCCCGGCCTGATCCACCTTTAATTTGTCATATGTGACCCTGCTCACAGCAAAACAAAATATTAAAGATGACTGGATAGCAAATAATTTAACTAAAAATTAAATTTTCAATTCAGACGTTTGATTCTTAACTAATTTTGATTTTTAATTACACAGTCTAGATCCTGTTTTGGAAGATTTTCCTATGTTTGGGCAAGTCACATTTTAAGCCAGACTACAAATAGATCAGCTAGTTTACAGATAGGAAAAGTGTCTCATTTATACCTTAAAACTAATATAGAGTCACTTTTTTTATAAATAATATAAGGACCAAGATTTTTAAAAATATGAACTATGCAGAGGGCATCTGATTAGCTAGCTTGTTCAAATGGCTGAGTCTCTTTTTATAGAATATGGTGAACGGTGGACTTTGGAATCTCATATTTAGAATCTTCAGCCATCCCTGAGGTAACTTAAGGCTCTACTGAAAATTTCTCTACTTGGCAAGAAATTAACTAAGTATGAGGATTTCTCTCCTCATCTCATATTCTCCTGTGCATGCTTGTAAGTATTACTTGCTTGGCTTGGATTTAATCTTAATGGAATGTAACCACTCCCAAAGCACTGAAAGCATTCACTAAGATTTGGACATGTTGCGTTTTGGATGAATGAGGAAGATTCTGTGACAGAAGATGGGAAGTAAGGATATTCAATCAAATCAGTGAAATACTGACAGGCAATACAAGCTTACCATAATAAGAAATGAGAACCAAATTGTAAGCTCCATGAGGGCAGAACCTATGTCTATGTGTATACTATTCCCCATTATAACCCTGAACCCAGCACAATCTTGACAAAGCTGGTAGGTGTGCAGTATTTCTGGAATGAACAAATGGGCTGCCAAAAGGAAAAGCTAAAGGCTAAATTTATATAAACAAAGCAACATGGGACGTTGCTGCACTGTCTAATATGGTTGGGATTGTGTAGAAAGAAAAATATTAGTAATATGAGGTGTTTATTTACAATAATCCATTGTACAAGTAGAATCACATGTCCTCTTTCCGGTGTTATTAAATCTTGCTGAAACTCAAAATGAAACTACCTCAGAAAGTGAGATCTTCCTTTGCTACATTAATTAAAACACTAGAGAAAAGCAGGTATTAGAATAGAGTAGAACACACAGACATTCCACTACACTTAAACACTATGTACTCAATGGTTTTACTCATCTTAAAATTTAACTGCATCTGCATTGGTAACACGTCTGAGCTGAAAAAGAAGGTAGAGCAGGTAATTTGGCAATTTAAAATTCTTAAGATCAATAAAAAGTATGCAAAATGTATACTTCATTCCTTAAAATATTAATCATAAAAATAACATAAAATCATCTTCATCAAAATGTAAAACCTTTGCTCTGCAAAAACCCTGTTAACAGGATGAAAAGGTAGTTTACAGAATGGGAGAAAATATTTGTAAACCATATATCAGACAAAGAACTTGTATCTAGAATGCGAAGAGGATTCCCAAAATTCAACATTAAAAAAATCAAATAACCCAATTAGAAAATTAGCAAAAAATATACACAGACATCCTTTCACTCAAGCGGGATATATAGATGGCAAGTAAACACATGAAAATATGTTTAACATCAATTAGTCATTAGAAAAATGTAAATTAAAATCACAATATTACTATCACCTATCAAAAATGGCATTTAAAAATTAATGATAACGCTAAATGATTTTGGATCACTCATACACTGCTGGTGGAAATGTAAAATGGAATCGCCATTCTGGAAAACAGTCTGATAGTTCCTTTTAAAACTAAAAATAGATTTACTATACAACCCAGGATTGTACTCTTTGATACATATCCCAGAGAAATGAAAACTTTTCTCATAGAAATTTGTACATGAAGGTTCAGAGCAGCTTTATTCATAATAGTCCCAAACTGAAAACTATCCAAATATCCTTAAAAGGGTGAATAGTTAAACAAACTATGGTACATCCATACAACAAAATACTACTCAGCAATAAAAATAAATGAATTCTATATACACATAACCACTTGGATGAACCATAAGAAAAGTGGAAAAAGCCAATTACAAAAGGCTACATACTGTATAATTTCATTTATGTAATATTTGTGAAATAACATGATTACAGAGATGGAGAACAGATTCACGGTTACCAGAGGTTAGGGAATATGAGATGGGGTGGGTGTGGCTAGCAGGATGTGGCACGAGAGGCTTCTGATAATACAGTGAGGCATTTTGATGGATGCTAGTGGTTATTCAAAGCTACGCATGATGACACACAAAAATGAATGCATGCATTACTGGTGAAATAAGTTTTATGGGTTGTACCCATATTGGTTTCCAGGTTTTGATACTGTACTTGAGCCATGGAATATGTCAACACTGGGGAAGGCTGGGTGAAGGATATATATGACCTCGCTGTACATTTCTTTGTACCTTGCTATGAATATATAATTATTTAAAAAAAAAAGTTTTCTTAACAAGCCAAAATAATCTTAAAAAAATCATTCAGATTTGGCCAGGCATGGTGGCTCATGCCTGTAATCCCAGCACTTTGGGAGGCTAAGGCGGGAGGATCACGAGGTCAGGAGTTCGAGACCAGCCTGGCCAATATGGTGAAACTCCGTCTCTACTAAAAAAATACAAAAATTAGCCAGGCGTGGTGGTGTGCGCCTGTAGTCCCAGCTACTCAGGAGGCCGAGGCAGGAGAATCGCTTGAACCCGGGAAGTGGAGGTTGCAGTAAGCCAAGATCACGCCACTGCACTCCAGCCTGGGCAACACAGTGAGACTTCGTCTCAAAAAGAAAAAAAAATCATTCAGATTTAAGAGTACTGTCTTTGAAGGTAATGTGACTTTAAAGCCACAGGTTCCATTTTTTAAAAAGCATACATGACTTCTCTTCTACCAGACATTCATTTTTAGAAAATAAAACATTTTCCTCTATCCTCAAATTCAAAAACAGCTGAATAAATATTCCTCAGTTTCCAAACAGAGTAATCCTTGAGTAGAAATACGTGGAAAAAGAAAATTCCTAGTATAAACCAATATGTGCCTGCCTTACCTGAAAAACAGCTAGAATCACATCATCTCTGAGTTGGAAAGAACTTCAAGTTCTTCCAGTTCAAATTCCCACCAACATAAGATTCATTTCTCTAATATTTCTGATTGAGCTAACCTTTGAATACATGCAATTACTATATTGCCTGCCCCCCACATTCTTTTCTGGAAAAAGCATCCCTCTTTTTTCTGTGAACTGCTTTTCTCAATTATAGTTCTCCTAAGAGCCAATTTTTTCCATCCCGAGATCAGTCCAGAGAAGGCACTGGAACCAAACTAGGGGTCCTGCCCCTTGGCCTTGGTTGATTTGTTCAGAATTGGGCACTTGGCCCAACCTGGACCAGAGAATTTTTCCAAGGTTTTTCTCACTAAATGTGCTAGAGAGAGTTTCTCTTGATTGTTGGGAGATGTATAACCCAGGCATGCTTAGCAATCATGTTTCACATAATGTGCATGAGAGAGTAAGTCTGCAGAGGGAAAATGAGCTAATACTCTGAGAGAAGCAGAGATGAAAGAAAGAGAAATAAGGAAAGCTGCATTTGAGTCTCTGGTTCTAGCAGTTTCTGGGGCCCAGTGGGATGCCTGCCCTCTCCACAGTTTGGCTGTTCAATCCTTTCTTTGTTCACATGAGACATTCCTAATATCTTTCCACTAATTTCCTCTTTTTACCAAGCTAGTTCAAGTCACGTTTCCACCACATGCAATGAAAAGAATATCCTACTATGAATAAGAAGTCCATAACTCACAATACAGCCTGTTAAGAGCTCTAATTGTTAGAATGTTCTTCCTGATGTTGAAACACATATGCCTCCATGGATATTCCAACTATTGCCTTACATCCTTACCAAGGCTCATCTTCCTCTTTCCAATATTCAAAGATTATGATCACATAACCTTTGTGGATATTCATTACTTTTTGTCTGTACAGCATATATTTCCTTACTATTTTGATAATAGCACCCCAAATCTTTGAGGAAAATTACCTCTACCCCACTGAATGCAGCCTAATGGGATTATGAGTCAAGATTCCCTGCCATTCTTTAGCCAAAAAGTGAACATATGACCCAAGCCAGATCCCCTAGTTTTGAATCTTAACAAAAACACTGAAAGTTGCTGGAGTGTGATAACTTTGGCAGTGAAGCCCAGAAGAATGTGACTGCCAGGTTTACTGAGCCCTCTTAAGCTGTTCTTTCCCTGTCCTTTCTGAGCCTGATTCTTCCTTCTTCTCTTTGACTCTGTAAACTCTTTAATATCCTTCCAATAAGAAATGCTATTAACTGGTTAGTTTATATAATTAAACAAGTCTATCTTAAACATATCCCCAAAGTTTTCTCTTTTTTAGGCTAAGTAATCTCAGCTTGTTGAACTGTACTTCAGGTGACTTGATTTCCAATCTATAATCTGATTG
This sequence comes from Homo sapiens, assembly GCF_000001405.40. Lineage (NCBI taxonomy): Eukaryota > Metazoa > Chordata > Mammalia > Primates > Hominidae > Homo > Homo sapiens. The sequence goes on along the minus strand of NC_000014.9, from coordinate 68,131,821 downwards.
GTTCCCTCCTAAATGAACATTTATCAAAAATCTTTGTGAACACATGGCAGTCAAACAAAAGGTGGTCTGACCAGAACAGAGAGCGATAGGAAGAATATGTCGATCTTTTTATTTTTTTATTTTTTTGAGATAGAGTTTCGCTTTGTCACCTAGGCTGGAGTGAAGTGGCATGATCTCGGCTCACTGCAACCTCCGCCCACTGGGTTCAAGCGATTTTCCTGCCTCAGCCTCCCAAGTGGCTGGGATTATAGACGCATGACACCACGCCTGGCTAATTTTTGTATTTTTAGTGGAGGCAGGGTTTCACCATGTTGGTCAGGCTGGTCTCGAACTCCTGACCTCAGGTGATCAGCCTGCCTTGGCCTCCCAAAGTGCAGGGATTACGGGCGTGAGCCACCGCACCCAGCGAATATGTCCATCTTTGATCTTGACATGTACTTTTGTTAATGCAGCTCCAAAGCCCACATCACAAGCACATGACACTGAGGCAGATTTTGATTTTATAGACAACTAAAATCTTAAGTCATTTTATATTAACTTCTATAAAATTAAATATTTTCAGCTGTATAGTATACAGTTTACTTTTAAAATTCTAAGTGACATTGCAGCCTTTTAGGCTTGATGTGGTTTCAGTTAAGTCTACAAAATTTGCCAATGTAATGATATGGTTGTCACTGACTTTAGAAATACAGATTGAGTTTTATTCTCTAACAATGTGACAAGGGAATAAAATAACAATAATCCTGTTTATCAATCTGCTCTAAAGGAATTTAATAATTCTAAATTTGGATATTTGAGTCACATAATTAGCTAAATACATTTGTATAAAAGAACCTCTGAGCCACTGATACTCAAACAAATAGAGCCTGACTTTTCCTAAGGGATGAAAAAACAAAATTTGGTAAATAAAAGACACACACACACACACAAACACACACCCACACACACAAAGTCAGCCATATAGATCAGGCATTAAGAACCAGTAGATTATGGAGGCTTACTTGATAACTCTCAACAATCTGTGACTGCCAAGCACTTTTCTCTGATATTTACAGGAATTCCCATAGGAAGTGAAGTTGCCACCATTTCACCTTTGAAATTTTATTTTCAGGATTCTTACTTTAGTTCAGAAAGTTTATAATGCTCAGAGATCTCAAGGCTTCAGTAAAAGAATCAATTTCTACAAAAAAAGAGAGGAGATTGGCTAAAGAAAAATTATTAGACATTTTGTTTGAATTTCTGAGATCTTTAATTTTAACCATGGCTTTAATCCAAGATATGCTATACAATGAGAATTTTGAAGAACAAATACAGTTGTAAAGCAATAGAGAGATGATTCCTAAAAGGGAGGGCTGGCTGCCCAGTTTGTTCCCCAACATTGGTTTTCATCTTGGTGAATTTATCTTCATTCCAGGATCTAAATCTCAGCTAATCAGTTTCAAAACCCAATCTTTAAACACAGCAAGAGGAGACCCACATTAAGCAGATTCACAGAGGCTGATGTATATAATAAGAATGTTGATTTATTAATCTCCTCAGAGAAAATCAATTGCTACATAGACCAGGAACACTTGAGTCAGCCACACTACTGTATTTTCTCCTCTGAAGGCACCCTCTATGGACCAGAGAACAACCTCTAGGAGTTGAGAGCAGTCCCTGGCTGATACCAAGAAAACAAGACTTCAGTTCTAAAGCTGCAGAGGAATGAAATCTGCCAATAAAAGGAATGATCTTGGAAGAGGACTATGAGCTCCAGGTAAGAACACTGCCAACCAATACCTTGATTTCATTTCAGCCTGAATAGAAAACTCAGCCATACTGTCCTGGATTTCTATCTACAGAAATGTGAGCTAATAAATGGCTGTTGTTTTAAGCTGTTAAGTTTGTGGTTACACCGCAGTAGAAAACTAACACACCTATAGACCAATGATCCTCAAAATGTTGTTCCCCAACCAGCATCACTATCATCTAGGAACCTGTTAGAAATGCAAATTCTTGGGCCATAAGCATCTGGGGATAGGGCCTAGGAATTGGTACTTTAACAAGGCCTCCAGTTAATTCTAAAGTATATACTAAAGTTTGAGAACCACTGGAGTACACTCTGCTTGTAGGCACAGGCAACCTTTACCTTGCGATTTGATCTTGTCCATGCTTCTATAGATGACCAACATCTTTTCTGACTAATATCTGCTATTTAGTTTTGCAGTCAAGTCTTTTATTCTTTCAAGATCATAGTATTTAAGAAAATTGTGTAAATTTCCACTGTGACCCTGTGCTTATCGATTTCTAGTTTAGGGGAAAATCTAATTTCCCCTTTTAAGTGACAGGCACCTCACTGCTGTTGCCCTGTGGTATCTACACTGAACCAGACACTAGGTACAATGTAGCAGTTGTAGTTAAACTACCAAATTGATGTTAAACTAAATTATTCTCTAGTTAAAGAATAATGTGACATGTGTAAGTCTTTAAGTTTTAGCTGTGTTGTCACCCCAAACTCTAAACTCATAGAGTTCTCAGTTTCTCAGTTTCAGCAATCAGTGTTTGCCTGGAAGTGAGCATCCTACCTCAGTATACAAAGAAAACTCGTAAGGTATAGTAGAAAGAGGCTTGAACAAGCAGCCAAGAGACCTAGGTTCTAGTTTAGGCTCTACTATGGACTTGCTGTGTAACCTTAAACAAATAAGTTAACATCTCAGAGCCGATCTCCTCATCTATAAAATAAAAGCCTCTAAGCAAAGGATCTCCTACAGCTAAATCCTTCTGTGGCTTTCTCATTCACAGTGAATTCTTCCAGAAGCAAGACCAGTGCCCTTGATGACAAAAAAGAGCAAGATACAAAGTAGTAAATGATACTGCAACTGGCTTAGTTTGTGTCTCCTAAGAAGAGAAAAAGGCTAGATACCTTCTCATCTCTAGGAAATTACCTTTCAGAGTAAAGAAAAATTAATTTCAATGAAAAACTACATGTTAACTCTTTTAAAATAGAGAGCTACCAAAACTAGCTTGAGAGTTTAAATTAAAATTATGAATGCTAACTTAGTAAGAGCTGTGTATCTGTTACCAAGTTCATATCATTTGAGAGCAGAGATACAGAGCAGTATCTACAAGCCCCCCCACTCACGTTTTTTTTGAGACAGGGTCTCACTCTGTCACCTAGGCTGAAGTGCAGCAGCATGATTTGGGCTCACTGCAACCTCTGCCTCCCGGGTTCAAGTGGTTCTCCCACCTCAGCCTCCCGTGTAGCTGGGGCTACAGGCGTGTAACACCACACCCAGCTATTTTTTGTATTTTCTGGTAGAGATGGGGTTTCACCATGTTGGCCAGGCTAGTCTCGAACTCCTGACCTCAAGTGATCCATCCACCTTGGCCTAAGTGCTGGGATTATACGAGTGAGCCACTGGTGCCTGGCCTATAAGCCCCTTTTTAATGAAACCTACACTCTGTCAGGTTTGACCTGAAAATTCCAGGTAATTTGATTGCAAAGAAACTCCTCTTGCGATCTAATTGACTTCTCTTCACATTAACTTTATTGAAGGTCTATTTCTCTGGGTGAGAATCTAAGCTAAAGATAGAGACACAAAAAGGATTAAGCTTCTAAAGGAATGAAGTTTGATCTTCCAAAGGAAGAACTTGGAACAATCAAAACCAAACTCATATTCCAGCTTCTAAATACTGCCATGTTCAGAAGGTTTCTACATTTCTCTTAAAAGCCATTTGGTCCCAGTGATACTTCCCAAGCGGTAAAAAGAATTTTCACTTTAAAGCTAACGAATTTTTATGGGTTTTTCTAATTGTATCATACATTCATTTTTATGTTCCATTCAATAGATATTTGTTGATCATCTACCATGCTCTCCAAGCCCTATGCTAGGAACCTCAGCATAGAAGGTATAGCACCTACTCACAGGGAACTTACATTCCTAGGGGACACAAACTAACAGGCAATTCCATCATGAGATACAATGAAAACTCTAAAATTTAATTCTATCTGATAACAGATCAATTCTACTTAACCTTCTAAGAAATGACAGAATACCATCTCTGGGTTTTAAAGTAAGAGTGAATAAGCAACATATCCTTCCTATCATGATGATATCAACATAATAAAGCAGAATACTTCATTGTTACTTGTGGTTTTCCAGGGACAAAAAGCATTACTGTGTGTATGTGTGTGTGTGTGTGTGTGTGTGTGTGTGTGTGTGTGTGTGTGTGTGTGTTACAATGTACAATTGTTATTTATGAATTATCACTATACAGTACCGCTAACTGGAATATGAGCCCCTATATTTCCCATTCATATACTCAAGGCCACCATTCACTGAATAAATCCAACATTCATTCAATACAAATTAATGAGTACTCTGTGTTGCAGCATTATGCTAGGCCCTGGGTTAATACAGATGGAGGACTTAGTCCTATCCCCATGGAATTTGCAGTCTAATAGAAGAGACAGCTATATAAACAAATCGTTGAAACAGTATGTGAATAGTGCTTTTAAGAGCATATAATCCTAGCAGAGCACAGGGAGTGAACAGACCACTCAGGAGGAAACCAGGTGGGTTGGGGTTGTTGCCTGATCTATAGCTACATTCAATGGTCTGGGTGGAGTAGTTTGGGAAATACAAAAATAAATAAGACAAAATCTCCTTTCTGATTTCCATGATAAATAGGGAGAGAGATGAAAAAATATAATTTGAGGCACATATATGAGATAAGCCCTTTTACAGAGGGTCAAAGTGCTTTGGAAAAGCAGAGCAGAGGATAACTACTTTCTTTTAAGGGTGCTGGAGAAGGTTTCACAAAGGAGGTGGTATCTGAGGTGGCTCATTAGCTTATACTCTGGAAGGTTCTATGTATACCAGCAGACATAAATTATTTCAGTTCTGAAGAGGTGCTTTTAGATTTTCCCTCAGCTACTTTAAAGTCTTTATTGAGAAACTGCAATAAGCAAATATATTCTCCGTAGAACGAATCCACCCAAACACCTTGAGATTCTCATTCCACATATTTCACACATGATATCTTTTAAGTCTGGGAAAGTAGACTAGGAAATGTTTCAAATACTCAAGGGCCTCAAAACATATATGTTAGAAAGTGTACCTAATTTCCAAAAAAGGTACAATTGCAGAAGAATCCATTTTGATTGGAAAACAAGCTGCTCACTTCTGGTATGGAACAGATGCTGCAGTTTGAGTACTAAGGAAGTAAAAAGCACCTCTGCTGTCAAGTAAGTCACTGCACAGTCTCTTCTCCAGCTCAGCAGCAATCTCATGCTGATCAACGTGTCATACATGAAAACCCATTTTCTTTGGTGAGGGGCTATAGTTTTATGCAGTTATTCAAAGGAGTAGAACACTTCTGACTGCTGCTTCCAATCTTTGCTGACAACGACTTAGGACTGGAGGACTTGAATATAAAGTAATCCATAAAGAAGGAAAGTAATTTTGTAACTGCTGAGTATGAGACTTTTTTTTGGCATACACAAAACCTAAATGGCTCCCCCAGAACAAGAGCATGCACAACAATAGAATCAAGGCAGCAAACATGCTCAGGAAACAAGGCTACATAAACTAAGGGAAGTGCTATTATGAATACGAATATTTAAAAGCTGATAAAAGAATGATTTTTGTTGTTACTACAGTAAAAAATTATTAGCACAAAAAAAGGTATAGCTATAAAACAAAGATGTATATAATTCAATCTCCCTTCTATTATAATTATTGCAACCAAGTTATTCATATCAGATCTAGCACCAGAGAAATCATGGGAAAACACCAGGATTAATGAGAGTGCCCATCTAACATAAGTGTTGATAGTCATCATGAAGATCAGATATGGGATGACTTACTTCAACTTCTTAAGTATCATTTTGATAACTCCTTTAGACTCTGTTTTCATGTGATCCTATGGGACGTTGGTGCTTTCTAAATGACACCATGAGAATGAGTTTCAATGGAGCTACAGTTCTAAGAACAGAGCCTTCCATCAATTTTCATGGCCAATTACATGATATTTAAGATCAACTGACTAATCATCCAAAAAGGGATTTATCTTTGAAAAAACAAAACAAAACAAAACAAAAACCTCTTAAATACCTACATGGTTACAATGGCTCCAGAAGTGAGACACTTTTTTTCTTTTCCCAGGAATATCCAATTCTCCTGGCAACTAAACTGACCACAGTCAAATTGCACAGATTTTTTTTCTACAAACCTGAATATGTACACATTAACCAAAGTGCTCTGCCACTGCTCACAAATATTGAAGTTCAGCTTGCAAGCACAGTCATTTGCATTGATGAAGCCCCAGTTCTAAGCAATATCAGATTAAGTTCACATTCAGATGAACACAGGGCACTGAGAATTACACAGCCAGCTACTTATGAACGACTGCGTGTGCTTTTCCATTGCAGTTTTTCTTCCAGCTCTCATGGAAACAAGCACTGCCACAGCCCCTTGATGAGCCAGCAGAGTCCAGTCATCTGGCAACAATGACAGGTATCTGGCATCTGAGAGGAATATCAACTGAAGACAATGAGAGAATTAAAAAAGAAGTAAACACAAGACAATCTTTTTTCACCCCCTTAGATTCTGCATTTCCACTTGCTTGATTCAGTAATTGTTTTGTTTTGAATGTTGTGTAAATGAATGCTACAGCCCTATGCAATTTTTAAACCACTTTGCTGTGTGTCTCATATGGAGCTCAACAATGTTACTGCTGGCATGAGTGCACCATAAAGCATATGACTCCCTGATGTAACATTTTAAATAAGGATACATTTCTCATCCAATGTGACATTATGCAGGAAAATTTCACTTCGTCACCTGTTTCTCATGAGAGCTTGAGAAAGCTATATAATTTTTTTTTTTTTTTGAGTCAGAGTCTTGCTCTGTCACCCAGGCTGGAGTGCAATGGCACAATCTCGGCTCACTATAACCTCCACCTCCCGGGTTCAAGTGATTCTCCTGCCTCAGCCTCCCAAGTAGCTGGAATTACAGGTGCCCGCCATGCCCAGCTAATCTTTGTATTTTTAGTAGAGATGGGGTTTCACCATGTTGGCCAGGCTGGTCTCAAACTCCTGACCTCATGATCCGCCCCCCTTGGCCTCCCAAAGTGCTGAGATTACAGGTGTGAGCCACCACACCCGGCCTTACATAATTCCTTTCAACTGTATATATCTCATCATTAAAATAAGAATAAGAAAACCTGTCTTCTTTTTTCTCCTTAATAGCTTGTGAGGCCTATGTACTAATCAAAATGAACGAAAATAATTCACAAACTCAGTGACATCAAGGAGCTAGTTTGCTGTTTTACTTAAGGAAGAATTATTCTATGGCTTCAAAAAATAGAGCCATCACATGAAATATCTGAGTACAAAAACACACTATATTGTACAGACTTTTTCGTGTGTACGGCTGCTAGAAGTTAGAAATCACCCAAAGTCTTCTTAATCTGCCACTCTCTGAATAAGACAGGTACCAATACTATTGTGCCTCTATTAGGAATGCAAAGGCTTACAGTAAAATTGGATGAAACTGCTTACTCAGAGTCACCCAGCAGCTCTGTGGTAGGAATGGAAAATAGGCTGAACCCACACTGTTGGATGGTACTATGAGTCTATCATTTCCTCCTTCTATTTAAGGTCATTTCCAAAATGATAGCTCCAATCTTCATATGTGCTTATTATACAATGTGCCACCATTACAAAATTTAATTTTTTTTAAAAAATGGGGGAAAGAGTTCCATTCCCCCACACATCAATTTGCCAGATGATTTAAATAGCACATCCTAGGTCTCTGATGCACAGAGAGTCCAGGGAGCTAATGCATCATTTTGGAATACTTAGAGCCTGAAGAAACACAGAGTCAAATCATAGCAGGACCAACTAGGCTTTTTATCCAAGATGGATAAATGAAATTCCATGCAGTTGCTTGTGCACAAAGTCTTTTCAGTTAGATTTTTGAAATGCAACCAACAGTTTTTTGTTTGTTTGGTTGGTTGGTTTTGTTTTTTTGAGACGGAGTCTCACTCTGTTGCCCAGACTGGAGTGCAGTGGCGCAATCTCGGCTCACTGCAACCTCCACCTCCCGGGTTGAAGCAATTCTCCCACCTCAGCCTCCCGAGTAGCTGGGACTACAGGTGTGCGCCACCATGCCGAGCTAATTTTTGTATTTTTAGTAGAGATGGGGTTTCACCACGTTGGCCAGACTGCTCTTGATCTCCTGACCTCAAGTGATCCACCCATCTCGGCCTCCCAAAGTGCTGGGATTACAGGTGTGAGCCACCGTGCCCAGCTGATATCATCTAACTTTTTAAAAGACTAAGTTCCTGTCCAGGTATGGTAGCTCATGCCTGCGATCTCAACACTTTGGGAGGCCAAGGTGGGAAGACTGCTTGAGCCCAGGAATTCAAGACCAGCCTGGGCAACATAATAAGATACTGACTGTACTAAAAATCAAGAAGAAAATTAGTCAGATATGGTGGTACACGCCTATGATCCCAGCTACTCAGGAGGCTGAGGTGGGAGGATCATGTGAGCCTGAGAGGTTGAGGCTGGAGTAAGCCATGATCATGCCACTGCACTCCAGTCTGGAGGAGACAGCTCTGTCTCAAAAAAAAAAAAAAAAAAAGAAAGAAAGAAAAAAAGAAAAGAAAAGATCATTCCTGACATTTATATGGTTAATTTTATTTTTATGGAACAGGCAAAGCCTGAAAATGATAAAACATAAAAGGATTTGCACTGAAAAGAAAGTCTCTTTTTCCTGTTTCTCACACAGCAAAACCCCCCCCTGGAAACAACCTTACAACAAAGATAAGCTATGCATTTGTGTGTGTGTGTCTGTGTGTGTGTGTGTGTGTGTTTGTTTTATACAAAGGAGAGCATGTTAGACATACTGTTCTCATTTTGCTTTATTTAATAATGCATCTTGGATTTTGTTCCATTACCACTGCAGAACTTCTTCATTCTTTTAACAAGTTGCACAGTATATTCCATGGAGTACCATAATATACTGATTCAGTCTCCTATTGATGACAATTAAGTTGTTTCCAGTCCTCTGCTATTATAAGTATTGATGCAATAACTATACTTATGTCAGTCATTTTGCTCAAATGAAAAACACAAATGTAGGAAAATTCCTTAAGTGGAATTGCTTAGTCAAAGGATACATGCATTTAAGTTTTTTTTATAGATTGGCCTTCACAGAAGTTGTATCTAACAATTTATCATTCCACCAAAAAGTATAAAACCAACTGCTTTCTCAAACCCTTTATAGCCAGTTTTGATCAAGCTTCTTTATCTTCAATAATATGATATATCATGTTTTCCATTTAATTTTCATCAGGAGGGAAGTCTGATATCTTTTTCTTAAATTTTAAAAGCACTTGTGCTTACTTTTCTGTGATCTGTCCTTATCCTTTACCCATCGCTGGTCATTGCTTTCTTGTTTATTTGTAGATGCTCTCTATTCAATAGGGAAAATAGTCTTGGTTTGTGATACATGTGAAATATCTTCTCCAGATTTTCATTTGTCATTTGACTTTGCTTACAATGGATTTTCTTGTTATGCATAAACTTTGTTTTTTAGTATTTAAAGTTAGTTATCTTATGGCTTCTGTGCTTTATATTATACTTGAAAAGACTTTCTAATGTAGAAATTATCTTAAATAACCTTAGATATTCTTCCAATACTTTTTTGATTTTATTTTTCACATTTAAATCATTGTTGCCCCCAAGGATTTATTTTTGGATAAGGCTTAAGATATAAATTCAACTCCATTTCTTTGCCTAATGGTAAGATTTATTGAATGCTCCAGTGTTTATTGTGATATGCAATGCCAACATTATCTTATGTGAAATATATATATATAAGATATGTATATATATCTTATACTCCTTCCACATTTATTTTTGGATGTCCCATTTTTTTCCATTTAACTATCTATACCAGCACCACAGTCTTTAAGTTATTGTAGCTTAATACATTTTACAAAAATTGGTCTAGTCCCACCGCAATGTTCTTCTTTCTCAGAATCTGTCATTATGAATTCTTTTATTTTTGTAAATTTTTTAGTTGAATCACTTGGTTTTTCCAAATATACAATCATATTACTTAGAAGGTATAGTTAATATGCCTCCTTTCTAGTTTTTTTTATTTCTAATTTCTTTTTCTTGTAAGACTCCTTTGTCTAGTGCTACTATAACAATACTAAATGATAGTAGGAATAAGGGTGATCATTGGCTTAATAAGTTTATGGAAATGCTTCTGGAATTCCCTATAAAGCAAGCTGTTGACTTTTTCGTTTTTAGGTTAGCAAGAGGGCACTTACCAAGCTAAGGATTGTGGATCCTTAGATCACTTGACTAGAAGATGGGGATGGGGTCATATGGTACAAACCAGGGCTGTTACTCCTCAACAAGGAGGAATAACGCCTCTTAGAAGCATGGCAAGCAGGTGCCATAAAACATGTCTACTACAATTTCTCACTGCCTGGAATAATTGGAAAAGTTTCATAAATGCTCTGGCTTTCAGGTTCTTCACTTTTGCAATAAAGCTGCTAAGTCTGGTTGCAAAGCTTTTATGATGATTAGAAATAATATATGTAAAATGCCTGATGCACAAGAGTCACTCAATAAGTGACAGCAGTGTGATTAATCTATGACATAATAAAAAGTTCTAACTTGAAACACGAGAGAAAAAAATAACTTCCAGTGCGTAAAGAGATAATTTCATGATCTCAGGGACACTAACTTCCCTATAACCCATTCCTCCATATTAATTTTTACTTTACATTATACCTTCTCTAAAGAAATTGTTACAGAGAATCACACTCCTAGCAATATGACAGAAGACTAGTACATCACACCTAAAATATAAAATATGTCTTTTTAAGCATGGTTCAGCCAGAGAGTAACAGAAATAAATGTAAGCCAGAAACAACTGAAAAAAATAACATTTCTCAGAAGGAAAAAAACTTGGGAGGATTCTTTCCTGAGAGCAGTTGCCAATCCTTAATGAACTAGAGCCTGGGTTCTAAATGGGCACATGGCAAGAGAGTTGGGAGGATAGCAGACAGAGCCCGGGCCCAAGCAGGACAAGAGATTAAATGAGGACCCTTACTTAAAGTTGAGACTTCCAGGCTCCCAAAGGGTGACACCCTCAGTTGGCAAACTAAGAAAAAAAAACCCACCTTGAAGCAGAAGACCTGTCCTTCTCAGATGTGGTTCTGAATATATCAGGAAAAAAAAGGCAGGGGACAAGGGTCTTCCCCATTCATTCATTTTTTCATTCAATGAATATGTATTGAGGGCCAGTTTTTGTTAGGCACCTTTCCAGGCACTGGGTAACAAAGATCTCTGCCCTAATGAGAATTTCTATCTAAAACCTGCCTAATGTGATTTAGGGCTAGAAACTTAAACCACTTATATGGCCTAAAAACCTGCAGCTTAGAAATTAACATCAAGGCAACAAAAGCCAAAATTGACAAATGGGATCTAATTAAACTAAAGAGCTTCTGCACAGCAAAAGAAACTACCATCAGAGTGAACAGGCAACCTACAAAATAGGAGAAAATTTTCACAACCTACTCATCTGACAAAGGGCTAATATCCAGAATCTACAATGAACTCAAACAAATTTACAAGAAAAAAACAAACAACCCCATCAAAAAGTGGGTGAAGGACATGAACAGACACTTCTCAAAAGAAGACATTTATGCAGCCAAAAAACACATGAAAAAACGCTCACCATCACTGGCCATCAGAGAAATGCAAATCAAAACCACAATGAGATACCAGCTCACACCAGTTAGAATGACAATCATTAAAAAGTCAGGAAACAACAGGTGCTGGAGAGGATGTGGAGAAATAGGAACACTTTTACACTGTTGGTGGGACTGTAAACTAGTTCAACCATTGTGGAAGTCAGTGTGGCGATTCCTCAGGGATCTAGAACTAGAAATACCATTTGACCCAGCCATCCCATTACTGGGTATATACCCAAAGGACTATAAATCATGCTGCTATAAAGACACATGCACACGTATGTTTATTGCGGCAATATTCACAATAGCAAAGACTTGGGACCAACCCAAATGTCCAACAATGATAGACTGGATTAAGAAAATGTGGCACATATACACCATGGAATACTATGCAGCCATAAAAAATGATGAGTTCGTGTCCTTTGTAGGGACATGGATGAAATTGGAAATCATCATTCTCAGTAAACAATCGCAAGAACAAAAAACCAAACACCGCATATTCTCACTCATAGGTGGGAATTGAACAATGAGACCACATGGACACATGAAGGGGAACGTCACACTCTGGGGACTGTTGTGGGGTGGGGGGAGGGGGGTGGGATAGCTTTAGGAGATATACCTAATGCTAAATGACGAGTTAATGGGTGCAGCACACCAGCATGGCACATGTATACATATGTAACTAACCTGCACATTGTGCACATGTACCCTAAAACTTAAAGTATAATAATAATAAAATAAAATAAAATAAAAAATAAATAAATGATAAAATAGTTGTAAAAAAAAAAAAAGAAATTAACATCAAGAACTGCAGCCTGGACAACATGGTGAGACCCTGTCTCTACAAAAAAATCGGAAAAATTAGTTGAGTACGGTGGCACGTGCCTATAGTCTCAGCTACATGGACAACATGGTGACACCCTGTCTCTACAAAAAAAAATTAGAAAAATTAGTGAGTGGCACGTGCCTGTACGTGGGGAGACTGAGGTGGGAGCATTACCTGAGGCCAGGGAGGTCGAGGCTGCAGTGAGCCATGATCGCACAACTGCACTCCAGCCTGGGTGACAGAGTGAGACTTTGTCTCAATAAAAAAAAAAAGAACTTGTTTGGCGGTTCCCCTGCATTTGAAGTGTTCACAAGCATCTGATGGGAGCAAATAGGAATCTTCCCTTGAAGAACATACTTTAAACACTGGCCTCAAAGAATTTTAACAGATAAAGTTCCTGAAATGAATGAACACACACACACACATGTGCACACACATACACATGCACACAACACACACACGAGCTATTATAAATGAGGATCAAATCAAATGAGAAATCATAATGAAGATTTTAAAATATTTTGAACCAAATGTGAAAGCATTATAAAAAAATCCGCAGAGCTCAAAATACACCTGCACAATGGCTATGGACAGATGTGTTGTCCTCACAACTCCTTTGTGCCCAAGCACATCTTACCCTTCTTCTTATTGCTGCAATCTGCATAAATTTGGTACACAGGTTACAAAAAATCCAATAAATAAAAGACATAGTTGACAAGACAGCTACAGAGACAAAGATATTTTTGGAATTACATTCAGAGTCTATGGCTCTTTCTTCCTTTTGGTGGGCGAGGGGCACACTTCCTTTAAATGTCCTCATTAGAACTGTCACAGGTTGGAACAGCATAAGGAGTCATGACAACTAAATGCAATGTGGGATGCTGGATTAGATCCTGAAGCAGAAAAAGGATATTAGTGGGGAAAATTGGAGAAATTTAAATGATGTCTACTGATTACCAAATAGTATTTTATTGGTGTTAATTTCCTGATTTTGGTAACTGTACTATACTTATATTAGATGTTAACATTAGAGGGAACTGGGTGAAGGATATATGGAAACTACTATTTTGTCTACTGTTTTCTGATATAGATTTTTTAATAACTCTTTTCAAAATAAAAAGGAAATAAATATCCTTGTTGATGGCAAATTGTTATTTTTTAAATTATAGAACTGATTTTGAAAAGAAAAAAATGCAGAACAAAGGTTAGTGAAAAGGTCAGTAATCTATTTGGGTAATAAATTTCTTTGCAGGGGAGGGGTTGATTTAAAAAATGTAGTGCGACTTTAAGTCAATGTGAGACTGTTTTCTTCTATAGTCCATAAATGGCTTCTAACGGCAATTCGAAAGGACAAGTTCTAAAAATATTTCTTGCAATGACAGCATCGTTGGATTAGTGTAAAGAGTGGCTACATTGAAGAATAGCACTCATTTAAACAGTGTACCTTATGGTATATTTATTTTTAAAAATCACTCCTCATTACCTTATGGTCACACCTCAGGGTGTTAAAGCAATTTCTGGGCACTCAGTAAGTAAAAGAAAAGTTAATTGAATGCAATAATTTGTCATGTCTCCCTCTGCTTTCTAATGCAAGAGTCTAGGTTATTTTTAATCTCTTTTACTATGGAAGATATTCTAATCGTACCTTTTTGATATTTTGAGCAAATTTATTACTTTTTAGCAGAAATTTGCTATTCTATGAGAGGGAAAGGAAAGTCCTCCCAAAAAACAGAGTGGCAGAGAACAAGCAGCCTGCAGGCAGTGTGTGGCCACCAAAGTGAGCTCTCCACGGTCATATCTTTTTTGGTCCCATAGTATATTCTATCTAGACCAATACTGAGCAGCCACCAGACATATTCACCAATCTGTTGATCATGATAACTGCAACATTTAATGGAGAATTTATAACCCAGGATCTTATCCTTCAGCTATTAAGTTGAGATATTTCATACATTGAAATTTGTGTTGGAAGGCCTTTGTGTCTCATAATCAAAAAATAAAAAATATATAAAACTATATGAATATATATAAACAATTACCCAAATAGGCACCATGATCAAGTCTATAACAAAAGAGAAGCATTTTATTTCTTTATTTCCCTAATGCAGGAGCACGCTCTATGATATAGGCGCAAGTCACAGAATAAATGTTTTAATGTCTCTTCCTTTCTGCCACTTAATTTGCCTAAATTTTACCTGTCTTGCTTAATAAAACACATGTAATAACATTGTTACCTTCCAAGGGACTTATGTAAATTAATGAATATGGCTGTAAAACATTTTGTAAACATGAAGTGTTACATAAATACTTACAAATTCCTCAAATGTGCTCATTATATTGCCCATTTTGAACCTTAATATTTACTTAAAACTCTACATTTGAGATTTCCCCAAGGAAGAAATTCCAACTTTTCTTGCCTGTAGCTTTATAGACTTTTCTTTAAATAAGCAAAGTCCAATTCAATAGGACATAGAACTAGGAATAAACACAACTAACCAAAAACCAGGAAGTATTCACAGATGCTCTAAGCCTGCAAATATAGCTAATCACATTCATTCAGCATTTACACTGCGAAATTACTATAGAAATGTAGTAATTTACAGAAAATAAAGCAGTAAAACTTAAAGGTTCACAATATAATGTCATGACTGTCAAATTCTCTGCTTCAACAGAAGACCGTATTTTCTCACTAATCGAAGGGCAGATTCCTATGAAAGCTGAAAAAAAATTTTATATCTGAGCAAGATTTGAGTAATTTAGCTTCTATTACTCTGATTTTATACATTTTTTGAATGAATCACTTCAAATCATGCTACTTATGCTTTACATAGACAGTCTGAAACCATTACCAACTTGAAAACCTAGTTTCTTTTTTTTTTTTTTTTTAACCTTTTAAATGTACAGAGCTTTATGTATGAAACTCAGGTAAATTCAGAATATCAGCAAATAAAATCACAAAGCATGTTGGTCTTACTGTTAGTCTTGCAGTTCCCTAATAAAACCCTAAAATTCACATACCACTGACTGCATGACAACATCTCATGCTGACTCTCCAATAATTTCCACCAGTCAAATACACCACACAACAACTAAGATCACACTCAAATTTCAATTATTTACCTTGTGAATCATTTTTCTTGCTTCCACTTCCTCACTGTTGGGATTCTCTAACTCAATGGTATAAGTACCCTTGTCACTTTGGTCATCATCATTATCCTTTTCAGAAGTAGCAGAAGTTGCTTGATTTTTTAACATTTTATCCATCTCCTGGCTTGGTCTGTGCCCAAGACTCCCTGAACCTCTTAATAATGCAGTTTGTAGGAAGGGTATTGACACCGATGGCTCCTCTGATTTCTGTTTTAACAGTTTCCCATGTGGAACACCATGCCCCACTCTGTGATGCACAGAGCTAGTCTGTAAAGACAAAGAAACCACTTTGGCATCTGCTGTTGAAGACTTTGCTTTCTCAAGTTTTGTATGTGGTGTTGAATATGTAGTTCCCTGACACAAGATTCCCGCACTTTGAGTTAAAGAATATGACCTTCTTTTTCTGGGATTGTCTTCATCAAAGAATGCAATCATAAAAGCAGTTTGACTTACAACAGCTTGGTCTTGATGCTTTTCAGTAGCCTGGACCTTCTGTAGCTTTTTGTGTTCTGAATGGTGGTGTCTTTTTTTTTTTTTTTTTTTATACTTTAAGTTTTAGGGTACATGTGCACATTGTGCAGGTTAGTTACATATGTATACATGTGCCATGCTGGTGCGCTGCACCCACTAACTCGTCATCTAGCATTAGGTATATCTCCCAATGCTATCCCTCCCCCCTCCCCCCACCCCACAACAGTCCCCAGAGTGTGATGTTCCCCTTCCTGTGTCCATGTGATCTCATTGTTCAATTCCCACCTATGAGTGAGAATATGCCGTGTTTGGTTTTTTGTTCTTGTGATAGTTTACTGAGAATGATGATTTCCAATTTCATCCATGTCCCTACAAAGGACACGAACTCATCATTTTTTATGGCTGCATAGTATTCCATGGTGTATATGTGCCACATTTTCTTAATCCAGTCTATCATTGTTGGACATTTGGGTTGGTTCCAAGTCTTTGCTATTGTGAATAATGCCACAATAAACATACGTGTGCATGTGTCTTTATAGCAGCATGAGTTATAGTCATTTGGGTATATACCCAGTAATGGGATGGCTGGGTCAAATGGTATTTCTAGTTCTAGATCCCTGAGGAATCGCCACACTGACTTCCACAATGGTTGAACTAGTTTACAGTCCCACCAACAGTGTAAAAGTGTTCCTATTTCTCCACATCCTCTCCAGCACCTGTTGTTTCCTGACTTTTTAAGAAAACCTAGTTTCATACTAAAAATTACTAAGATGATTAAATGAGATGGTACATAAAATATTCTTCACAGTATCTGCTATGTATTAACACTCAATAAATAATACTTACACAAATAATATGAAATTAATTATCTCTGGCAGATGATCTCACATCCAATAAAAATGAAATATTAAAGACTTGGGAAATACTATTAATAATATCTCTATTTGTACATTAAACCCATGACAATGAAACATAAGTTGATAACTATTTAGGCCACTTTTGATAATAAGAAACTTATCACAATGAGAGTAACAAGATTAAGAAAACAAATATTCTTGCTGTAACAATTTTAGCACGTTTTATATATTATAAAATATAACAGAGAAACCATCATATGTATCTGCACAAATTTAATGACAAAATGCTGCATATATCCCTCAAAAACTTCAATTGAAAGACAATCACACAAAGATACTAAAAATGCCATTCAATGGTAAAATATCAGGTAATGGGTCAGTATAAAACAAATGATTTTCCAATAATGTAATGTGGAACCATTTCAATTATGTGACAGAAAATAATCCAACTTCACCTTAATATATTCAAATATAAAACAAAAATATATATAATCTAGTACCAATCACATTGTTCAGTGAGGCTGAAGGGTTGGCTGTGGCTCAGGACTAGAAGGCTGTCACTAGCAATGATCACAAGCATTTAGAATAAAATAAGAAAACAAGCCTGATACCACAACTCCTAGGGCACAGTTGAGTTCACACAGGAGAAAAACCATATATATGTATTCAGTGTGGAAAACTCTCACCAAAAGATTAAGTCTTCTTTCATCCCAGAAAATATTCATACTAGAGAGAAACTCTTTGTTTGTACTGAATGTTGGTGGGCCTTCAGACAGAAATCAGAGTTGCCTACTCATCAGAAGATTCATACTTCAGAGAAACCTCATGAATGCGGCATCTGTGAGAAGTCTTTTGCTAAGAAATCACATCTTCAACTACGTTACTAAATTCATACAGGAGAGAAACCTATATGTGAACTAACTGTGAGGAAGCCTTCAAATGTCAAATATGAAGAAACCCAGCATGCTCATACTTAAGATAAAGCCTATCAATGCAGTGACTGTGATAAGGGCTCCATTCAGTCACCCTGGTATCCAGATAATCAGTTCTCAGTATGCATCAGAGCATTCATATATGGAAAAAAAAACTTATTTGTTTCCTGAAAGTCATAAAGCCTTCTCACAGTAATCAGCTCTAATCATAAAGCAGAGAATTCATGTTGCACAGATCATATGAATATGTTGTATATGGGAAAGCCTTCAACCAGAAGTCGTACTGTGAGAACTCATTCCCAAGAGAATTTGTAGGAATGCCTGGTATGAGGGAACCTTTCCTTATTTGCACCAGCCTCATTAAGTATCACATTTACATTGAGAGTTTAATGCATGAGGAAGAGCCTTCTTGTAGAACATACTAAAATGTGCATTTCTTTAAATATTAGTGACTTTATGATTTGCAAATTATAATTCTTCATCTATGAACTACTTGTTCAAAACTCTTAGCTATTTTTCTTATGAGTTGTTTTCTTCGATGGGTAAAATTCTTAATAATTATGGATATTAGACACTCTTTGTTATTATGCATGGTGAAAATTATATTACAGCTTTCAATATAGTGTCTTTTACAATAGGGACAATATTGATTAATCTAAGCTGCAAGAATTCTTTTCCTGCAGGAAAGCCAGAAGTAGCTGATGTAAATTCTAGTAAGAATTAATTTAAAAAATCAATAAACCAATTTCGTATTTTTAAACATAAATATGCTATTGTACTCAGCATCTATAAAATATTTTCAGGCAAAAATTAGATATGGTAGGTCAAAATCTTACAAGTTCAGAGAACTTTAAGACAGCCAAATTTAAGAGCATGTTTTTGTAATTTAGGGAAAACACTGTCTAATTATATAAAGTAAATTTTCTACGTAGCAAGTTTATTTAATTTGTAAAGAAACAATGATGACATGTCCACTACACATGGACTATGTTCTTAATACCTTTATAGTGAAGTCTCACTAATTGGGTGTTAATTGCACTAGCTCAAAAAGCATCTAGCAGGTATTGCTTTGTATGACCAAAGAAGACTATCTTCTGGAGCTGGTGAGCATGCTGCCACTTCTCCCTCTGAATTCAACTCAGATAAAACCAGCTGGGGCACAGCTGCAGCCCAGCTGCCAACTTTGATTTCCTATGTCTGCACTAAAAACAATCACCCCAGCATGATCACATGATAATTAAATCTGAATTACTACAGCTGAGGCTCACAATATTAAAAATTAAAATTTGCTAAGAATTTTGAAAGACTATCTGCATGAAGAATTAGATTTGTGACTGTGTCATCATGTATCTCTACGCACATTCTGCCATCTATCTTAGTCCAGGGAGCTAGGCACCCTATGAATCAAGTGACTCCTAACTTCAGCTATAGGAGAGACTATAAATTTGTATTCTAAATCTTCAGAAAATAAAGAAGGTGTGGAGGGGATGGCAAGCGAGATCTCAAAGGAGGACAGTTGAGATTGAGCCTCAATGCATTATGGAAGACCATTGTTAAATAGGGCTGAAAACATAAAAATTCAATGGAAGAAGAGACTCCAGAGACTAAATCTCAATGAGTGCAATGTTATACTAGGACTCCTAACTCTGAACACTAACTGAATTTCCTATATGAGGTTATACTGTGACTAAGTTATGCTTCCACAGTAAAGCCCCAAAGGCTTTTAAAAATTCCTTTAAAGGTAACTCCATGTAATAACACCATACCTACTGCTGGAGGGCCTGGCAGAGATCCTATTATGAGCTAGCCTCTTGCAGGAGAGTTAGAAGATTGCAGAATAAAGCTTTTTGGAGGATAAGCCATGGGAACACATGGCCAAACAACGAGCAATGAGGTCTAGGGGAACAGAGAGGAACATCGCACAAGTAACATAACTTCAGTGCCTGGAAAGCACAAAGTACAATCACAAATCAAAGGCTTAATAATGTAATACTTATCACCGCAGGTGACCATCTGCTTTGAGTCTGTTATGGGATGTAATTGCTCCCTTCTTGCTGACAGCCATTTCAGGAGACCCAGGTGGCACTTCTGGCAACCTGCCCAAGATGGTCCTTTCCCTTTGTATTTTGGCAGGAACAGAGAGGTACTGGACAAAGGAAGTAGTTTGGTGAACATTACTGGATTTTCAGTTTACCCAAAACCAAAGTACGTAGGATGGTATTGTAGTGGGGTTGTGTTGTATTTACTTCTCAGAAAAGAGAGAACTGTCACACATTCAATATGTGAAAGAAAGCCTTGAAAGCAGACACCTACTCACCAAAAGCAAATAATTTAAGATGGATGAACTGAAAAGACATGTAACAGCACAACCACATGAGAGCTTTTGTGTGTATAAATTTGCTTGCTTTTAAAACCACTGATATCCTGTTTCTGAAAACTTATTCCTGGCCTCTATTCTTCTCTAATAGAACCCAATCAGTTTCTGACAGCTCTTTCTCAAACAGCTGTCTTTCATTTAATTTCATTTAGTGTGCAAACCGTTTCAAGTTGCATGCACAAGCATACTGTGAAGAATTCATTTTCTCTAGTTTCCTGGCGACAATAAAAGAATTTAATAATAAAAAAAAGTTGAACTTTGGCCTGAAATGTTACTGTCCTGCCGAAATGGTGAATTATACAAGTGGAAGTGATCCAAAGGTTACTTGGTCCACCCCCTACAATGCAAAAAGAGCCTAGACAGATCCTTTCATGTAATTATCTTACTTGTCATTTTAAAATCTTGTAAGAAAAATTCCACATTCTCACTAAATAAATTTGGTCCAGACCTTGATAATCTGAAGAATGAACTTCCTCAGGGATAAGTGCAGGGAGAGTAAGAGGATTTAGGACTGACAACCTGGAATTAGTCAAAATATAGAATTGAAAAACAGGTATGATTCTAAATGCATATAGAGGAGAATATCAGGGAAGATTTTTGTAAAGGAAGCTGAGTTCTTAAGGAAGAGAGCCACAGTATCGCATAATAGATCATGGGCTTTTGAGTTTAACAATCATGTATTAAAATTCTACCAATGCTAAGGTATAGTTCTCTTATCTCCAAAATGGGTATTAACATTTAATGGGCTCTCATTCTAAGTTCTAAGTGCTTCACATGTATTAACTTATAGATAAATGCTTATACAAAAAAGTTGTACGGATTAAATAATGTTATTAGGGTGTTTAGCACAGTTCTTATGTTCAATAAGTAGTAATAATTATTTTTCCCACTTCTGCTTATGAAACCAGATATTCTCACCAATAAGACTTTTGGGACCCAAAGATCTAAAAAGAGAGACCAAAGTAAGTAATGCCACTTTGCTCCCTCCCTCTTTTCCTTTCAACCAAGGCAGGAAACAATCTTGAGACAGATGGAGAAAGGGAAGCCATTCAGTTTTGTCTCTTTACCTAACTAATAATGGTAAGAAGAGGGGATTGTGGAACAGTATGAACACCTTTCAGTTCCTTTTGACACAGATAACCACTTCATCCTCCACTTTTTTCCACCCCTCTTATGTTCACTGTACCATTCTCTGAGTTTCAAATCCCCTAGGATCTTGAATGCCACAGAGTGCCTCAAAAAACAAGCCTACTGTCCCTTGCAGACAGCTGTGTCCCTATCTTAAATTTCCACCTTTCACAAAAGACATGTTAAACTTACTTTCCAATTTCTTAGTATACTAGCTCCTAAGTATGATGGTCCCTGAAATTAGCAGACATTTATGAACTTCAGTGAAATTTGGGCCTAGAGTCTCCAATCTATTGACAGTACTTACATCTCATCATGTTTCCAAGCAATAAAACCAGGGCTCTCTGTGTGATCTTTCTATGTTCAGTTAAACCAAAGTTTACACTATATTCCTCTTTGAGTTTAAGTTTTGGTTGAAGTAAGTACGCCAAAGATTTTGCAGGCATTGACTGTAGGGATACTTAGCATTCAATCTGACGAGAGGCTAAAATATAATCCATTTTAAATGGGAAGACCAGACATGAAGTTGGTATTACCAGTGCCTCATGTTATCAAGTACTGCTGCCCACTCTTTCCTGTTCAGCCCTCTATTTCCATCACTAGCAAGAATGCCTGGGCCAATCACCACATTCAGAACCATGGCTCCTTGCTATCTATATACTCCAGGCCCCAAATAACTGCTTTCTTTCTCCAATCACCCTGAAAAAGAGGGAATATTATCTAGCAACTACAGCAGAGGATTCCTAGGCACACTTCTGGAGAAATGCACTGGGAATGCTAATGGAAAAGAACCATTCCCCAGCAAAGATTTTATCTTCTCTTTCTAGTAAGCTTCTTATTTCCCTCAGAAAACTTTGCTTCCTGTTACATAATGCTTTGGGTAGGACACTCACACATCTCATTAGCACCAGGCCAGAGCATTCAAGAAATAAAACCTACTTCGATAACATGTTTACAAAAGAGAGAGACATGTATGAATTCATACCATAAGCTGGTCTCACAGCCACATTATAAAAGTCATATTCAACTTGCCTGCATTTTAACAAACCATTAATCATTTCTATACTGACCCCACCCCCAAGACTCTTACGCTCTGGCCAGGGAGCACTTCAAGTGTGTGGTCATCAAATGCCATGAATAATAGAGAATGCAGGAAAAGCAGTTTCTAAATCAAATCCATACTCTTGAAAATAAACACATTTTTTAATGATATAATTACAACAATATGCCACTCTTGGTTTGAAAAGTAATATAACATTAAGTTTTTAAAAAAGGAATCAAGAAGAAAATATATCATATTGCTCTGTATCAGTTTTTGCCTGTATATAATAAGTCTAGCTGGTATAAAGTAAGGCAATAGACAAGCAGATTGATAAAATAATGAAAATTGAAGATCCTCATAGACAATAAAGGTTGAGACTATATTGTACTTGAATTGCAATAACCCAGACACAAACAGATAATTGAAGTGGTGGACTAAATCCAAACCACCGAAGCCAAATTAATAGGTTTAAAAAATATATACGTAACAATTTTATTGAGATATTACTCACATATCATAAAATTCGCCCTTTTAAAGTATATAATTCAGTGTTTTTAGAGTGCTCACAGAGTTTTATAACCATCACCAATATCTAATTCCAGAACATTTTCATTACTCTGAAAAGAAACCCGATACTCATTAGTAGTCACTGTCCCTTCCCATTCCTGCCTCTCTCTAGATCCTGGCAATCTCTTATCTCTCTTCTGTCTCTATGAATTTGCCTATTCTGAACATTTTGTATAAAAGGAATTATACAACATCTAGCTATTTGTGATTAGCCTCTGTCACTTAACAGAACGTTCATCCATGTTGACGCATGTATCACTACTTTATTCCTTTCATTACTAAATAATATTTCACTGTACAAATATACCACATTTTGTTTATCCATTCATCAGTTGAGAGACATTTAGGTGTTTCCACTTTCTGACTATTATGAATAATGCTGCTATGGATATTTATGTACAAAGTTTTGTGTAAACATATTTTCAGTTCTCTTGGGTATATACCTAGGTGTGGAATTGCCAGGTCCTATGGTAACTCTATGTTTAACTTTTTGAGGAATGTGAGTTCCCATTTTTTTTATATTCTTACCAACACTTGTTATTGTCTATCTTTTTTATCATAGCCATCCTAGTGGTAAAAAGTGGTATCTTATTATGGTTTTGACTTGTATTCCATCAATGACTGATGCTGTTGAGCATATTTTCATGTGCTTATTGGCCATTTGCACATCATCTTTGGAAAAAATCTATTAAAATTATTAATCTACTTTTAATTATTTGTCTTTCTATTGGTATATTATAAGGGTTCTCCATATTTTCTGGATACTAGACCCTTATCATATGTAAGATTTGCAATTACTTTCTTCTTTTCTGTGGACTGTCTTTCAAGGTCACAAAGATTGTGCTCTATGGCCTCTTTCTAAGAGTTTTATAGTTTTAGATCATACATTTAGGTGTCTGATCCATTTGATGTGTTCTGTAAAGTACCAATTCAACTTCGTTCTTTTGTATGTGGCTGTAAATTGTCCCAGTATTATGTGTTGAAGAGACTACTCTCCAGTGAATTGTCTTGGCACCCTTGTAAAAATTCAATTAATCAAAAATGAAAAAGTTTACTTCCCAACTCTCATTTATAATTCATGGATCTGTATTTTTATCCTATGCTAGGACCACACTGTTTGGATTACTATAGTTTTATACTGAGTATTAAAACTGGAAAATATGAGTCTTCCAACTTTCTTCTTCTTTAAAAGATTGTTTGAAGATTGTTATGGCTATTCTGGATCCCAGTGAATTTTAGTATTGGTTAAGGTTTTGATAGGAATTTTGTTGACTATGTAGATCCACGTAGATAGTATTTCCATCTTAACAATATTAAGTCTCCTGATTCATGAATATATGACATCTTTCCATTTATTTAGGCTTCTTTAATTTCTTTCAACAATGTTTTATAATTTTCAGTGTGCAAATCTTATACTTTTGGGGGTTCAATTTATTCCTTAGTATTTTACGTTTTTTGATGTGAAAAGTACTAGGTTTTAGCGTCTCTTCTAGCTCTCATGGAGCACTAAGGTAAAAAAGGAATAATTGTTTATAGACTTCACATCCTATATCCCTGTCAGCTTAACTGTGTCATAGCCAAGCATGTTTATACCAGTCCTGAATGTTTATAAACATCTTAATGAAGAGGGAAATAATACTGATCTATCTTGAGGCAGGAGAACAGAGCAAAGTACAGACTGGAATTAAATAGACTGGTCACTCACAGGCTATAAAATGCTGAAAACTTTGTTCTCCTTCTGTAGCCTCAGTTTTCTCATCTATAAAATTAAGACAATACCTGCCTTGCAAGGTTTTATGTGGATTAGAAACAATATATTTATGGGCCAGGACTTTGTCTTGTTAACTATTATGTATTTGGCTCCTAAATCAATGCCTGGGGCATAAAAGGTGTTCAATGAATACCCATTAAATGAGTTTTTTAAAAGTCTAATGTAGTATCTACCAAAAGTAAGGACTCAATAAGTGACAGCAATGGTTATCATCATCATCATCACTATGAGATTATTGACTTTAGCATAAATAACCCAACGTTCCAATGAAGTACTAAGTAAGCTGAATCACAGTGCTACCATACCCTGCATGGAATGGAAATACAAATAAATTTAGCCAGAGGCAATGCAAACCTGGAAAGAACAAAGGAGAACTTTAACAACTCCAATGTGACACAAACACTGAAGTTCATTTTAAATTAACTTTTACTTACTTGACATTGTTGAATATGGAAAAGGCTAGAAAACATTGTGCCAGATAGGGCAAAATGTTCAAGGTTTGACAGAACAACTGGAAATAAAAAAACCTACCACATCTACTTCATATTGATTATAATGATATATTAACCATGCTAGAAAGTACTCTAATTTTTTTTAAATGAAAATGATTGTTGAGTTATTTTTTCTGTATATTTCCTTAAGTTCATTTTTTTAAGTAAGAAACAAAAGTAGAAATGATAAAAATAAAAAGAACCCCACAAATATGTCAAGCTAGAAACATCTAGTTTCTGGGTTCTTATAGTTTCTCAAAACCTAATACAAATATTTGTAAAAATAGGAAAATAGAACAAAACGAATGCTCAAACCAAAATCCAAGTCCAGTTACTATATGCAGCCTCTAAAATGCCTTCTGCTGTTTCAACTGACCACTTTTTCATTTCCTGCAGTTTTATCTTCTAAAAAGATTAAGAGGGAGCTAGTGTTTTACATTTAAAACACCGCAATAACACTCTGAAACACTTTAAACTTGGCACTAGTCATTACTAACTAATTGGTTTAAAAGCTAATTTTTCCCACTTCTATTTCATTCCCATAGTTGCAAATCAAAGGAAGATGATCTTTTAGAGGACCCAATAAATAGAAGGTATATAATCCTGTCACTAATATTGCTAAACCTTGTTTCTGTGCTTGTAAATGCTGCTTGTTTCACCAAACAAAAGTGGTTGCTTTCATTGAAGAAGAGAATTTAAAAGACTTTTCTTACTATAATAAAAGCAAAAGTCTACTTATAATTACAAATACTTTAAACTTGGAGTCTGAAATGAAATTCCAATTATTATTATCCTGGGTATAGATTTTACAATAATTTGAAAGTCTTCCTTTCATCCTTTTAAAATAATAACAAAACCAATCTATTTTTAAAATCTTTAAACAATGCATACTTAGTAAAAAACAAGCAAACAGAAAGTATAAAATAATGCAAAATTCTCCCATCCTGACCCCCAGGCCCATAGTCCTCCTCTCCAAAAGAAACGAGTTTCTTATTAACAACCTGAAATTTTCCATACATAGGCAAGTATAATCAATCATACATATATAACATACATACATAAAATCATGCATATACATCAATTTTTAAATTATCATTTTATGACGATAACAAAGTAACCAGAGAACCTAGGAGCTTCAAGCAATGTTGGAGAGCATTTACCAATCCTCTTGTTTTATACAGGTCAGGAAACTGAAGCCCAATTAGGTAAATTGTCCGAAGCTATTCCTAACCACTGAGAAGCTCCGAAATTTTGTTTCTTGCATGATTTTAAAGATATTGCTATCTCCGAATAGACCTGAGAATATCTTTCTCACCAAGGGGAAAAAAAAAAAAAAGATTCCTGGAGTTTAGTTTAAAGTAAATATTTTTCAAACTAAAGTTTCTCCAACTGTTTCAATCTCCATTGGGGTGGGAGGGTGTGGTCATTAAGTTTCATCTGAAACAACAGTTCTGCCTGGGCAGACTTAACAGCCTATTTACATCTGTATTCTTAAGAAAACTAGTAAAGTATAAACTTTATGAATTTCTCCAACTCCTGTGCAGGCATAGTAAAATCATGCATTTGATTTCCTCAGTTGAGTGCTTAAGAATTCAGAGAGCTAACAAGCCCCAACCTGTACCCTGCATAATAAACAAATAACAGTATCTCATTAGGTAGCTCAAGAGGGAAAGTTCTTGGTTTCATCAAAAGTGAATGAAGTCTATCGTGGATTTCTTGTAATCCACTTACAAGAATCATGTGGGCCAATATTCACTCAATTGGTATGTGAGCAGAGACATGATGTCAACAATGTCTGGAGATAACCCTATTCCAAAGCCACTGTGTTCAGAGAGACTCCTGCAGTGATGAAAGGTACTTTACTGAATGACTGCTAGTAGAATATGCAATGAAGTGGGGAGATTAGATAACTGAATTTTAAGACACAGAATTCAGTTTTGGTCTCACCATGTCACCCTAGGTCTAAGTGCTTTGTTTCTCAGTTTATCTGCTCTTTTAATTAGTAATAATACTATTTATTGGTTTGAGGGCTTCAGAAACTTTTGACAACTAAGGCCTTGCTCAAAGAACCTACCATGCTTTTTTGAGTTCTTAAAACAAAACAAAACACGTAGAAGCAGTTGTTTGCCCTCCCTCATATCTTTGCAAGCTTCCATAGAAGCCAGAATCTTTATTCTTTATTATCTATTATATAATAATTTGCTGATTCTTTAAACCTTTCAAAATCACACAGAAATAGAAACTACCCCTTAAGCCTGAACTGGCACTAAATACTAAAACTTCTGTAGACTGTTAGCAGTAAAAATGCCAAATAAAAATCTCTTGCATATACTCTCTCACTCTGTGTACGTTGTTACCTTGAGTTTCTGGGATTTGTCTCCAACATAAACAGTACTTGTGTCACATTGAAGGAGGTTACCTCAGCTCTTCTGAAACCTGCGACTGGGTAAGTTCTATTCCCTGAAACAAACACAGCAGGAGGGTGGGCCTGGCAAGCCACAACCCTAATACTGAAAAATGCCAACTAGTGCTTCTAATAGGAGACAAACTATATTAAACGTGCAAAATTCCCTACATTTTTACAGCAGTAATTACATTTCTCATCCATAGAACACCTTTCTTTGGAGGGGTTATTTGATCCTAATGTGTTTTTTTAAATTAATTTTTTAAATTGTCTCCTCCTTATCTGAAGTGGTCTGAAACAGTCAAGAATATATTTTCTTCTCCTTTGTCCTTGCGGGTAGGACATGTTCTTATTCAGTCTATCCTCTAATGAAATCTGGAGAGACTTCCCTTCCTCAATTTGTACTAACACTTTAAATTAACTTTGCACACTAGGAAAAAGAAATGAGAAATGGGTGCAGACATAAACATTATAACGAAATAGTTAAAGCAACCCACACTATATTCGTAAGAGTAATAATTTAGAATCTTAGTTACTGGCATCTAATAATCTATTACTTTTGGTTTTGTTCCTCACCTTCTGGTTGCCTGCCTCTGGGCCACTTCATTTTATGTTTTTTTATCATCATACTCTTCATGGCAAGAAAATAAACACAAACTGAAACTCAAAGTGGTAATTTATTTTCTAGTTTCTCATAAGAGGTATGATAGAAAAAGAGATTGAAACTATTATGATAACTCCTGAGGTTTTGAATTATACAGGGAATACATTTAATTATTTTATTAATTATGTTTTATAAGTCAATAAAGTAAACTGCTATAGTCCACTTATGCAATATTGAGCTCTAAGCAACTCAAAAGACATGCATTGGTGTGGGGGTTGACTGGTTTGGCTGTGTGCCCACCCAAATCTTTTCTTGTAGTTCACATAATCCCCATGTGTCATGGGAGGGACCCAGTGGGAGGTAACTGCATCATGGGGGTGGTTACCCCCATGCTGTTCTTCTGATAGTGAGTTCTCACATGATCTGATGGTTTTATAAGGGGCTTTTTCCTCATTTTGTTCATTCTTGTCTCTTCTGCTGCCATGTGAAGAAGGACATGTTTGCTTCCCCTTCTGTCATGATTTCCTGAGGCCTCCACAGCCCTGTGGAACTGTGAGTCAACTAAACCTCTTTCCTTCATAAATTACCCACTCTTGGGTGTGTCTTTATTAGCAGCATAAGAACAGACTAATATAGTAAACTGGTACCAGTAGAGTGGGGTGCTGCTATAAGGATACCCAAGAATGTGGAAGCAACTTTGGAAGTGGTAACAAGCAGGGTTTGGAACAGTTTGGAGGGCTCAGAAGAAGAAAGAAAAACGTAGGATATTTTGGAACTTCCTAGAGACTTAGAGGGCTCAGAAGACAGGAAGATGTGGGAAAGTTTGAAACTTCCTAGAGACTTGTTGAATGGCTTTGACCAAAATGCTGATAGTGATATGGACAATGAAGTCCAGGTAGAGGTGGTCTCAGACAAAGATGAGGAACTTTTGGGAAATGGAGCAAAGTTGACTCTTGTTATGCTTTAGAAAACAGACTGGTGGAATTTTGCCCCTGCCCTAGAGATCTGGGGAACCCTGAACTTGAGAGAGATGGTTTGGCATTGGAATCTATGTTTAAAAAGGATGCAAAGCATAAAGTTTTAAAAAATTGCAATAGAAAAGAAAAACCCATTTTCTGAGGAGAAATTCAAGCAGACTACAGAAATTTGCTTAAGTAGCAAGGAGTCAAATGTTACTTGCCAAGACAATGGAGAAAATGTCTCCAGGGCATGTCAGAGGTCTTCATGGCAGCCCCACCCATCACAGGCCCAGAGGCCTAGGAGGGAAAAATGGTTTTGTGGACCAAGCCCAGGGCCTCCTTGCTCTATGCAGCCTTGGGACATGGTGCCCTGTGTCCCAGCTGCTTCGTTCCAGCCATGGTTAAAAGGGGCCAAGGTACATTTCAGGCCATTGCTTCAGAGAGTGCAAGTCCCAAGCCTTGGCAGCTTCCATGTGGTGTTGGACCTATGGATGCACAGAAGACAAGAATTGGGGTTTGGGAACCTCCACTTAGATTTCAGAGGATGTATGGAAACACTTGGATGTCCAGGCAGAAGTCTAATGTAGAGGTGGAGCCCTCATAAAGAACCTCTGCTAGGGCAGTGCAGAAGGGAAATGTCGGGTTGGAGCCCCCTCAGAGAGTCCCTACTGGGGCACTGCCTGGTGGAGCTGTGAGAAGAGGGCCACTGTCCTCCAGACCTGAGAAAGGCAGATCCACTGACAGCTTGCACCGTGCACCTGGAAAAGCCACAGACACTCAACACCAGCCTGTGAAAACACCTGGGAGGGAGGCTGTACCCTGTAAAGCCACAGGGGTGGAGCTGCCCAAGGCCATGGAAGCCCACCTCTTGCATCAGTGTGACCTAGACATGAGACACGGAGTCAAAGGAGATCATTTCGGAACTTTAAGATTTGACTGTCTTACTGGATTTTGGACTTGCATGGGGCCTGTAGCCCCTTTATTTTAGCCAATTTCTCCCATCTGGAATGGGTGTATTTACCCAATGCCTGTACCCCCACTGTATCTAGGAGTAACTAACTTGTTTTTGATTTTACAGGCTTAGGCAGAAGGGACTTACTTTGTCTCGGATGAGACTTTGGACTTGGACTTTTGAGTTAATGCTGGAATGAGTTAAGACTTTGCCAGACTTTTGGAATGGCATGATTATGTTTTGAAGTATGAGGGCATGAGATTTGGGAAGGGCCAGGGGTGGAATGATAAAGTTTTGGCCGTGCCCCACCCAAATCTTACCTTGAATTACAGTTCCCCTTATCCCCATGTGTCATGAGAGGGACCTGGTGGGAGGTAATTGAATCTTGGAGGTGGTTACAACATGCTGCTGTTCTTGTGATACTGAGTGAGTTGTCACGAGATCTGATGGTTTTATAAGGGGCTTTTCCCCATTTAGCTCATTCTTCTCTCTCCTGCCACCATGTGAAGAAGGACATATTTGCTTCCCCTTCTGCCATGACTGTAAGTTTCCTGAGGCCTCCACAGCCCTGCAGAACTGTGAGTCAATTAAACCTCTTTCCTTTATAAATTACCAGTCTCAGGTATGTCTTCATTAGCAGGTGAGAACAGACTAATAGTGTGGTCAGGATCTGGGTGGAGTTCCTGCATACATATTTGGTAGCTGAATGCCCCTAGGCCAGCAGCAATTTAACACTTTTGGGCTTCACTTTATTTACTCTTTGCAAAATGGGGAAGAGGGCAATGATCTCTAAGGCTCCATATATCTAGAATGTTATGAATTATTTTTAGCCAATTCAATATTCATAGCCCCTTTGAGGTAAGTCAAGCTCAAGTAAAAATTGTTCACGGAGAAAAAAAGAGTAAAGCACAATGGAAGGATGAGAGAACAGGGTCCATACCCAGTAAATAAGGGGTGTCAAGTACTACCTGACCTCAAGGCAACTCACTGCACACTAGACCAGGCCGTAATGAAAGTCCATCAATCTTTACTGAAAAAAATTACAGACTTTGGGCCACGTGCAGTGGCTCATGCTTGTAATCTCAGCACTTTGGGAGGCTGAGACAGGAGGATTGCTTGAGATCAGGAGTTCAAGAGCCTGGGCAACACAGTGAGACCCTGTCTCTAAAAAAATTTAAATAAATAAAATTAGACAGTTTCAAAATCAAACCTCTGTGCAACAGGCCAGAGTTTTTGCATGTTCCACAGGCACATGAGTATCCAATATGACTTATAAAATAGTTTTTAAAGCCACTTTTTTCTAATAAAGAAATTCATATTTGATCAGTTTCCTTCTACCTTCTATAGTTGAGGTCTTTGAAAATATACTTCTATCTTCTTCCTTTCCCATCAAGCTTACCCATGTAGACAGGGACAAACTCTAATTTGTACATTAACAAAGACATGAGGCAAGAGTCTAATCAGGAGAAAAGTCAAAAAGAACTTCCCCCTCCCTTTGAAATTTTAACTCTTGTCCAAACACTCCCTCTCACCCCATACTCCTCTCATAAAATGTGTTTATTTATCTTTGATTCTCCTCAAAGGTGCCTGGAGAAGCCTGTCAAGTGAGCTGCCACCTTCCAGATTTAATCGGTTTTCCTCAGTTGTTCGGCAGTTCTAAATGCAGAAACCAAAAACTCTTCTGCTCGACTGGGCTTTCTCAATACAGGCATTGGCACAGCCCCACACAATTCCATCTAAGCAGAACAACCGCAGCATTAAGTTCCCTCCTATCACAAGGGCCTAGTGTTACTTGGTTGGGTTGTCATTCCACCTGTCAGCTGCCACCAGAAGAAAACGAATTTGCAAATTTACACAGTTTTCTTAGGAATGCTCTTTCTTTTTTTTTCTCTTTGGACTCTACATTCCTGTAGCTCCTATTCTTCAAGGGCACAGGGGCTTACTTAAACATAAAATTTTACAACTTAACTGGAAGGGTGCCCTGCTTGCAAATGGAAAACTGCCACAGAGCAGACTTAACTGCAGCAAGCAGGTGACAGAGCAAGGAACAGGATCCAAAATTATGATTTTTTGTGTGCTACTGAAGTAAAAGAATTTAAGAAGGTTTTACTCAGGGTCATAGGCTGGGTTGGAAGACTGGGAAAAGGAAATCAGTAGTATCTATATCTAATTATGGTGACAGAATTTCACAGACATCTATAACCTAGGTCAAACGTCAAAGACATGAACACCTAAGACACTTTCACACATCCCTGAGCATCATGATTAAATTCAGATAGTTGGGGATCTGTCCCCAGGACCAGTATCCTATTCTGTTAGGGGCCTCTAAATAATAAGACTTTATGTGTTCTCTTCCACAACAAAGAGTAGGAAGTGATTAGCAGCTGGGGAGAACAAAGAGACTTTCCCAAGTTAGGGTTTTTCAACTTCGTTAAACCTAGCAATTAAAGAAAGGAGGAGTTTTGAACTATGACATAATATTGAAAAAGAACAGACTGCATGGTTAAATAATAAACAATGCTGATGTTTAACAACCTTCTCCATTGCTGTCTCCAGAACCCCTAGAACAGAGCCTGGTACATAATAGGAGCACAGAAATGCTGTTCTCTCTGCCCAGAACCACCTCCCCAGCAACACCGCCATGGACACAACTTGTCTCTCATTGCATTCAGGTCTCTGCTCAAAGGCTCCCTCTTTAGATATGCCTTGCTTGAGCATATGCTCTAGAATTTCCTTATCCCTCTTTATTTTCTTCCTAACACTGTGATATGGTTTAGCTCTGTATCCCCACCCAAATCTCATCTTGAATTGTACTCCCATAATTCCCATGTGTTGTGGGAGGGACCTGGTGGGAGATAATCTGAATCCATTGGGGCAGTTTCCCCCATACTGTTCTCATGGTAGTGAATAAGTCTCACGAGATCTGATGGGTTTATCAGGGGTTTCCACTTTTGCATCATCCTCGTTTTTCCTCTTGCCACTGCCATGTAAGAAGTGCCTTTCATCTCCCACCATGGTTCTTAGGCCTCCCGAGCCATGCAGAACTGTAAGTCCAATTAAACCTCTTTTTCTACCCAGTCTCAGGTATGTCTTTATCAGCAGAGTGAAACTGGATTAATATACACATAATGCTACCCAACATTGTATGTCTAATTGCTTACTTTTTAATTGCCTGGGCAGGTACTATTTTGTTCACTATAGTATTGCCAATCTCTTAAACAAAAGCTGGCACATAGTAAGCACTCAATAAAAGTTATGAAAAGAATGAGTGGTTAGAATGGACTATAAGCTACAGACTTATTCTATTCTATATTCAGTCAAACAGCCAATAAACAATCACTGGTTATTCAGGGAATGTTGGATACCATCCAGGAATAAAGAACCTGTGTTGATTAAGAGAAAGCCCCTAGATAAGTAAGTCAGTCATGATAACAGTTTAATATGAAAAGAGTCACGAGACTGTACATAAATGTCTATGAGAACAAGTAGGAAAGACATCTGAATCCGACAGGCAAAGTGAGTAGAGTTCTCCAGGTAAAGCTTCAGTGAGATGTTCTGCAGAATGAACAGCACATGGGAGGAAATGGAGTATGCAGCCACGTGATGATGCAACAAAGTCAGTAAAGAGACATGGTGGGAGGTAAGACCAGAAAGATGCAGGGAACTTAGCATGAAAGGCCTTGGCACTAAACTAAATGAATCCTGGAATGATGTGTGTTTGTATATCATTTTAAGAATGATTTGCATTTTAAGAATAACATTTTGATAACTTTGTAGAACATGAATTAGAAGAGGTCAGAATAAAGGAAGATACGTTTTTCCAGTGGTCTAGACAGAAGCAATGAAATGAAGAAAACTCATCCCTGTATTCATTCATTTCTTCATCTCTTCAATGAAGAATTCTTAGTGTCTCCTTAGGCAAAGTTGTGCAAGGCACTTGGAATAGGTAATAGCAGTGGAAATGGAAAAGAACCTGCTTTAAAGCTGTGAGCAAATGAGTCTGACTGTTGTGTATATGGTTTGGGTGACTAGTTTACTTGGGAGGGAAATAATACGTGAAGTTTCAGATGGTCTGAAGTGTCATTTGAATATCCAGTTAGAGACATCTACTAGGCAACAGACAGAAGAACAAGCAGAAAAAGTCAATCCATTCTATATAAATGTTCAAAAACTTCTACATGGCATGCCTTAGAGACTCCAAATTTCCCTACTCCTATTCTCAGATTAAAAAAAAAACCAAAATAGTTAAATTTCTTTAGGGAGGCAAATGTTTTAATAAAAATTATGAAATTTACACTTTTACTAAAAAATATGAACTTAAGAAAAATACAAATTATAAGGAGACTAATTTTCAGAAAAAATAGCTTTTTATATTGATACTCAACAATTCTAAAATTGTATGAATGCATTCATCAAGAGAGAAATCCATAATAAACAACTGAAAATGTGTAGGAAGTAAAATAAAGGAGAAAAACAAATGAGGAAGATGGATGTATACATGTGATACTTCTAGGAGGAATGAGATTTAACTATCAAGTCAGGAAAGCTTAATTGTCCTTACACATGTTATTTATATATTTGCATCCATCACCAGCATAATGATTTTTGGCAGTTTATGACAATTCATTCATTACTGACAAAATAAATAATTAAGAAAGATGAAATCAAACAGGAACATAGATAAGAAAATAATGCCAGGAGTAAGACTGGCACACACACACACATATCATTTATTCCTTTGCAGCTATTAGAGATGATCTTGCAAATTTGGCTCTAGCCTTCCTGGCAACCAAAGTAAAGAGGAAAATACAATCAAATATAAGATTCATAATAAGCATTTTAAAAACATGAATCGTTGTTTCCTGACCTTGAGATCTGAGAAGAATTTCATCTGTAAGTCCTCTCAAAAACGATGGGATGTGGTGTACTAGGTGGGCTCCTCAATGAAAGCTCAACCACAGAAAGAATA